>NC_000014.9:105671717-105974717 GCF_000001405.40 Homo sapiens | reverse complement strand
TGAGGGGACAGAAGTGCTTGTCTCAAGGAAGGGTCCTCATGTGGACAGGTGAGCTCTTTTGAGGGAAGGGTTGACCTGGGGACAGGCATGCTTGTCTGAGGTAAGGGTCCTCCTGGGGACAGGTGTGCTTCTCTCAGGGAAGGGTCCACGTGGGGACAGAGGTGCTTGTCTAAGGCAAGAATCCAAGTAGGGACAGGTGAGCTCGTCTCAGGGAAGGGTCCAGGTGGGGACAGTTGTGCTCATCTGAGAGAAGCGTCGAAGTGGGGACAGGTGTGCTTGTCTCAAGGAAGGGTCCATGTGGGGACAGGTGTGCTAGTATCAAGAAAGGGTCCACATAGGGACAGGTGTGCTTCTCTCAGGGAAGGGTGCATGTGGGGACAGGTGTGCACATCGGAGAGAATGGTCCACCTGGGGACAGGTGTTCTTGCCTCAGGGAAGAGTCCACCTTCTCAGGGAAGAAGTGTGCTCCTCTGAGGGAAGGGTGCACATGGGGACAGGTGTGCTTGTCTCAGGGAAGGGTCCATGTGGGAACAGGTGAGCTCATCTGAGGGAAGAGTCCACGTGGGGACAGGTGAGCTCATCTGAGGGAAGGGTCCACATGGGGACAAGTGACCTCGTCTGAGGGAAGGGTCCACGTGGGGACAGGTGAGCTCGTCTGAAGGAAGGGTCCACTTGGGGACCGGTGTGCTCCTCTGAGGGAAGGGTCCACGTGGGGACAGGTGTGCTCCTCTGGAGGGAAGGGTCCACGTGGGGACAGGTGAGTTCATCTGAAGGAAGGGTCCACATGGGGACAGTTATGCTCCTCTGAGGGAAGGGTCCATGTGGGGACAGGTGTGCTTGTCTCAGGGAAAGGTCCACGTGGGGACAGGTGTGCTCACCTTGGGGAAGAGGACAGATGAGCTCATCTCAGGGAAGGGGCCATGTGGGGACAGGACCAAGGGTTGGGACTTCAGCACAAGAATTTAGGAGGAACACAGTCTTCCCTAGCAGCCTCCTTCAGGGATGTCAAATATTTTCCTTCTGTTCCCTGTGAAAGCCTTAAAGGGGTAGGGAAAGGGCGTTCAACCTGCACACTCGTAGAGGGGAAACCAGCTTCATTAGTAATCGTTCATCTGTGGTAAAAAGGCAGGATTTGAAGCGATGGAAGATGGGAGTACGGGGCGTTGGAAGACAAAGTGCCACACAGCGCAGCCTTCGAAACACACCACGGTCACGTTAAGTTTAAATGGAGTGACCACATTCGCCAGGAAAGGGAAATATTTACACTTTTGAAGAAACAGTAATTTGTGTTTCTGATTATGATCTGGCCTTGGATTTTCCCTCCCCTCATAAGCAATGACAGAATTGGCAGAAATATGTGAAACGTTAGTTCTCAGACATGAGACACCCACAGAGGGCCCCCTGTGCCCTTCCCTGAGAGCTGATCAGCTCCTGCATCTGAAGAAATGACCAAAGACCAGGAGAGAACCACACAGAAGCATCGGAGGGACAGCACCTGGGGCTCTGATGGGGTCAGGAATAGCATCTGTTCCCAATAGATGGACTAAGTAAAAAGTATCATAATTCACAAGAGTTTTACATAGCACAGAAGAAAAAGTTACCCTATATCAACTGTTGATCTTGTGAATCCAGGAACTCTGGATTCAAGGTGGTCGGGCACATCTTGATTTACGCATTTCAGGGACACATGAGACATCAGTCAATATAAGTAAGAAGGACATTAGTTCCATCCAGAAAGGCTGAGACAACTCAAAGCAAGTCCTCCCCACTTAGGGCTTCCAGGTCACAGGTAGGTGAGAGACAGATGGTTGCATTCTTTTGAGTTTCTGATAAGTGTTTGCAAAGGAGGCCATGAGGATATGCACCTGTCTCTGTGAGCAGAGGGACAACTTTAAATAGACTGGGAGGCAGATTTGTCCTGAGTGGTTTCCAGCTTGACGGGGCCCAAGATATTTTCCTTTCACAATCTGGTAACTTCAAACAAAACTTCAAAGCCACAACAAAACAACACAACAACAAAAAGAATAAGACATGGGTACTTATTAAGAGTAGAAAAACATTCAGTCCCCAAGGAAAATATTGGCAGTGTCTACCTCCACATGACAAAGGAGTAAGCAGTGTGAGCCACAGAAAGGAGCACTATTAACCCACAGAGCAACCGAGAATAACACGGGTGATGCAAGGGCATTGGACGCACATCATTGCATTTTGTAGATTCAGAAAGAAACGGAAAAGATTGACGGTGGTAAAAGAGACAGCCCTGCTTCCCTCTCCCTTTTCCCTCCCCGATGAGGCCTCACAGCCATGACCCTCAGCCTCATCCCGCAGTGCAGCAGCTGCCGTCCTGTCCAGGCCCACCCCCTGCCCCGCCCTGGGACTGTTACCTCATTCCCTCCCGGAGTCCAGGTGCCCCCCGGGGTGTGGTGCGGGAGCCTGGGGAGGCCCTTTGTTCTCTGTCAGGGTCTCCCTGGGAGGGACGCAGCCACCGCAGCTGGTTGGGGCCTGGCTTCGCCCAGGACAGTCCTTTCCTTTCCCATTGTCTTTGGATGACTATCGCTGGGCTGGGACATGAGGCGGGCAGAGGCGCGGGTCACCCTTAGGACCCCCCTCTTGCTGCTGGGGCTCTGGGCGCTCCTGGCTCCGGTCCGGTGTTCTCAAGGCCGTCCCTTGTGGCACTACGCCTCCTCCGAGGTGGTGATTCCCAGGAAGGAGACACACCATAGCAAAGGCCTTCAGTTTCCCGGCTGGCTGTCCTACAGCCTGTGTTTTGGGGTCAAAGACACGTCATTCACATGCGGAGGAAACACCTTCTTTGGCCTAGACATCTGCTGGTGACAACTCAGGATGACCAAGGAGTCTTGCAGATGGGTGACCCCTACATCCCTCCAGACTGCTAGTACCTCGGCTACCTGGAGGAGGTGCCTCTGTCCATGGTCACCGTCGACACGTGCTATGGGGACCTCAGAGGCATCATGAGGCTGGACGACCTTGCGTACGAAATCAAACCCCTCCAGGATTCCCGCAGGTTTGAACATGTTGTTTTTCAGATAGTGGCCGAGCCCAACGCAACAGGGCCCACATTTAGAGATGATGACAATGAGACAGACCCCCTGTTCTCTGAAGCAAATGACAGCATGAATCCCAGGATATCTAATTCGCTGTATAGTTCTCATAGAGGCAATATAAAAGGCCACGTTCAATGTTCCAATTCATATTATCGCATATATGGCAATATTACAACTTGTTCCAAAGAGGTGGTCCAGATGTTCAGTCTCATTGACAGCATTGCTCAAAATATTGATCTGCGGTACTATATTTATCTTTTGACCATATATAATAATCGTGACCCAGCCCCTGTGAATGAATATCGAATTCAGAGTGCAATGTTTACCTATTTTAAAACAACTTTTTTTGATACTTTTCATGTTCATTCATCCACACTACTTATTAAATACGTGCCACATGAATCTAACTATGAACCTGAAAGGTATAACTTCTGTTCCCGTATAGCCCTGTTACACATTGGTACTCCAGGCAGACATTATTTATTGGTAGCCGTCATAATAACCCAGACACAGATGAGAAGTATTGGTCTGGAGTATGATGATAACTACTGCACATGTCAGAGAAGGGCCTCCTGCATTATGCAGCGATTTCCTGGGATGACAGATGCGTTCAGTAACTGTTCTTATGGACATGCACAAAATTGTTTTATACATTCAGGCCAGTGTGTTTTTGAAACACTTGCTCCTGTGTATAACGAAACCATGACAACGGTTCGCTGTGGAAACCTCATAGTGGAGGGGAGGGAGGAATGTGACTGTGGCTCCTTCAAGCAGTGTTATGCCAGTTATTGCTGCCAAAGTGACTGTCACTTAACACCGGGGAGCATCTGCCATATAGGAGAGTGCTGTACAAACTGCAGCTTCTCCCCACCAGGGACTCTCTGCAGACCTATCCAAAATATATGTGACCTTCCAGAGTACTGTCACGGGACCACCGTGACATGTCCCGCAAACGTTTATACGCAAGATGGAACCCCGTGCACTGAAGAAGGCTACTGCTATCGTGGGAACTGCACTGATCGCAATGTGCTCTGCAAGGCGATCTTTGGTGTCAGTGCTGAGGATGCTCCCGAGGTCTGCTATGACATAAATCTTGAAAGCTACCGATTTGGACATTGTATTAGACAACAAACATATCTCAGCTACCAGGCTTGTGCAGGAATAGATAAGTTTTGTGGAAGACTGCAGTGTACCAATGTGACCCATCTTCCCCGGCTGCAGGAACGTGTTTCATTCCATCACTCAGTGAGAGGAGGGTTTCAGTGTTTTGGACTGGATGAACACCATGCAACAGACACGACTGATGTTGGGCGTGTGATAGATGGCACTCCTTGTGTTCATGGAAACTTCTGTAATAACACCCAGTGCAATGTGACTATCACTTCACTGGGCTACAACTGCCACCCTCAGAAGTGCGGTCATAGAGGAGTCTGCAACAACAGAAGGAACTGCCATTGCCATATAGGCTGGGATCCTCCACTGTGCCTAAGAAGAGGTGCTGGTGGGAGTGTCAACAGCGGGCCACCTCCAAAAAGAACACGTTCCGTCAAACAAAGCCAGCAATCAGTGATGTATCTGAGAGTGGTCTTTGGTCGTATTTACGCCTTCATAATTGCACTGCTCTTTGGGACAGCCAAAAATGTGCGAACTATCAGGACCACCACCGTTAAGGAAGGGACAGTTACTAACCCTGAATAACACTAATTCAGCCTCCCGATCCCTGTAAAGATACAGAGAATATAACAGCAAAATCTATGAAACAGGATCAGGGGAAGGGATGGCAAAGCTCAAGTCCACATTTCTTGAAGTCCACAGGAAGCACAGGGTCCTGTTTCACATCACAGGGAAACGGGAGGCATTGGCTTCTGTCCCAGGTTCTTGTAGGTCGCTGATGCTCACTCTGAAATAAATCTTCAAAAACACATTGGTGCCTTCCACATTTTCTTAGACTCCTCTGGGAGCCCAAACTTGGCCAGAACCTCTTGCCTGGAGAGACATGAATGAGCATCTGGCTCTTGACCTGAGGTCTCTGGTCCCAGAATTAACGGAAGTTGCCACCAGCTCCTTACAGGGAACATTCATGACATTTCTCCAGAAGAGAGCTCCAGAGCAATGAGCTTCCTCATTCCCCAGGTAATCTGTCCTTCTCTAAACCCGAAGTCAGTTTAGGGTGATCCAGGGCTACTCCCTGTTCCCTGTCTGTTCCTCACGGGGGTGCTGTGGGCTTTTCAGTGAGAGGGACTTGGGTTCAAATCCCCCACCAAGCAAATCCCCCTACCTGGGGCCGAGCTTCCCGTATGTGGGAAAATGAATCCCTGAGGTCGATTGCTGCATGCAATGAAATTCAACTAGAAAAATAGGTAGACGTGAGGGGCAAGCTGTCTGTCATTTAGTGTGAGCTCTGTGAGTGGCAGCTGCCCCCTTTCTTCCTGCCCCCACATTTCCTTGAACTGAAACAGGAAGGGAAGCTGAGTAAGTCGTGATGAGGAAGAGAAACCAGGCTTGTAGCAGCACAGGCTGGTCCGGGTGGAAAACAGGGCTAGGTGTATCACTGAGTTATTGTAAAGGAAAATGGAAGTTAAATGTATAAATAACTGAATGAGATAACATTTTATTTTAACTTAAAATTCACACTAATATTGACTTTTAAAATGCAGTGTAGATATGTCAGAGAGAATTTCAAAGGCAAAGCCCACCGACGGAAGAAATCACCCTTCCCATACCATCCACAGAAAACTGTTGGTATTCTAGGGTAGTACTGAGATCTAGCATTTTTCTGAATACATCCGTGGTTCTAGATGTCCTGCTTCCATAGATATTGTTTAGAATTCCCACCCCTTTCTCCAAACACAGCTTGATATCCTTTCTCTGAACCTGTTAGAAATTTCCTCCATTCAGCTGTCATAAAGATGCGAGCAATCCATTCCTGTGCCTCTGTCAGTGTGTTCTATTATTTTGTGGGTGAACGCTAATGGACAGTTAAGTGTGAGGTCAGTGAATACAGTGCCCTCCCTCTATGTGTCCTTCGGGTGTGAGGGGTTTTGCTGATAGAGCAGCAGGCCCCATCCCACCCTTTATGCATCTCCGCCCCCCACCTCACGCTCCAGCTGACCTCTCCCCTGTGGCCTGGGGCGTTCCCCAGGGGGAATGACCTCTCCTCTCTCCAGGGCCCACCCACTCAGTGCCCGTGCAAGACCACCACGCTTGGCACGGCCCCACCTCGCGTCAGGGCCTGTGTCCCCTGCCCCACCCCCTAAACAGATGGGAACCACTGGGACTCTGCTCAGGGCAGGGGGCGGAGGTATGTGTGAAAGGAAGGCAAATGTGCACTCTGTTGGAGAAATATTATAGGTAGTTTGAGCAAAAAATCTAATGCCATGTGAACTTTTAGAATGATACGTATTTTAACAAAGAACATGACCAATAGAGTTTGTATTGAAGCCAGGAAAACACTATTTAGAGCAACAGCAATATCAAAAACACAAGCCAACAGTTCACCAAGAAAAACCACCATTAACCCCATGGAAATGGTCTTCCAAGAGCATCGGCACTTAAATCCTCGAAATCTGCCTGCCTCAGCACCTGTTGTCCTGACCTGCCCTCCTGTGTGTCCTAATCACTCCCAAACACGGGGCCTGCACTGTGGGAGATTCACGCTGTGCCAGGTGGAGGGAGCAGGACAACTGCTAACAGGTTGTTGGTGTGGATGCCGAGGCCACCCAAGCAGGTGTAAACTCCCACCTGTGGGCCAGGGAAGAGTGCACGGGAGACATGTCCCGGGCATAGGGTGAGGGAGAGCTGTGGGGGCTCTGGGTTCTGAAGTGGGTTCTGAAGAGGGTTCTGGCCTGGCAGGGATAAGACCAACCAGCATGTGAGGCCAGGCTGGAGTCTGGACCTCTGAAGCTGCAAGGGTCATGGGCTGCTTGGCCCCAGGGGCTGTCCTGGTTCTCTATGGAGTACTTTCAAACATTCTTTCTTCTTCCAATCCCCCTCCTTCTCTCCCAAAGCCTGCATCTCCCAAATCCTCTTTGTCGGATCCTCGGCTTCACTCTGCATCCGTCCTGAGCATCGATCTTCCAATTCCATCCTCTTCTCTTCTGCTATGTCTAAGCTGCTGTGAAGCCACCTGCTGTAATTTACTGCTTTATATTTAATATTGTACCGTACATCTGTTCTGTTTCCCTCATCATAAATGCTTCATTTCATGCTCAGCATCTGAGAACACAAGGCCTTGTCAGCTGTCACCTCCTTCCGTTCTCTGTTTCCTTCCTCCTATCCCCATATTGCTCATCATGTCCAGTCTCCTGCCATCCTGAATGCTTCTGATGGAAGGTCTGAGATGTCTCATGAGCACTGTGAAGATTCTTTGTAATGTGACCTTGTTCCAGGCAGGAATTCTCCTTCACCCAGCCCTGGAAGCCAAGTATAGGCAGATGGCCATGCTCAATCAAAGACTGAGCTAACTTAACAGTGGCTTTGGTTTTAAGGTTTCTCCAATCCCCAGGGCACAGGATTTCAGGGAATTCAGGTGAGAGTCTGGGTGTTACCCTTCAGGAGGCTGTAAACTCCATTTCACCTAGTCTACACCACAGACTATGGAAACTATATATATATATAGTTCTGTCCCTCTAGAGAAACCTAATATGTATATATACAATATATAATACGTATTATATATTATATATAATATATATATATATTAGAGTTTATTGAGGAGTATTAAACTCACAATCACAAGGTCCCACAGTAGGCCATCTGCAAGCTGAGGAGCAAGGAAGCCAGTCCGAGTCCCAAAGCTGAAGAATTTGAAGTCTGATGTTCGACGGCAGGAAGCATCCAGCACAGGAGAAAGATGTAGGCTGGGAGGCTAAGCCAGTCTAGTCTTTTCACGTTTTTCTGCCTGCTTTATATCCTGGCCACACTGGCAGCTGATTAGATGGTGCCCACCTAGATTAAGGGTGGGTCTGCCTTTCCCAGTTTACTGGCTCAAATGTTAATCTCCTTTGGCAACACCCTCACAGACACACCCAGGATCAATACTTTGCATGCTTCAATCCAATCAAGTTGACACTCAGTATCAACCATCACAAGTCCACCCCTTGTCAACTTGAACCCATACAAATCTCCTGAGATCATACATAATCTTCAAATAAAGACAATAATAAGGTCATAATTACACCTAATGTAATACAACTATCTTTTGTACAACCAGAAATGCACCAATCCCCAACCCAAATGCTATTATGTAAAGTTAAGAACACTTAAATGCTGATATGAAGTCAATAAATTTTATGTCACATGATAAAGGAAAAAAGAAATGAAGGAATTTTCTTAGTACAAGTGTGTACATGCACAAACATGTTTTTAACAAAAGAAGAAGGAAATACTGATGACAATTACGGTCCTCATTTCTGCAACTGATCACGTGGTTGTAGCTGGTATTGATGACTACCTTCTTCTACTACCCATTCTGTATTCCCTTTGCCTTCAGCAAGCATCACAGCAGGTAGAGTTTTTTCTCCTAGTGGAGTGATGCAAACCTTCATTCCTGAAGGGTCTGGGCCATTTGTAGTCCTGCCTGGATTGGGCTGTTGTAGTTTCCCGTTGACCTTAATGACAGGGCATGGTAATGTTAAGAGACGCCCTAATGGATCTCCTGTATTCCATACATATTCTTCCTTGCCTCCATTGTGGAGTAATAGACTGATTGCATCTTGATAGTCCAGGTCAATCAGCCCAGCCAACACTGTAACTCCCCTCTTAGCCTGTGGACTTAAAGGTAGGAGGGGCCCAAAGTGGCCAGGTGGAAATCTTTACTTCCAGTTTAATGGAATTGTTGTTGTTTCTCCTGATGGCAGCATTATTCCCACTGGAACTAAGACCTCTAGGCCAACAGAATGTAATGTCATGGGACCAGGAAGCAAAAATTTTGCTAGTGGATCACTAGGGGTGATGGTGAATGGTGCCATTTCCACTTCCACCCCTTGATTCCTGGATCCATGAATTATGGCTATGGGAGAAAGAGTACCATATATTGGATGCTGATTTGGAGCATACATGGCCTTTTGGAGAGCTTTGCCCCAGCCCTGCAAAGTATTGGAGCCTAGTTGACATTGTAATTGTGACTTTGAAAGGCCATTCCATTCTTCTATCAATCCAGCTGCTTCAGGATGATGGGGAAAATGGTAAGACAAGTGAATCCCATGAGCATGAGCCCACTGCCACACTTCTTTAGCCGTAAAGGGAGTGCCTTGGTCAGAGGCAATGCTATGTGGAATACTGTGACAGTGGATAAGGCATTCCATGACTCCACAGATGGTAGTCTTGGCAGAAGCATTGCATGCATATCTGCAGTAAGTGTCTATTTCAGTGAGGACAAACCTCTGCCCTTTCCAGGATGGAAGAGGTCCAATATAATCCAACCTGCCATCAGGTAGCTCACTGATCACCCTGAGGAATGGTGTCATTTGGGTAGAGACCCAGAGCCAAACCAGATCACGCCACCCAACCCCTCCCAAATCTCATGTCCTCTTTGCATTTCAAAACCAATCATGCCTTCCCAACAGTCCCCCAACATCTTAACTCATTTCAGTATTAACTCAAAAGTCCAAATCCAAAGTCACATTGGAGACAAGGCAAGTCCCTTTCATCTATGAACCTGTAAAATGAAAAACAAGTCAGTTACTTCCAAGACAAAATGGGGGTACAGGCATTAGATACATGCTCCCATTTCAGTTGGGAGAAATGAGCCAGAATAAAGGGGCTTCAGGTCACATGCAAGCCCAAACTCCAGTGGGGCAGTCATTAAATCTTAAAGCTTCAAAATAATCTCCTTTGACTCCATTCCTCACATTCAGGGCATGCTTATGCAAAGTGGGGGCTCCTACAACCTTGGGAAGCTCTCACCCTGTGGCTTTGCAGCTCTGACCCCATGGCTGCTCTCATGGGCTTTGCAGAGTTCAGCCCTCCTGGCTGCTCTCATTGAGTGCATGCAGCTTTTCCAGGTGCACAGTGCAAGCCGTTAATGGATCTACCATTCTGGGGTCTGAAAGATGGTGGCCCTCTTCTCACAGCCCCATTAGTCACTGTCTCCAGTGGGGACTCTGTGTGGGGGCTCCAACCCCACATTTCCCTTCTGCACTGCCCTAGCAGAGGCTCTCCATGAAGGCTTTGCCCCTGGCGCAGACTTCTGGCTGGACATCCAGTCATTTCTATAAATCCTCTGAGATCTGGGTGGAGGATCACAAAGCTGAACTCTTCTCTTCCGCACATCCCTAGGCCCAACATCATGTAGAAGCCACCAATGATTGGGGCTTTCTGAAGCAATGGCCTGAGCTGTACATTGGACTTTTTTAGCCACAGCTAGACCTGGAGCAGCTGGGACACAGGGCACCAAGTCCCAAGGCTCCAAAGAGAAGCTGGGCCCTGGACCCAGCCCATGAAAACATTTTTCCCTGATAGGCCTCCAGGCCTGTGATTGGAAGGGCTGCTGCAAAGATCTCCGACATGCCCTGGAAACATTTTCCCCATTGTCTTGATTATTAATATTCATCTCTTCATTACTTATGCAAATTTCTGCAGCCAACTTGAATTTCTCCCTAGCAAATGTGTTTTTCTTTACTACCACATGGCCAGGCTGCAAATTTTCCAAACTTTTATGCTCTGTTTCCCTTTTAAACATAAGTTCCTATTTCAGATCATCTCTCTCAAGGGCAAAGTTCCACAGATTTCTAGGGCAGGGACAAAATTCCATCAAGCTTGGTTTTATACATTTTAGAGAGGCATGAGACATCAATCAAATACATTTAAGAGACACATTGGTTTGGTCCAGAAAGGTGGAACAACTCAAAGCTAGGGCTTCCAGGCTATAGGTGAATTTAAATATTTTCTGGTTGACAATTGGTTGAGTTTGTCTAAAGACCTGGGATAGATAGAAAGGTAATGTTCAGGTTAAGATAAAGATTGTAGAGTCCAAAGTTCTTTTGAAGTCTTATAGTGGCTGCCCTTAGAGATAATAGGTGACAAATGTTTCCTATTCAAATCTTAGTTGAACTCTTTAGGATTGGGAGGTTCTAGAAGAAAAAGATCTAGCTATGTTAATAGAGATTCTTTACAGATGCAAATTTTCCCCCACAAAGAACAGCTTTGCAGGGCCCTTTCTTTCTTTCTTTCTTTCTTTCTTTCTTTCTTTCTTTCTTTCTTTCTTTCTTTCTTTCTTTTTTAGATGGAGTTTTGCTCTTGTTGCCCAGGCTAGAGTATAATGGCACGATCTTGTCTCACCACAACCTCCACCTCCTGGGTTCAAGTAATTCTCCTGCCTCAGTCTCCCGAGTAGCTATGATTACAGGCATGCACCACCACACCCGGCTAATTCTGTATTTTTAGTAGACACAGGGTTTCTCCATGTTGGTGAGGCTGGTCTCGAACTCCCAACCTCAGGTGATCCGCCCACCTCAGCCTCCCAAAGTGCTGGGATTACAGGCATGAGCCACCATGCCCGGCCTGCAGGGCCATCTCAGAGTATGGCAAAGAAACATGTTTTGGGGTAAAATATTTTGATTTTCTTATTTGTCTTATAATGTTATGCCAGAGTCAGTTTGGAAAGTAAATCATGATATATAGGTTTAAATAAAACCCATCTGATGAGAATTTATGATTTGTAGAGCATGCCTCCCCAGACTCTTTAGATAGGAATTTGGGCAAGATGAAAAAAAAATCAGAGTTTAGTCCTCACTACCTAAGACCAGCTCAGCTTGGACTTCACTGTTCATGTCACTATCAGCATTTTAGTCAAAACCACTCAATAAGTCTCTAGGAAGTTCCAAACTTTCCCACATCTTCCCTTCTCCTTTCAAGTTCTCCAAACTGTTCCAACCGCTGCCAGGAGGTACCCAGTTCCAAAGTTGCTTCCAGATTTTGAGTTATCTTTATAGCAGTTCCCCACTCCTGGTACCAATTTACTATATTAGTCTGTTTCCACAGTGCTATAAAGAACTGCCCGAAAGTGGTTAATTTGTAAAGAAAAGAGGTTTAATTGACTCACAGTGCTGTGTGGTTAGGGTCGGAGGCTCAGGAAACTTGCAATCATGGTGGAAGTGGAAGCAGGCATGTGACACATGGCAGCAGGTGAGAGAGAGAAAGAGAGAGAGAGGGAATGAAGGAGGAACCACCATACATGGATAAAACCATCAGATCTCATGAGAACTCACTCACTATCAGGAGAACATGAGGACAGCATGGGGGAAACCACCCCCATGACCCAGTCACCTCCCACCAGGTCCACCCCTTGACACATAAGGATTACTATTTGAGATGAGATTTGTTTAATGACACAGAGCCAAACCACATCAGCATGTGACAAAGGTCTAATATCAAGAATCTATGAGGGGGCAGTTCCAAAATGGCTGAATAGGAACAGCTCCAGTCTACAGCTCCCAGCATGAGCTACACAGAAGACAGGTGATTTCTGCATTTCCAACTGAGGTACTGGGTTCATCTCACGGGGGCTTGTTGGACAGTGGGGGCAGGACAGTGGGTGCAGCCCACCAAGAGTGAGCTGAAGCAGGGTGAGGCATTGCCTAACCCAGGAAGTGCAAGGGGTCAGGGAATTCCCGTTCCTAGCCAAGGGAAGCGGTGATGGACGGCACCTGGAAAATCCGGTCACTCCCACCCTAATACTGCACTTTTCCAACGGTCTTAGCAAATGGCACACCAGGAGATTATATCCTATGCCTGGCTTGGAGGTTCCCATGCCCACGGAGCCTCGCTTATTGCTAGCACAGCAGTCTGAGATCAAACTGCAAGGTGGCAGTGAGGCTGGGGGAGGGGTGCCCACAATTGCTGAGGCTTGAGTAAGTAAACAAAGTGGCTGGGAAGCTCAAACTGGGTGGAGTCCACTGCAGCTCAAGGAGACCTGTCTGCCTCTGTAGACTCCACCTCTGGGGGCAGGGCATAGCTGAACAAAAGGCAGCAGAAACCTCTGCAGACTTAAATGTCCCTGTCTGACAGCTTTGAAGAGAGTAGTGTTTCTCCCACATGGACTTTGAGATCTGAGAATGGACAGACTGCCTCCTCAAGTGGGTCCCTGACCCCCGAGTAGCCTAACTGGGAGGCACCCTCCAGTAGGGGCAGACTGACACCTTACACGGCTGGGTGCCCCTCTGAGATGAAGCTTCCAGAGGAATTATCAGGCAGCAACATTTGCTGTTCAGCAATATTCGCTGTTCTGCAGCCTCTGCTGCTGATACCCAGGAAAATAGGGTCTGCAGTAGACCTCCAGCAAACTCCAACAGACCTGCAGCTGAGGGTCCTGACTGTCAGAAGGAAAACTAACAAACAGAAAGGACATCCACATGAAAACCCCATCTGTACATCACCATTATCAAAGACAAAAGGTAGATAAAACCACAAAGATGGGGAAAAAACAGGGCAGAAAAGCTGAAAATTCTAAAAATCAAAGTGCCTCTCCCCCTCCAAAGGAATGCAGCTCCTCGCCAGCAATGGAACAAAGCTGGATGGAGAATGACTTTGATGAGTTGAGAGAAGGTTTCAGATGATCAAACTTCTCCGAGCTAAAGGAGGAAGTTGGAACCCATTGCAAAGAAGCTAAAAACCTTGAAAAAAGATCAGATGAGTAGCTAACTAGAATAACCAGTGTAGAGAAGTCCTTAAATGACCTGATGGAGCTGAAAACCATGGTATGAGAACTACGTGATGAATGCACAAGCTTCAGTAGCCGATTCGATCAACTGGAAGAAAGGGTATCAGTGATTGAAGATCAAATGAAAGAAATGAAGGGAGAAGAGAAGTTTAGAGGAAAAAAAAGTAAAAAGAAAGAAACAAACCCTCCAAGAAATATCAGACTATGTGAAAAGACCAAATCTATGTCTGATTGGTGTACCTGAAAGTGACAGGGAGAATGGAACCAAGTTGGAAAACACTCTGCAGTATATTATCCAGCAGAACTTCCCCAACCTAGCAAGACAGGCCAACATTCAAATTCAGGAAATACAGAGAACCCCACAAAGATACTCCTCGAGAAGAGCAACTCCAAGACACATAATTGTTAGATTCACCAAAGTTGAAATGAAGGAAAAAATATTAAGGGCAGCCAGAGAGAAAGGTCGGGTTACCCTCAAAGGGAAGCCCATCAGACTAACAGCTGATCTCTCAGCAGAAACTCTACAAGCCAGAAGAGAGTGGGGGCCAATATTCAACATTCTTAAAGAAAAGAAATTTCAACCCAGAATTTCATATCCATCCAAACTAAGCTTCATAAGTGAAGGAGAAATAAAATCCTTTACAGACAAACAAATGCTGATAGATTTTGTCATCACCAGGCCTGCCCTACAGGAGCTCCTGAAGGAAGCACTAAACATGGAAAGGAACAACTGGTACCAGCCACTGCAAAAACATGCCAAATCATAAAGACCACCAAAGCGAGGAAGAAACTGCATCAACTAACGAGCCAAATAACCAGCTAACATCATAATGACAGGATCAAATTCACACATAACAATATTAACCTTTAATGTAAATGGGCTAAATGCTCCAATTAAAAGACACAGACTGGCAAATTGGATAAAGAGTCAAGACCCATCAGTGTGCTGTATTCAGGAGACCCATCTCACATGCAGAGACACACATAGGCTCAAAATAAAGGCATGGAGGAAGATCTACCAAGCAACTGGAAAACAAAAAAAGGCAGGAGTTGCAATCCTAGTCTCTGATAAAAGAGACTTTAAACCAACAAAGATCAAAAGAGACGAAGAAGACCATTACATAATGGTAAAGGGATCAATTCAACAAGAAGAGCTAACTATCCTAAATATATATGCATCCAATACAGGAGCACCCAGATTCATAAAGCAAGTCCTTGGAGACCTACAAAGAGACTTAGATTCCCACACAATAATAATGGGAGACTTTAACACCCCACTGTCAACATTAGACAGATCAACGAGACAGAAAGTTAATAAGGATATCCAGCAACTGAACTCGGCTCTGCACCAAGCAGACCTAATAGACATCTACAGAACTCTCCACCCCAAATCAACAGAATATACATTCTTTTCAGCACCACACCACACCTATTCCAAAATTGACCACATAGATGGAAGTAAAGCACTCCTCAGCAAATGTAAAAGAACAGAAATTATAACAAACTGTCTCTCAGAGCACAGTGCAATCAAACTAGAACTCAGGATTAAGAAACTCACTCAAAACCACTCAACTACATGGAAACTGAACAACCTGCTCCTGAATGACTACTGGGTACATAATGAAACGAAGGCAGAAATAAAGATGTTCTTTGAAACCAGTGAGAACAAAGACACAACATACCAGAATCTCTGGGACACATTCAAAGCAGAGTGTAGAGGGAAATTTATAGCACTAAATGCCCACAAGAGAAAGCAGGAAAAATCTAAAATTGACACCCTAACATCACAATTAAAAGAGCTAGAGAAGCAAGTGCAAACACATTCAAAAGCCAGCAGAAGGCAAGACATAACTAAGATCAGAGCAGAACTGAAGGAAACAGAGACACAAAAAAACCCTTCAAAAAATCAATGAATCCAGGAGCTGGTTTTTTGAAAAGATCAACAAAATTGATAGACCACTAGCAAGACTAATAAAGAAGAAAAGAGAGAAGAATCAAATAGATGCAATAAAAAATGATAAAGGGGATATCACCACCGATCCCACAGAAATACAAACTACCATCAGAGAATACTATAAACACCTCTACGGAAATAAACTAGAAAATCTAGAAGAAATGGATAAATTTCTCGACACATACACCATCCCAAGACTAAACCAGGAAGAAGTTGAATCTCTGAATAGACCAATAACAGGCTCTGAAATTGAGGCAATAATTAATAGCTTAACAACCAAAAAAAGTCCAGGAACAGATGGATTCACAGCCGAATTCTACCAGAGCTACAAGGAGGAGCTGGTACCATTCCTTCTGAAACTATTCCAATCTATAGAAAAAGAGGGAATCCTCCCTAACTCATTTTATGAGGCCAGCATCATCCTAATACCAAAGCCTGGCAGAGACACAACAAAAAAAAAGAGAATTTTAGGCCAATAACCCTGATGAACATCAATGCAAAAATCCTCAATAAAATACTGGCAAACCGAATCCAGCAGCACATCAAAAAGCTTATCCACCATGATCAAGTGGGCTTCATCCCTGGGATGCAAGTCTGGTTCAACATACGCAAATCAATAAACGTAATCCAGCATATAAACAGAACCAACGACAAAAAACACATGATTATCTCAATAGATGCAGAAAAGGCCTTTGACAAAATTCAACAACACTTCATGCTAAAAACTCTCAATAAATTAGATATTGATGGGACGTATCTCAAAATAATAAGAGCTATCTATGACAAACCCACAGCCAATATCATACTGAATGGGAAAAACTACAAGCATTCCCTTTGAAAGCTGGCACAAGACAGAGACACCCTCTCTCACCACTCCTATTCAACATAGTGTTGGAAGTTCTGGCCAGGGCAATCAGGCAGGAGAAGGAAATAAAGGGTATTCAATTAGGAAAAGAGGAAGTCAAATTGTCGCTGTTTGCAGATGACATGATTGTATATCTAGAAAACCCCATCGTCTCAGCCCAAAATCTCCTTAAGCTGATAAGCAACTTCAGCAAAGTCTCAAGATACAAAATCAATGTGCAAAAATCACACGCATTTCTATAACCCAATAACAGACAAACAGAGAGCCAAATCATGAGTGAACTCCCATTCACAATTGCTTCAAAGAGAATAAAATACCTTGGAATCCAACTTACAAGGGACGTGAAGGACCTCTTCAAGGAGAACTACAAACCACTGCTCAATGAAATAAAAGAGGATACAAACAAATGGAAAAACATTCCATGCTCATGGGTAGGAAGGATCAATATCCTGAAAATGGCCATACTGCCCAAGGTAATTTATAGATTCAATGACATCCCCATCAAGCTACCAATGACTTTCTTCACAGAATTGGGAAAAACTGCTTTAAAGTTCATATGGAACCAAAAAAGAGCCTGCAATGTCAAGTCAATCCTAAGCCAAAAGAACAAAGCTGGAGGCATCACGCTACCTGACTTCAAACTATACTACGAGGTTACAGTAACCAAAACAGCATGGTACTGGTACCAAAACAGAGATACAGACCAATGGAACAGAACAGAGCCCTCAGAAATAATGCCGCATATCTACAACTATCTGATTTTTGGCAAACCTGACAAAAACAAGAAATGGGAAAACGATTCCCTATTTAATAAATGGTGCTGGGAAAACTGGCTAGCCATATGTAGAAAGCTGAAACTGGATCCCTTCCTTACACATTATACAAAAATTAATTCAAGAGGATTAAAGACTTAAATGTTAGACCTAAAACCATAAAAACCCTAGAAGAAAACCTAGGCAATACCATTCAGGACATAGGCATGGGCAAGGACTTCATGTCTAAAACACCAAAAGCAATGACAACAAAAGCCAAAATTGACAAATGGGATCTAATTAAACTAAAGAGCTTCTGCACAGCAAAAGAAACTACCATCAGAGTAAACAGGCAACCTACAGAATGGGAGAAAATTTTTGCAATCTACTTATCTGACAAAGGGCTAATATCCAGAATCTACAATGAACTCAAACAAATTTACAAGAAAAACAAACAACCCCATCAAAAAGTGGGCAAAGGATATGAATAGACACTTCTCAAAAGAAGACATTTATGGAGCCAAAAGACACATGAAAAAATGCTCATCATCACTAGCCATCAGAGAAATGCAAATCAAAACCACAATGAGATACCATCTCACACCAGTTAGAACAGCGATCATTAAAAAGTCAGGAAACAACAGGTGCTGGAGAGGATGTGGAGAAATAGGAACACTTTTACACTGTTGGTGGGACTGTAAACTAGTTCAACCATTGTGGAAGTCAGTGTGGCGATTCCTCAGGGATCTAGAACTAGAAATACCATTTGACCCAGCCATCCCATTACTGGGTATATACCCAAAGGATTATAAAACATGCTGCTATAAAGACACATGCACACGTATGTTTATTGCGGCACTATTCACAATAGCAAAGACTTGGAACCAACCCATATGTCCAACAATGATAGACTGGATTAAGAAAATGTGGCACATATACACCATGGAATACTCTGCAGCCATAAAAAAGGATGAGTTCATGTCCTTTGTAGGGACATGGATGAAGCTGGAAACCATCATTCTCAGCAAACTATCACAAGGACAAAAAGACAAACACTGCATGTTCTCATTCATAGGTGGGAATTGAACAATGAGAACACTTGGACACAGGAAGGGGAACATCACACACCAGGGCCTGTTGTGGGGTGGGGGGAGTGGGGAGGGATAGCATTAGGAGATATACCTGATGTTAATTGATGAGTTTATGGGTGCAGCACACCAACATGGCACATATATACATATGTAACAAACCTGCACGTTGTGCACATGTACCCTAAAACTTAAAGTATAATAAAAAAATTTTTAAAAAAAGAAACACCTGCTTTTTTCTGTTTTCCATTTGCTTAGTAGATTTTTCTCCATCCTTTTACTTTGAGCCTGGGGATGTCATTGCATGTGAGATGGGTCTCTTGAAGACAGCATACATTTGGGTCTTGCTTCTTTCTCCAACTTGGCAATTCTCTGCCCTTTAATTGGGGCATTTAGCCCATTTACATTCAAGGTTAATATTGATATGTGCATATTTCATCCTGTTATCATGTTGTTAGCTGCTCAATATGCAGATTTGATTGTATAGTTGATTTATAGTGGCAATCGTTATGTACTTAAGTGTGTTTTTGTGGTGGCCAGTAACGTTCTTCCATTATCATATTTAGCAATCCCTTAAGGGCCTCTTGTAAGGCAATCTAGTGGTGATGAATACCCTTAGCATTTGCTTGTCTGAAAAGGATCTTATTTCTCCTTCACTTGTGAAGCTTCGTTTGGCTAGATATGAAATTCTTGCTTGGAATTTCTTTTCTTTAAGAATGCTGAATATAGGCCCCCAATCTCTTCTGGATTGTACAGTTTCTGCTGAAACCTCCATTGTTAGCCTCATTGGGTTCCCTTTGTATGTGACCTGAACCTTCTTTCTAGCTGCCTCTAATATTTTTTTTCCTTTCAACCTTTAAGAGTCTGATGTCTGATGGCTATATGTCTTAGGGATGGTTGTCATGTATAATATCATGCAGAGGTTATTTGCATTTCTTGAATTTGAATGTTGGCCTCTCTGGTGAGGTTGGAGAAATTTTCATGGAGGATAGCCTGAAATGTTTTTCAAGTTTCTTTTTTTCTCTTTCTCTTCTTAAGGGATACCAATGTGTCATAGATCTGGTCTTTTTACATAATTGCACATTTCTCTGAGGTTTTATGCCTTCTTTTTTATTCTTTGTTCTTTATTTTTGTCTGACTGAGTTAATTCAGAGAATCAGTTTTTAAGCTCTGTGATTCTTTCCTCAGCTTGGTCTATTCTGCTGTTAATACTTGTAATTGTATTCTGAAATTCTTGAAGTGAGTTTTTTAGCTCTATCAAATCAGTTTGGTTCTTTCTTAAAATGGCCATTTCATCTTTCAGCTTCTGTATCATTTTACTTTATTTCTTAGCTCCCTTGGATTGGGTTTCAACATTCTCCTGAATCTCAGTGATCTTCTTTCCTGTGCATATTCTGAATTCTATGTCTGTCATTTCAGCCATTTCAGTCAGGTTAAGAACCATTGCTGGGAAACCAGTGTGATTATTTGGAGGTAAGAAGACACTCTGGATTTTAGAGTTGCAGAGTTTCTTGCATTAATTCTTTCTCATCTTTGTGGGCTGTTTCTTTAATCTTTGAAGTGGCTGTCCTTTGGATGTTTTTGTCTTTTTTGTTGTTTTTTGGTGTGTGTTTTTGTTTGTTTGTTCATTTGTTTGTTTTTTGCTCTTATCTTCTTTGATACTCTTGCAGGTTTGATTGTGGTATAAAGTGGATTCAGTTAGCAGTGTTTCTTGAAAATCTTAGAGAGTCCAGGCTCACCTCAGCACTCTTGTGGTGTGTTCTCTGCTCTGGGACTGGGCCCCTGGCTTTATTCTCTGGCCCCTTGAGTTTAGAAACTTGCTGCATTGGAGGGGCTGAGGTGTTCCCAGTCCATTGGCCACAACACTATAGTAGGGGGTGCCGGCCAAAGCACTTCATTAGAGTGGTGGCAGTGGGATCCATTCTTACTCATGGGTGCCAGCAGTTGTGGAGTCATGGCAGGGTGCACATGCATCTGCTGGGGTGGGGGTACTGGCAGGAGCAGAGTGGCAGCATCCCTACATAGGTTCCTGCTGGCAGTCACAGCGCAGTGAGGTGTCCGTGTGTTGGCAGGGACAGGGTGGTGGGGCACACATGCACATGCTTGCTGGTGGTAGAGGGAGTTGTGATCTGCTGTGCACTCATGCCAGCAAAGCAGTTGGGAGGTACTATGGGTGGACTGGTGCACATCAGCAGAGGCTGGCCTGCTGGAGGTCTCCAATGGTTAGGCATGGTCTGCTGGCAAAGGAGCTATGATGAGGGCCCCCAGGAAACACCCTGGTTGGGCTTCCAAGGCTGTACTGCAAGCAGGCACAGCCAGCCTGGGGCCCCAGGAGAGGCCAGAAGGCAAGGAAATTCTCATTTCAGATGGGCCCTGTCCCATGGACAAGACCACCCTGCTTTATTCAGGTCCCATAGTCACTCTAAGGTTAAAATCTCCTAGAGGAGGTTGGTGAGCCTTGGGGGATGGGTGTCCCCTGGCTGTGCTCCACTACAGCCATTCTCATGTCAAACACTCTGGGCTTTACACAGACTGGAGTCCTGCCCCTGGCATCTCTCTAAGCAGCTGTCCCTTCCAGCACAAGTGTCCATGGGGGTCATGGGGTCTCCTGCTGCTAGGATTCTGGAGGCCCATGGCAACAGCAGGCCACTCCTCACCTGTTCAACTCAACCTTTCCCCAGGAGTTGCTGGGAGCCAGGAATGAGTCCTGGTGCTTGGCATCCCCATGCAGGGTTCCCATCTTCCTCCACCTTCAGCTCAGCATCTGTGTCCTCCCCCATCTACTCTCAATCCACTCTCAATGCCTCCCCTTCAAAGATCTGCTTGGAAAGCACCCGTCTTCCTGATGTCTCACTCCCTCCATGACAGATATTCCTCCTGGCTGCATCTAGTCAGCCATCTTGACTCACCTCTGAAGTCTTTTTAATTACCACTTCGGTTAAATTAGTAACTATCATTTTACAATGGCCTGTGATTCTGTTTTGATCAAATATTTTGAGCCTTTTAGCATCTATAACAAATGTTCTCAAAAATCAAAATCCTAAATCAAGTCTCTGACTTAGTCTTATTTCTGGGGCTTATTAAGGCTATAAAAACTAATCACCATAAGGTTGTACAAGCTTTTTACAGCTTCCAGTCAGGCTATGAACTCCAGTATCACCACCTCCAGCCTCATAATTACATATATTGGAAGAAAATCAGTTAAAGGACTCCCTCTAGACCCTTGAAAGGGTGTGAGAGACAACATGGTTTCGCCTGCCTTCATGTGTCCCAGTCCATCCCTGTGGCTGCCTCTGTCCACCTCAGCTTGCCCACTGTCTTTCCTTCCCAACTGTCTGCCCTGCTGACTTCTGGCTTCAGTGACAGATGCAAAGACAAGGTGACAGCCCCACATAGACCATTTAACCAGTCCCACATTTGCATAAGCTAAATGGTCATGTAACAGTCTGTTGCCCAGGCTGGTCTCAAACTCCTGGGCTCAAGTGATCCACCCACCTTGACCCCCAAGGTGCTGGGATTACAGGCTTGAGCCACAGTGCCCAGCCAAGAACCCGTTTTTGAGTGGGCACCTTGGCACACACCTGTAAACGCAACACTTTGGGAGGCCAAGGTGGGAGTGTGGCTTGAGGCCAGGAGGTTGAGGTTGCAGTGAGCTATGATGGCACCACCTCACTCCAGCGTGGGTGGCAGAGTGAGATCCTTTCGAAAAAAAAAAAAAAAAAACTTGTTTTCTCTGCAGCCGGGCTCCGTGACCAAACACAAACACAAACTTCCCCTCCAGAGGGTCCAGGAGGGGCTGGGCTGCAGGAGGTGCTTAGGGCCTCTTAGGGAATGGTAAGTGACCACCCAACGCAGGCACTCAGCCCCAGGGGCATATGCAGAGAGAGGGTCCAGGAGGAGCTGGGCTGCAGGAGGTGCTTAGGGCCTCTTAGGGAATGGTAAGTGACCATCCAACGCAGGCACTCAGCCCCAGGGGCATATGCAGAGAGAGGCTGGGAGGACACTTTCAGTGACTGGGGTTACAAACCCCAACCATAAGACATTGCTGGCTCTGTGAGCCGCCACCTCCAGAAATCTCCCACTTAGTTCTTAGCACTTATCCACTCTTCCCTTTTCCTACTCTCAATTCCTGGAGGATGCCCTCCTTTCTCAGGCTCAGACCAACCTACCAGCTCCACTCTAGACCTGAACACATAACTCCTCCCTCTGTCTCCACCTGGAAATCTCATCAGTGCCTCACATTTACACTCCTGAAAATCAGGTCCTGCCTACCCACCCTCTTGCTCCACCTGATTCCTGCCCTGTTTCAGCCAGAGACCTTGCAGTCTCCTTTAACTCTCAAACCCACCCATGTCGTGTGAGCATACTGACTGTGTTCTATGCAAGAAAGAGCAGTTTCTTGGTGGTCCTGCGGTTTTATTAGTCCAGAGGCAAAGCGTTGGCAGAGCTGGTTTCTTCTGAACCCTGGGAGGGAGATTCTGTTTTCATGCCTTTTCCAGATTCTAGAACCCATATTCCTTGCTCTGTGTCCCCTTCTTCCATCTTCAAAGGCCATCCTCTCATCTCTGTGTCCATCATCACATCACCCTTCCCCTGA
This sequence comes from Homo sapiens, assembly GCF_000001405.40. Lineage (NCBI taxonomy): Eukaryota > Metazoa > Chordata > Mammalia > Primates > Hominidae > Homo > Homo sapiens. Next base: position 105,951,736 of record NC_000014.9, on the reverse strand, counting down.
CTCTGGTTCTCCTGCTTCCACTTATAAGCACCCCTGTGATTACATCATACCCACCCAGACAATGCAGGGCCATATTCTCCCCTCTCGAGATTAATTTAATCACATCTACAAAGTTCCTCGTGCCATATGAGGTCACTAAACCACATGTTCTGGGGGTTTGAATGTAAACATTTGGGGGATGCATTATTCAGCCACCCACAAGCACTGCTCCCCACTGGCCACACACTATGCACAGCCGAGATCATGCAAGTGAGGCACGTTCATCAACAGCAGCTTCAGCAGGAAACTATATGCTCCACTTTCCTGCCATTTGTATCTGGATTTTTTTTTCGCTATCATTGTAGAAAGAGTGGTATTGTAAAATTAAAGATGGATTATTTTCTTTCTAGAACACTTTGGCAATCTATCCAACATTATTTATCCCCTTCTGAGTGTCAAGTGTGAGGTCATTCTTTCATTGAGAGCTCAATGCCTACAATTATGATAATGCATATTGGGTACTTTCACACATCAGAAAGTTCTTCTTTCTTAAAATCTGTTCTTGAATTATTCATTCTTCTCTAGCTTTTTGTTGATCTATTTTATAATTTTAGAAAAATCAGAAAGTAACTTGAAGTATCTGTCATCTCTACAGGTTTACCTCCCTCTTTGTGGCCTTCAGAATGTCATGACACGCTTTTCCCTTGCTCATCACATGGTTTCTATGTATGAGACCTCATCACAGGAGCTGTGGTCCCCCGGGAGCAGGCATCTGTGGATGGTGCCTTGCTCCTGGCTGCTGGGACCTGTGTGCTGCCAGTGGCACTCCACGACGGTGATTTCCCAGCTCAGTTTTGCAGCTCCAGATGGTGGGTGAGACACTAGGACCACTTTGTGAACAGCGAGGGCTTGGGGTTTGCTTTTCTACCATGTCCAGGGCTGCTGTTCATGAGGGAATGTTTCTAACCTGACATCATGGCTGAAGCCAACTTAGAACCTCTCTAGCCGTATGGGGAGTAGGTGAGTGATACAGATGTTAATTAGCTCAGTGGAGCCACTCCCCTATGTAGACATGTTACAAAACATTATGCTGTACAGAATAAATATAGGTCATTTTTATGTGTCAATCAAAAGAGAAACTAATTATTTAAAAAAAAAAAAACCTCTCTACTCAAGCCGAAACCTCAGCTCCAGTCCCACAAGTCACACAAGGCTGCTCCCGTCCTGTGTATGTTAAACCTACCTCAGAAATGCAAGGGGCATTCAGGTTTCATTCTCAATTCAAATGCCCTTTTTAATTTTGTCTATTCCTAGCACCTGGCAACTTCCAGCTCTTTTTTTCGGGCTCATTCATTATTTAAAGCACGTATAATTTTTCACCCACATTCTAACACATGTAGTACTGTAGAGAATCCTTCCCTAGGAGGATCTACAGCATTAGAAAAGAATTAAGAACTCCAATATTTACAAGAAGGAAAAAGCAAAAAGAGATCAAAAAATGGGCAACTTCTAGAAATAGAAAACCCTCATGAGTATGATGATAAATCGCTGGCACACATGTGAATAGTTACTTGATGCTTATAGTGATGTCTGGGAAAATAACATGAAATACTTATAATCTGTTTCTCACACATGTAATTCAAAAGAATAGAGAGAAGATGATTTGAAATATTCTTAAGTTTGTAGGAAAAAAGCTACTTCCATATGCATAATTGCATGTATTTTGATACTGCCATTATTAAGAACTATCTAAGAGGGTCCATTAAAAATAAAATTTCTTGGCTGGGCACAGTGGCTCATGCCTGTATCCCAGCACTTTGGAAGGCCGAGGCAGGTGGCTCACCTGAGGTCAGAAGTTCAAAACCAGCCTGGCCAACATGGTGAAACGCTGTATCTACCAAAAATACAAAAATTAGCTGGGCATGGTGGCATGCACCTGTAGTCTGAGCTACTTGGGGGGCTGAGGCAGGATAATCGTTTGAACCCAAGAGGTGTAGGTTGCAGTGAGCTAAGATCATACCACCGCACTCCAGCCTGACAGACAAAGCAAGACTCTGTCTCAAAAATATTAAAATAAAATTTCTCATTCCTATTACAGAGTAATTTAATTCATTAATGCCCTGCCCTGTTACAAAACTCATTTGTAAAATACTAATTGTAATTGTGAAAAAATGGCAATTGATACTAATTTTAAATTCTAAAAACAGGGCACCCATATTAAAGATTATTCTGCAGTAAGAGAATTAGCTATAACATTTTGTAATAAGGTGGAGAAAACATTCTCCAACTTACAATGGTTGGTGAGAAGAAAGTTTCCAGCACGGTAGATGGACCCTAAGAGCCCTTGTTGAAATAATAAGACAAAAAGATATACAGAGAGATAAGCCAGATGAAGGGAGACAGAGAGAGAGAGAGAGAGAGAGAGAGAGAGGCACAGAAATGAGAGATACAAAGTGAAAGAGGGCAACCTGTGGGGTCATCAGACAGACACAGGGGAAGAGGAGAAACACAGGGCGGTGGCTTGCCCTTGGACTGTTCTTAGTTCCTCAAAACGTAACAGCTTTGCCCAACCTAAGGGAACTTTCAGCAGCTGCTCTTCTGCCATAGGCCTCTTTCCTGCCTTGTTTTCATGTGGCTGACTGTTTCTGTTCCTGCAGGTCTTAGCTCATCAGACAGGCATTTATTACCTCTGTGTCAACAGTGGGAGCTTCCATTACTCTCTAGCATGACACTCCCCTTCCTCTTTTAGGAAATTTAACATGGAAGTGAGTTTGCCATCGGCCTTCTCCCCACAGTGTTAACAGTGGTGAGGAAGCCAGCCTGTTCCACCTTGCCCCTCCCATGATTCCAACACTGAGTTCAGACTTGTCACATGGAACTTATCTTTGCATGTTTGTGGCACAGACAGATGGACCCAACCATGGATTAGTGGATGGATGGATGGATGGATGGATGGATGGATGGATAGATGGATGGATGGATGGCTGAGTAGGTGTGTGGATGGAAGAGTGAAAAGATAGATGGATGCATGTATGGGTGGATGGGTAGGTTGATGGATGCATGGATGGGTGGATGGATGGGTGAGTGGATGAATGGGTGGGTAGGTGGGTGGCTACATGCATGGATGAGTACTTGGATAGATAAGTGAGTGGATGGATGGATGGATGGATGAATGGGTATGTGAAGGGATGGATGTATTAGAGTGGGTAATTAGGCAGGCATGAGCTGATAGTCAAGGGATTGTTAAACTGCCTCTCTAAAATAATTATTGGTCTCGGCTGGACGCGGTGGCTCATGTCTGTAATCCCAACACTTTGGGAGGCTGAGGTGGGCGGATCACAAGGTCAAGAGATTGAGACCATCCTGACCAACATGGTGAAACCCTGTCTTTACTGAAAATACAAAAATTAGCTGGGCGTGGTGGCGTGCATCTATAGTTCCAGCTACTCGGGAGGCTGAGGCAGGAGAATTGCTTGAACCTGGGAGGAAGAGGCTGCAGTGAGCTGAGATTGTGCCACTGCACTCCAGCCTGGTGACAGAGCAAAGCTCTGTCTCAAATAATAATAATAATAATAAATAATAATTGATCTCAGCCAGCGCCAAGAAAAGGCAGTCTCCCAATAGATAGAAAACACCCGAAACTGGTCATCAGCAGCTTCCTGATAAGATCTCAGGCATTGGGTGAGTGGGCTCAAGCATATGCACTAAGAGGCAAAGTGGCAGAGTTTAACTGGCACATAATCTTCCTCTAGGAACACTCTAATAGTAAGAGAAGGACACCTCAAATGAGCATGTGCACATTTCATTAAACCCACTGTGTATGCAGCCCCTCCCAAGTGCTGGCAGGCCACTGTACATGTGGGCAGCCCACTCCAAGGGAAGAATCAAGGGAGAAGAAATACAAATCCCAGAACCATGTCAATGTATAAAACCCCAAGTCAAGGGCCGGACAGAGCACTTAGATCTCTCAAGTCGCCCACTTAGCCCTCTTCCAAGTGTACTTTACTTCCTTTAGTTCCCACTTTAAAACTTTAATAAACATTTACTCCTGCTCTAAAACTTGCTTGGGTCTCTCACTCTTCTGTATGCCCCTTGGCCAAATTCTTTCCTCCAAGGAGGCGAGAATCAAGTTGCTGCAGACCTGTATGGATTCGCTCCTGCTAACAGATAGCTGGATGGGTGGACAGATGCATGAATTAGTGGATGGACGTTTGGATGTGTGGGTGGGTGGGTGGATTGTGGGATGGCTGGATGAATGCATGGCTGGATGGGTGGACACATGCATGAATTAGTGGATGGATGTTTGGATGTGTGGGTGGGTGGGTGGATTGTGGGATGGCTGGATGAATGCATGGCTGGATGGGTGGACAGATGCATGAATTCGTGGATGGACGTTTGGATGTGTGGGTGGGTGGGTGGATTGTGGGATGGCTGGATGAATGCATGGCTGGATGGGTGGACAGATGCATGAATTCGTGGATGGACGTTTGGATGTGTGGGTGGGTGGGTGGATTGTGGGATGGCTGGATGAATGCATGGCTGGATGGGTGGACAGATGCATGAATTCGTGGATGGACGTTTGGATGTGTGGGTGGGTGGGTGGATTGTGGGATGGCTGGATGAATGCATGGCTGGGTGGGTGGATGGATGCATGGATAAGTGGTGGACGGATGGACGGGTGAGTGGATGGGTGGATGTGTGTGTGGATGGGTGGATAGGAAAGCCCTCTAATTGATTACAGGGCTCAGTGTGTGCTTCAACATCATGATGGCATCATCACATTGGTCCCTGTATGAAGCAGTGGGGGAGGAGAGTGTACCAGGGGAGCAGGAATGACTTTTCTCCAGAATCGACCTCTCCCACCCTGCAGCCTGGGCTGTGCAGGCCACATTGGAGAAGGTGCGGTCGACTACTCCTAAATGTTGTTGTGTCCAATGGCTTGTTGACGTTGATGTAGGAATGAGCCTACATCTCCACCATAGATGGAACTGTTTGGGTCCCCAAAGCAGAAAGCCTCTTCTGTTGCAGGTGCTGAAGTTTCCATCTTCTTCTGCTTATACGGAAGCTCACGCATCCCTTGGGTGGCAGGCGTCAGGTTCCTGTGCGCACTGAGTTCCCCCCTTACATGCTTTGGACAGAAGTGTGAGACACACAAGATTGCTGCAGGAAGTCCACCTGTGGGGATGCTGCGACTTCTCCAGCAAGAACACGAGTCTGCTCATTGACCATCACCACACATAACAAATTAAGTGTCCCTTTTTTGATAACACGTCATTGTTTCACAGAGTATTCTTTTAAAGTGTATAAGTTGACTGCAGTTATTATTTTTTACTTCTGTTACTAATTTACTCATAATTAGGCACAATTTACACTTAAGAAATTTCTTAATAGTTTTTTCCTCCTTAAGGTGAACTACAGTCAGATAACATACTTATCAATTGTCTCTAGCTCTTGTCAGAAAAACATATAGATGTGTGTGTGCGTGTGTCTTGGCCTTTCCAATGATGAATTAAGATGTGCATTGAGAAGGCATTCACTTTATTTGACGTTAAGGAAGTACCAAGAAGACGCTCTCCACAGACCCTGGGAAAGCCAGCAGCTGCACCCCGAGGCTGTGCCAGGCAGGGAACAAGGAGGCAGCACCACCTGCTGGGCAGGGAAAATGTCCTCCCAGTCCCTGCCGCTTCTCTGCAGAGGCACAAAGAGCTGCCCCTTCTCCTGGGCCTTCTCCTGGGCTGATGAGATTGCTCCCCGATATGCCAAATCAGGGTTGTGCATCTGAGGCTCTGTCTAGACTCTCAGCTCCTTCCTACTCCTGCAAAGTGAAGAAAACAATGCCAAGGGGTCCTGGAGGCGTCTCTACCCCTGGAGAGTTTTGACTCTCTTCAATAGTCTCCACTACCCTGCCCTCACTCCATGTCCTCCGTTTCTCCCTAAAGCGGTGCCCAGTCTGATTGCACTGTGGCAGGGATAACGAGGGGCCAGGACATCAGGGGAGAGAAGTTTCTACCTGAGTCACAGCAGCGGCTGCCCTGCAGACTCCTGAAGACACAAGACACATTTCCATCCCAGAGACCCAGCGAAATGCAACCTCAAACTAGAGACAGCCAGTTATTTTTTCTTGTTCTGTCCTGGAGAGGCCACTGAGAAAGTCGAGCCCCTTGTTGAGGAAAACATGAGATCTCTGTGTGTCGTCCTCTGCCTGATGGCTGTACCTCCATGTGAGTGTCTCAGAGATTTCAGAACGGGGGCTGTGGGCTGTGGTGTCCGCTTGTGACTCATCTCTTTGCTTCTTGTCCCTGAGTGTCCTGCATCAGATGCAGCTACTGGAGTCATGCCCAGGGCTGGTGAGGTCCTCACAGACCTCTGGGCCTGGACCCAGCAGCCCTCTGGGAAGGCGCTGGGGCACCTCAGCTCCAGGGGCAGCACACACTTCAGCCCAGCCTTTCTGGGCCAACTCTCCATCTGTAGAGACACATCCAAGGCCCAGTTATCCCTGCAGCTGAGCTCCGTGATGGCCAAGGGCAGGGCCGCACATTCCCGTGGGAGACAGAATGGGGACCTCAGCGTGAGCCCAGACACAAACCTCCCTGCAGGGAAGCACAAGACCACCAGGCGGCGCTCCAGACCACACAGCGGCCCCAGAAGCAGGTTTTAGGGGGCGGGGCAGACGTGTCCGCGTTGAGTCAGGTCATTGGTTTTACTTTCCCTGAGCAAACGGCCTCTGCCAAGGACTCACTGCACCTCTCACCTTCACAGTTGTTTTTTTTTTTTTTTTTTAATCACCCTGTAGAGTTTTGCTAGCTAATTTAGATATTGAGGAGTGCTTCATACTTCCTTGGGCCTCTGCTTGCAGAAACATAGCAATTGTAAGGAGGCACGTGGGAAAGCCCCGGCTCGGTGACCCGGGGGATGCTGCTGTGGCCCTGGCAAGAGGGCGTCGGGCCGCAGTAACAAAGGTGCAGACGGCTCTCAGCCTGCGCCCGCGGAGTACAACACATAAGGGCTGTAACCTAACGAAAAAAGAATCGCAGTGCAACTGTCCTGCATTTGAGTTTGTGATCAGTTTTGCCCTTTGTCTTTAACAGGTTCTAACATAAAATTTTGAATGTTGGTTCAAGCCCTGTGGGTAAAATGCACTTACCCACATTCCTTAAACAAATAGAACACTGAGGTGGAAATGTTTTGAAAAAGTAGTTTTCAGACATTTGGAAACAAGCATCACAGGATCATAACCCCTGAGAAAAGAAAAACAAATGAACGAATCCTGCTATTGCCTGAAAGCAGCTGCCAGGACACACGGAAAGGCTTAGTGAGCTGAGCGGACAGAGAGCAGAGTTCAAGGCAGCAGCAGCCCGAGGGGAGGAGCACCGGGGAGCAGGCTGCTGTGCAGCCAGGATGGGCCGGGGTGGGGCGGGGGGAGAACAGCTGGAGACTTGCCGCAGGGAGGGGGATCCCTCAGGTTTGGGGCTGAGAACTGACTTATGCCTGACTTATGCCTGCATGAAAAGAAACTACTCGATATCAGGGGGAAATCACCAGAAACCTGTGGACCCAAAACTACACAGAGCCTACACAAGGAAAGCATTGTTTGTGTTCTCCCAGCCAGGGTGGAAAGACCTTGAGATATGTAAAGCTTCAAGCAATCTTCCGAAGTAATCTCGTGAGTAGTGGTGCCACATTAATTCAGGACTAAAGGCTGCTCTGAACTGAACCTAAGAAATGCTTCAAGTGTAGCCTGGAGCCCGGGTGCAGTGGCTCACACCTGTAATCCCAGCACTGTGGGAGGCCGAGGCAGGCGGATCACTTGAGGTCAGGACTTTGAGACCAGCCTGGCCAACATGGCAAAACCTGTCTCTACTAAAAACACAAAAATTAGCTGGGCGTGGTGGCAGATGCCTGTAATCACCTCCCACCTGGACCCTTCCTTGATACATCAGAATTACAACTAGAGATGAGATTGGGGTGGGGACACAGAGCCAAACCGTATCACATAGGAACCTAAAAGGATAATAAAGTAGGAAAACTTCCCACATCAGTAACCCTTTATCCGATAGTAATCCCAATCTGCAAAGTAAAACTGTGTGATTTTACTAAGATAACGGAATCTTCTCTACAGGACTTTCCAGTGCAAAAGCTCCCCACCCTCACCATGAAATGCACGTGACCATTTCCAATTTGTGTAAAGTCCTCAGTTAGTACTGAGACTTCGGAAGGTTAGAAATCCCTTTGCTCATGCTGCATGGTCCGGATGAGATGTAAGAATCATTAGCTAATAGACATGCAACAGCTTTTGTGTGAAAGATGTTATGAGACATTTAAGGTATTTGCTTGTGATTACTAAGCATTCATTGTATCATTGGAGCACATGTGCTTTTATACCCTGGAGAAATTCCAGTAATTGAATTGCTGGGTTGAATGGGATTTTGATTTGGATTAAATTTAAACTATAGATTTTATTTAGGGAAAACTGGCATCTTAATTATGTTATTGGGGGGCCCTTGCTCCCAGAGCTCCCAAGATGGTGGCAGGCCGCTTCCAAAATGACCGCAGGCCACTTCCAAGATGGTGGCAAGCCTCATGTTCTCTGACCTGGGGTTCTTGGCCTCACGGATTCCAAGGAATGGAAGCTTGGGCCATGCAGTGAGTGTTATAGCTCTATTAGAAGCCGTGGGTCACGGAAGAGAACCGTGGAACCCAGTGACTAGTGTTCAGCTCGATTAGGACGAACCCAGGCACTTAGCCGTGCAGGAACAATGGCGAGCATTTGGTCCGATCGAGAGTGGCAATGGGCGCCTCGCTGGATCAGGAGCACAGCGGATACCCTGATGGATCCGGAGGGATGGAAGCCAGCGGTGGGTCTCCCACGGGGGCAAACAGCAGTGGTGGACGGTGAGCGAAAGCGAAGCTCGAGCCGTAACAAACATGGACCAGAAGAGTGCAGTTGCAAGATTTAGTAGAGTGAAGACAGAGCTCCCATACAAAGGGAGGGGACCCAAAGAGGGTAGCTGTTACCGGCTCGAATGCCTGGGTTTATATCCCGATCATTGTCCCTCCCGCTGTGCTCTCAGGTGATAGATGATTGGCTATTTCTTTACCTCCTGCTTTTGCCTAATTAGCATTTTAGTGAGCTCTCTTTACTATCTGATTGGTCGGGTGTGAGCTGAGTTGCAAGCCCCGTGTTTAAAGGTGGAAGTGGTCACCTTCCCAGCTGGGCTTAGGGATTCTTAGTCGGCCTAGGAAATCCAGCTAGTCCTGTCTCTCAATTACACTGAGTTTTCCAATCCATGCATCCAATATGTGGTGTATCTCTTCATATGTTCATAGCCTCTGAGCAATGTTTTACAATTTTCTGTGTAAAGAACTCCACATCGTTTTATGTTTCTTCTAAGGTATATCCTGATTGCTTTTTATGTCTTCACAAGTTTTTTCCTTTCAAAATTAATTTTCCAATTGTTTGGTGCTAATATGCTCAAATGTCCTTGATTTTCTTAGTTTGAACAGTCCGTTTTTGTTTTGGGGATTTATTTTTTTTTCAGATTCTTTAAGATTTTCTATGTCTATAACCATATAATCTCTGAACAGAGACAGTTTTGCTTTTTCCTTTCAACTTGAGGTAGGTTTTCTGGGTAGTTCAGGACGCGCAGGCACTGGGTGGGTGGTGTTAGCAGCTGCACGGTGCCTTGGAGAGGACACTCTCGGGGGACTGTGGCCGCTGCTCAGCTGTGACCGTTCTTATAGCACCAGCAGCTGCGGCCACCATTCTTATCCAATTTCCAAAGCCACACCACAGGCCCTCTCAAGAACGAGGCGTGGAGGCTATGCCCTCTCCTGGACACATCATCATTCCCAAGCCCCACGATGTGGGCCCCATGGGACGCACACCTTTGTCTGTCCAGACCTCAGCCCCACCTCCTCATCCTGCACCAGAACTCTTCAGAGCCCAGTGCATGAAATGGGCTACCAAGGAAATGAGGGTAGGTTCCTGAGAGGAAACTGGCCCTGCATTTGGGAGCTAGGAGTCTGCTAATTCGCCTGGCAGCACTGTGCAGCCCTCCGTGGCTACAGTCCACCCCGTGCCCATCAGTGCCTCCTTCCTGTGCAAGCCTGGACCTCGCCCTGGGCTCAGGATGGGCTGTAGACCGAGAATGCAGGCGGGAAAGTCTTTGTCTATCGGGGCCATAGTCAGGTTCTACAGTGAGTCAGGGAAAGGCCTGTGGAGGTGTGGATGAGGACAATGGGTCCACCATCAACAGGAGGACACAGGTTCGACCCCTTGCAGAGGCACAGTCCCACATCACTGGGAGGCAGCCACACTCACTGCCTCGCCCTCTCCTCACACAGTGCAGTTTCCATGTTCACAGCCCCAGCCAGTCACCAGGAATGCCCTGGGGGCGGCCTTTCCCCAGTGCACTCCGAGCCCTCCCTTGGCTGTGCGGTGAGCTCCATGCCCAGGAGATATCCACCCATAGTCCTCCGGAAAGCAGCTGACCTGCCATGCCCTGGAACCACAAATCCCCACAGATCAGCCAGCCTGCAGTGGGCCTTGGATGTGGTGAGGAGTGGTGGCACCCCCGTTCCCACCCCACAGATGCAACGCCTGTGGGTGACGCATGTGAGTACTGAGGAGTAGAGGGTAGAACTGTAGGCCCCGAGAACCACAGAAACTCGGGTGTTACACTCTGGGGCCATGTAAGGAGAAAGTGTCACTGGACAGAAACAGGCCCCTCCTAGACACTGTGTGCGCCATAGTCACCTGTCATTAGCTCTCACTCTTGCAGATTCATGATTGAGGTGGTTAAAAAAAAAAAAGCTCCTACTCACCCATCCAACCCCATCCTGGGGTGTTTCCACCACCCTTGGGGTTTGGGATGAGCTGCCCTTGCCCACTGTGCTCTGTGGACCTCCCTTTAGAAGCTCACAGCTCCCTGCACTCGGCTCCATCCTGCCCCACCACACAGAAGCAAAACCCCTCTCCTTTCCACTGCAGGCTTTTCCTGGACCAGAATGCTGACCTGCTGCCCTTCACTCCCGAAGTGGTGGGACTGCCTGGGGTGGTGTGGGTGTTGAGCCTTCTTACTCTAGGGACCTGGCACCTGGCCCCAGGGGCACAGGGATGGTGCATCTGCCTAGGGATGCCTCCTCATGCCAGGGGGTGGGGGTTAGTACCATCGGCCCTCAGGATTTGTTGCATGAATGAGTGAATGGGTGAATAAATGAAGGGGATCTGATCTATGAATAAGGGTATATAGACTTTGGTTGATGTAGGACGCCAAATGCTGGAATTTCAGAGTCATCACACCCAGGGGCCCTGCCTCTGAGCTCCTCTTTGCATCCAATCTGCTGAAGAACATGGCTCTAGGGAAACCCAGTTGTAGACCTGAGGGCCCCGGCTCTTCAATGAGCCATCTCCGTCCCGGGGCCTTATATCAGCAAGTGACGCACACAGGCAAATGCCAGGGTGTGGTTTCCTGTTTAAATGTAGCCTCCCCCGCTGCAGAACTGCAGAGCCTGCTGAATTCTGGCTGACCAGGGCAGTCACCAGAGCTCCAGACAATGTCTGTCTCCTTCCTCATCTTCCTGCCCGTGCTGGGCCTCCCATGGGGTCAGTGTCAGGGAGATGCCGTATTCACAGCAGCATTCACAGACTGAGGGGTGTTTCACTTTGCTGTTTCCTTTTGTCTCCAGGTGTCCTGTCACAGGTACAGCTGCAGCAGTCAGGTCCAGGACTGGTGAAGCCCTCGCAGACCCTCTCACTCACCTGTGCCATCTCCGGGGACAGTGTCTCTAGCAACAGTGCTGCTTGGAACTGGATCAGGCAGTCCCCATCGAGAGGCCTTGAGTGGCTGGGAAGGACATACTACAGGTCCAAGTGGTATAATGATTATGCAGTATCTGTGAAAAGTCGAATAACCATCAACCCAGACACATCCAAGAACCAGTTCTCCCTGCAGCTGAACTCTGTGACTCCCGAGGACACGGCTGTGTATTACTGTGCAAGAGACACAGTGAGGGGAAGTCAGTGTGAGCCCAGACACAAACCTCCCTGCAGGGATGCTCAGGACCCCAGAAGGCACCCAGCACTACCAGCGCAGGGCCCAGACCAGGAGCAGGTGTGGAGTTAAGCAAAAATGGAACTTCTTGCTGTGTCTTAAACTGTTGTTGTTTTTTTTTTTTTTTTGGCTCAGCAACAGAGATCATAGAAAACCCTTTTTCATATTTTTGAAATCTGTTCTTAGTCTAATGGAGATTCTCTAATATGTGACAATGTTTTTCTCTTGCTGTTTTTGGAATTCTTTGTCTTTGACTTTTGACAACTTGACTTTTGACAGTGTGCCTCAAAGAAGTTCTATTTTGGGTTCTGTGAACCTCCTGGATCTGGGAAGTTTTCAGCTATGATTTCATTAAACGTGTTTTCTACACCATTTCCCTACTCTTTTGGAATACCCATAATGCAAATATTTGTTCACTTAATTGTGTCCCATAAATGCTGGGGATTTTCTTCATTCCTTTTTACTCTTTTTTTCTTTTTATTCATCTGCCTGAATTATTTCAAAAGATCTGTCTTCAACTTCAGAAACTCTTTTGCTTGGCCTAGTCTAATCTTGAAGGTCTCAATTGTACTTTTAATTTCATTCATTGAATTCTTCAACTCTGGAATTTCTGTTGGTTCTTTTTTATGATACTTATCTCTTTGTTGAATTCCTCATTCAAATGATAAATTGTTTTCCTGATTTCACTGAATTTTCTATCTGTACACTATTGTATCTCCCTGAGTTTCTTAGAGATTATCCTTTTGAATTATTTTTCTGACATTCTGTATATTTCCTTATGATTGGGGTCTGCTACTGGAGAATGACTGTTGTCTTTTTCAGGTGTCGTGTTTCCTGGCCTTTTCATGTTTTATGTGTTCCTACGTTGATTTCTACACATCTGGCGGACCAGTCATCCCTTGCAATTTAATGGAGTAGGTTTTGCAGGAAAAGACTTCCTAGTACAGACGGGTCTCAGGGTGTCAGTGTGGCGGGGCGTGCTGGCTTTAGTTCTAGGTTGACGCAGTAGCGTAGTCTCCATGTCGTTTCTTCAGCTGCCGTCCACATTGGTGACGTTTGCGAGTGTCTCAGTGGCCTGGGCTGAGAGGTTTGTGGCAGTGGAAGTGCAACGTTGCTAGAGGTGGACTCACCAGGCTGTTTCTGAGGTCGGGGCACATGCATGCACATGGTGGATTGACCAACTTGGTGCCAGGCTCACTAGGGTTGGGGACATGGGGCTGTTTCTCAGGCCCAGGATGCAAACACAAGTCTCTTTGGCTGGCCTGGGGGTGTGGCTTCTGAGGGCAATCCACAGGGCTGTTTCTCAGGTTCAGGACACAAGTGCATGGCCGCTCAACTGGCCTGGGCATGTGTCTCCCAGGGCCACCCCATGGGCTCTTTCTCAGACCCAGGACATGGCCACATGGCTTCCTCAGCTGGCCTGGGTGTGTGTCTGCTGGGGGGCTGCAGGGGCACAGGGTTATTTCTCAGGCCGGGGTCATGGGCGCACAGCTGCTTGCTGGCTTATAGGAGTGCCTGCCAGGGGTGGCCCATGATGCTGTTTCTCAGGCCTAATTTCAGGTGCAGAGCCTTTGGGCAGGTCAACGGCATACCTGTGGAAATTGGAGTGGATGCCACAGGGCTATTTCTCAGGTGCCTGAGTGTGGGCACATATCCACTCTGCCAGCCTGGAGTTAGTATCAGGTGCTCGGTGGCTCAGGGGCCTCTCCTGCTCAGGGGAGGGCCCTCAGCAGCTTGGCCAAATCAATGGTGGATTCACCCTGGGCAGGCCTGGCAGGCTCTTCCTCCAGCTGGATGTGCAGCAGCAGGGGTTGGGTTTTTTGCTGTGCAGGGCCAGAGTCACGGCCAATCCTCAGCCTAGGCTCTGCACAGCCAGGGTTGTGGCATTCAGCCACCCAGATATGGGCATCCTGAAGATGGAGCCCCAATGCTAGAAAGGGGCAGTGGCTACCAGCCTCAGGGCAGGATGCACTCCAGAGGCGGCTCCGGTCTCAAGGTGGCGCTGGGCTGCAGCAGCTAGGCTCACAGTGGATGAATGGGGGCAGGGAGTACACACCTTGTGCTCCTAATCTGGGATCATTCCTGGCAGCTCCCAAACTTGGCTGAGGGCTTGCAAAACCTGTGGAATTCTCCTGTTGCAAGGGCTGTAGATGTTTGCAGTGGCAGTGGGTGCTGGCGGGAAATCTGCTTACCTTTTCCCTACATGGGAAGTCCCTCCTGTGTCCAGACCAATCCGATCTGGGTGGGGAAGACAAGGCTGCAAAGGCCAGGTGCCTCCATGCTGCCCTCCGATCACCACGGGTGCGTTTCCACACCTCCACTGCACTCCGTCAGTCTCCCTTCAACACTCCAGTCAAACCTTAGCTGTTTCTTCTTTGCCTTATTCCTTCCTCATGGGGAGGGTGTGGGTGAACACCAGGCTTCTCTAAGTTCTTCATCCATCTTGCTGATGTCATTCTCCATCCAGGCATGGGTTTTTAAGAAGTAGTGAATACTGAAATTTCAGCAGAGGACACCTCTATAAAAATTCTGCAACTGGAAAACCTCCTTAAATTGGCTGATTGTCATTACAATTGGAGGAAAACTGCCAATAATTTCAAATTTAGAAGGCTGAGACTCTATAAACAAAGACTAACAATATGTTTTCTGATATTTTTCCCCAAAATAATACTTTTCCAAGACGAAAATTTTTCCAGGGTATATAAGCACATGTGCTCCAATGATACAACAAATACTTACTAATCATAAGCAAATACCTTAAATGTCTTATAACATCTTTCACACAAAAGCTGTTGCATGTCTATTAGCTAAAAATTCTTATGTCTCGTCCAGATCATGCAGCATGAGCAAAGGGATTTTTGACCTTCAAAAGTCTCAGTACTAACTGAGGACTTTACACAAATTGGAAATGGTCACCTGCATTTCATGGTGGTGGTGGGGAGCTTTTGCACTGGAAAATCCTTCTGTAGAGAAGATTCCATTATCTTGGTAAAATTACATAGTTTTATTTTGCAGATTGGGATTACCAACTGATAAAGGGTTACTGATGTGGAAGTTTTCCTACTTTATTCTCCTATTAGGTTCCTATGTGATATGGTTTGGCTCTGTGTCCCCACCCCAATCTCATCTCCAATTGTAATTCCCATGTGTCCAGGGAGGGTCCAGGTGGGAGTGATTAGATCAAGGGTGGTTTTTCCCAGGCTGTTTTCATGATAGGGTGTTATCATGAGATATGATGGTTTAAAAGTGGCAGGTTCCCCTGCTCTCTCTCTCGCCTGCTGCCACATAAGACGTGCCTTGCTTTCCCTTCACCTTCTGCCATGATTGTAAGTTTCCTGAGGCCTCCCCAGCCATGCGGAACTATGAGTCAATTAAACCTCCTCTCTTTATAAATTACCCAGTCTCAGGTAGTATCTTTATAGCGGTGTGAAAATGGACTAATACACTATGGCTTTGAATTAATAATTTAAAATTTGTCAGCTTGGCAATAAAACATCCTGTTGACATTTATTTTTTAGGTAATATTTTAAATTGGCAGTTTCATTCATGTTTTTACAAATTCTTATTTTCAGGGTGTTTAAGGCCTTTGCTTTGAACTTGGTGGTTCCTTACACTCCATGCTGTTAGTGAAGAGGGACCAGGTTGGGAGGCATTGGTTTGGGTGGTGGTCAGGAAGGGCAGAGTGATTTGAGTAGGGTCTGAGTGGATAATAGCTCATCAGTTTGGAATTTATAAATGACCAGGGATGATTTAAGGAGATTCCTGCCAGACACCTATGCCATGGCCATGCCCTATCTGGATCTCCAGCCGTGAGATGAGAACCCAGCCATGCGGGGGAGTCTGTTCGTTCTGCTCAATGTTGTAAGTGGCACATGCTATTGGATAATGTAGAATTGAATGGATATCATTTTATTATTATAATTTACAAACTTCCTACAATAAACTTATCACCTTTATACATAGAAACAAATATAAGTACATTTTCCCTCCCCTATGTCATTTTGAGCCCCTCTCTCCAAACCATCCTCCCACTCTGCGACCTCACTGTCCCTGCATTTGGCTATGCTCTGGCAAGTCCCTGCTTAGACAAGCACTCACCAGACCACCCTACTCAGCCTCCCCTTCAGCGCCCACCTGGCCCACCTGCTCAAATACATGTTGAGTGGTCACACACATGGACTGAACACCATCTATTCCATGCACTGCCCCAGTGACCGCACTGAGCAGCAAGAGAGAAATGATGCATTAGCTATCAAGGATGCCAATTCAAATGCTGGAGTCTTTCTCAGATACTTTTCAATGTTCAAGAATTGTTGATTGTGAATTCTATACCCAATGAAACTATCCTTCAGAAATGAGCAGAAAATGGATACCTTCTCAAATAAACAAAAACTAAAAGAATTCTTGCTACAAGATGTACTCTTAAAGACTGGCTAAAGGAAGTTCTTCAAACAGCAAGGAAATTGAATTGATCTTATGTCCTGCACACTTGCTAAATTTCCTCTCAATTTTAGCAGCACTGTTTAGATTCCATAGGATTTTCCATACAAACAGTCATGTGGTCTATATATAGAGACAGATTTTCCTCTTTTCCAGTGGGGATAAATTTATGTCTTTTTCTTTCTGTGTTACAGCAGGTAGGACCTCCAGTACAATGTTAAACAGAAGTGGTGAAAACAGACATTCTTGCCTGTTTCCTAACGTTGGAGTTTGGTCTTTTACTATGGTGTCAGATGTTAGCTGTAGGGTTTTTATAAATGCCCTTCATCACATTGAGGAAGTTTGCTCCTATGCCTAATTTTCTGAGAGTCTTTTAATGTGACACTCATGCTAGAATTTATTAAATGCTTTCTGTCTACTAAGATGATTATGCAGTTCTTATATTAACATGAATAATTACATTTATTTATTCTTTAATATCAAGGCAATTTTGCATTCCTGAGACAAACCCCATTTAGTCATCATGTGTTGTTATTGTTACATATTGTTGGATTCAATTTCCTCAAAATTTGTTAAGAATTGTTACATCTATGTTTACAAGGAAGATTAGTCTGTAGGGTATTTTTTCTTATAATAACTTTGCCTAGTTTTGCAATCAGGGTAATGCTGGACTCACAGAATGAGTTGGGAAGCTATTTCCTCCTCTTCATTTTTCTGAAAGAATTTGTATAAAATTGGAATTATATCTTCCTTAAAGGTTTGCAAGATTTCATAATGAAGTCATTGGCCTAGAGTTTTCTTTGTGGGAAAGTCTTTGTTTGTTTGTTTTGTGGTTTGGGTTTTTTTTTAAGAGACACAGTCTCACTCTGTTGCCCAGGCTGGAATGCAGTGGTGTAATCATAGCTCACAGCAGCCTCAACCTCCTGGGCTCAAGCAATCCTCCTACCTCAGCCTTCAGAGTAGCTGGGACTACGGGCATGTACCACCACACCCAGCTGTTTGTTTGTTTGTTTATCGCTTTGTCTTGTTTTTGAGGTCTTATTATGTTGCCCAGGCTGGTCTTGAACTCCTGGCCTCAAGTAATCCTCATGCCTCAGCCTCCCACAGTGCTGGAATTACAGGCATGAGCCACTGCACACAGACTGTGGGAAAGTTTTTAACTAAAAATTCAATTTTCTCTTCCTTTTCCAGTGAGCTTTCCAGTGTCTTTCAATTAATGTATCTATTTTATCTAAGTTGTTGAATTTATTGTCAAAATTTTTTTAAACAATATTCCTCTCTTAGAGGTTGAACATCTGTAGAATCTGTAGTGATGGCACCTCTTAAATCCCTGATCTTGCTCATCTGTGTCGTCTCTCTTTCTCTAATCAGTATGCCTAAAGTTTAATTTCATTGATTTTCTTAAAAAACTGGTTTTGGTTTTATTGATTTTTTTCCCTAGTTTTTTGTGTTACATTTCATTGACTTCTGCTCTGATATTTACTATTTCCTTTCTACTGCCTACAGTAAGTTTAATTTGCTATTTTCTTAGTTTCCTAAAGTGGAAGCTAAGTTTATTGACTTGAGGCCTTTCCTCTGTCTGGATGCGGATATTTGCTGCTAAACATTTCCCTCCAACACCATGCTGTGAGTTTTAGTTACAGCGGGCTTGGAGTTGGCCTGAGAAATTCTACTTAAACAGCTGCACCTATCATGTAAGTGATAAATGATGTACCTGCCTGGCCCTCACCCCTGGTCAAAGAATGGGATGTACTAATGAGCAATGTTGCTGCGTAGCTGTGGATTTCAAGGTATTTTCTGTGTGGTTTTATCATCAGCATTGTTTGTTGATGACTGCAAGACTGATGATTTGCACCTGGCCTCGGTGAGATCCCCGAAAGACCCTGCAGATGGGCTGGTTACTTAGCAGAAAATATGACAACGTGGCCAGCAGGAAACAGGAAGGTACAATCGGCTGCAGGTGAGCTGTTGGAAGTAAGTTCCAATTTTCCTATTTTGTATTTGCATTTTAATAGTGAGACTGCGCTTATGTTATTTGTGTGAAACAGCTTTATTCATAGCACTGTAATTTAAAGAGAAAACCCATTCATGGGAACAACAAACGACCTAGACACCAAGGTAGCTCATGCCATCCAAGGCTATACTGTGCAGTGATTGGGAAAATGGGCACTGGTCCCAGAAGTCTGATCGACACTCTGCCACTGGCTAGTCCCGTGCTGGGGGGCGAGGATCCACACTCTGCCACTGGTTAGTCCCATGCTGGGGACAAGTATCCACACTCTGCCACTGGCTAGTCCCGTGCTGGGGGGCGAGGATCCACACTCTGCCACTGGTTAGTCCCATGCTGGGGACAAGTATCCACACTCTGCCACTGGCTAGTCCCGTGCTGGGGGGCAAGGATCCACACTCTGCCACTGATTAGTGTTGTGAAGATTTAAATAAAGAACCCACACCATATTCTTTGACTTGTGCTTTCCGTATACTGAGAGATAGTAAGAGTACATTATTATTATTTATAAAGTAAACTAGAAAGCACATGGGAAGACAAGAAGAAAACCTGAATAAACATGAATTACCCCATTTTCCTCAGGAGAAAACTTTCACACTCTGAAGGTACACAAATTAGCCTACAAATTTAATGTAAAGCAAATAGACTGTTGTAGGTACCAATTCTCAATGTCACAGTGTTACATGGAAAGTAAAATACACAAGAACAGCCCAAAAGATGGAAACAATGGACGTGGTCAAATGACATCAGTACAACATCCATATGGTCCTAAGTAGCCATCTTTAAAATGGGTTAGAAATGCCTTCAATCATTCACACAGACACATGCATTGAACAAACTCTAAGAAGTGTTCTTACACGGGAAAAGCAAGTTACAGATGCATGGGCATGATATGGATGTAGATGTGTGTATGTGCATCCCACTCATACACAAAATACCCAGCATCGCCCACATGCCTGCTGTGTGCGTAAGTGTGAGCGAGTGCACAGACAACAGCGTGCAGAAATTCAAACCAAGCTGTGGGTACTTGTTACCACTGGGAAGGGAGTCGGTCACAGAGGGAAAGAGAAACAGGACATCAGCCTTTGACTTCAGAACTGTTCCTGCCTTTTCACATCCTGTGCTGTTTTCAGCATCGTCGGAGCCCTTAACACACATCACGGGAGTAAGAGTGTGTTAGAGGGAGCATTCGGTGGGACAGATATTGCCATGGCTTGTGGATAGAGTTCACAGTCCTTAATAATCCCCGAGATGGCAGCCAAGAGCTACGTTCTCAATCACGCAGCTTCACCCCAGAAACTGACAGAAACCCAACAACCAAAAGGTGTCCATTCTGACAGCCTCAGCCTGTGCTGGCTCAGATGAGCAAAAATGTACAGATATTAATAATGATGTTGATTTGAAGAGCACAGAGGGGGGTATGCATGATAAGGGTCCAAATTTTTACCTTAAAAAAGAATACATTTACTTCTCAATCACCTACATAACGATCATTTTTTAAAAAACTGATCAAATTTGGTGTTACAAGGGCACGTTGCAAATTCTTCTGGCTACTTTTCTCTGACTATTCTAATTACGTTACCGTGTTTTCTCCTGTATGTGCCCGTTCATGTGAATGTCATTTCTGGCTACTTTTCTCTGACTATTCTAATTACGTTACCGTGTTTTCTCCTGTATGTGCCCGTTCATGTGAATGTCATTTCTGGCTACTTTTCTCTGACTATTCTAATTACATTACCGTGTTTTCCTGTATGTGCCCGTTCATGTGAATGTCATTTCTGGCTACTTTTCTCTGACTATTCTAATTACGTTACCATGGTTTCTCCTATATGTGCCCGTTCATGTGAATGTCATTTCTGGCTACTTTTCTCTGACTATTCTAATTACGTTACCGTGTTTTCTCCTGTATGTGCCCGTTCATGTGAATGTCATTTCTGGCTACTTTTCTCTGACTATTCTAATTACATTACCGTGTTTTCCTGTATGTGCCCGTTCATGTGAATGTCATCCAGGCAGATTTCCCAAATCCGGCTTCCTGTAACCAAGGGCTGAAAGAGGGAACGGTTTCCTGGGAATCCTTTTTGCAGTTTATTTTACCCGGAGGCAGAAGCCCACGGTTCCGTGAAGAGTCTATTGCTCTCCCCTCTCTCCTTTTGTGTCTCTATTTTTAATTGACAAAAAAGCAAATGTGAAGATTCCTGGGGTACAATGCAAAGTGACAATGCCTGTCTATATTGTGGGATGATTAAAACAAGGTAAGTGGCATATCCATCACCTCACACACTTATCATTTTGTGGTGAGAACATTTAAAATCTCATCTTTTAGCAATTTTGAAATAGTCATTATTGTTAACTATAGTCACCATGCTGTGCAACAGATCAAAAGAACTGACTCCTCCCATCAGCAGAAACTTCATGCCCTTTGACCAGCATCTCTCCTTTCCCCGTCCACGACTAACCCCCAGCCCAAGAGAACAGCCAACACCCACCTCGCTGCTGCCACACGACATGTCGGGCTTTGATGGGATGGAGGTGAGGGTGGGGAAGACAATTCCAAAGCTGGAGCACTGGCCTCACAGCTCAGACACTCTTCTACTTATCCTGAGAGAATGATGTGCTGAGACCAACTAAACCTCCCCTGCTCTTCCCACATGGCAGAAAAGAGGCAACCCAGGGAAGCCATTGCCAGGACATCATGGTCACCCAACCCTTGTGCAGAAAGGAAGCACCTGCCCAGGATGCCATAGCACCCAACCCTCATCCCCAAGGAAACACAGCCCAGGGCACCATGGACACCCAACCGTCATCCCCAGGGGAGGACACAGCCCAGGGCACCATGGACACCCAACCCTCATCCCCAGGGGAGGACACAGCCCAGGGTATCTTGGACACCCAGCCCTCATTCCTAGGGGAGTACACAGCCCAGGGCATCTTGGACATCCAACCCTCATCCCCAGGGAAGGACACAGCCCAGGGCATCTTGGACACCCAACCCTCATTCCCATAAGAGCACACAGCCCAGGGCATCGTGGAGGCCCGACCCTCATCCCTAGGGGAGGACACAGCCCAGGGCACCATGGACACCCAACCCTCATCCCCAGGGGAAGACACAACCCAGGCCACCATTAACACCCAATCATGTGCAGGGAGGGTGTCCTTGGAGCCTGGGACTCTTGCCAGTGAAGCGGTGGACAAGAAACTGAGGATGCGATCAGCACACAGAAATCTCAGGCAGCCTAGGATACATGAGGCCTCTCACCCCTGGGAACACTGAGCAGCCACCAGGAGCCCACACCTTGAGGTACAGCAGGAGCCATGCGCTCTTGCTCTTGCTCACTCACACTCCTGCACACAGCCACTGACACACGCCCTCGTGCACGTTGCAGATTAACTCCACTGGCCTTGCACTTGCAACGCTGGAGGCTGAGAGGTATCCCCAGGTTCTTTTCTCGTGAGAGGGGCAGGCTGACTTTCACTCTCCTCCATGTGCTAGAGGCAGCTCCACCAACACTGGCTGCCCTGAGTGGATGCACCTGGCTCTGGAATTCCTGTCATTTGCTTTGGATCCAGGAGCCCCTGCCTCATGTAGCTACTTAACAGAAAGGAGGAATCCACCCAGGACATGCCCAGACGGGAGCCTCACAGGATGGACAGTGGTGTCTGGGGTCACGGGCAGCCCTGACCCAGCAGCGCCAGCACCAGCACACCCAGTGGGGAAGGCGGGGAGGCCCAAACGCCACCCACAGTTTGTTACTCCACTGGGTGGGACCCGGCACCCCTGCCTTCCTGACACCCTGGAGTCCCTGCCTCTTCCTAGAGCCCCCAAGCCCATCTGCCTCAGAGCATCCAGAGACAGACCTGGGGAGCCATTTCCTCAGGCCCTGGACAAGGAAACAGGGAATTCCAGGTTATGGGTGCCTGGGGCAGGTCTCAGGCAGGTGCTGGGAACCAGAGAGAGGGGTCACCGCGAGGCCTCAGGCCTGGCACCAGCACTTTGAGCCTCAGTTTACCAGCCCACGAGGTGCTGAGTCTGGACTGGATGACCTTCCCACCCCCAGTGACCTCTGCCCTTTCCCGAGCATGTCAGCTCTGCTCCAGCATCCTGGTGTGAGCGCAATGCCACTTTTTTTCTCAACAAATACGAAAGGAGGAAGGTGCCCCCAGGGCCCTGTGCCCTGAGGATGCCTGTGTGGAGGGGTCCATTTCATCACTGGTGTCACTCACAGGAAGGGACGAAGCCACCTGCCTTGACGGAGCTTACTCCACCTCCGCCGAAGGCCGGGGAGGTCCCTCACAGAGAACCTGAGGCCCAGCAGGCTGCAGAGGTGCTGGCATGGAATGACTGCTCAGACGCCCGGGGCCGGCAGAGAGGACGGATGTGGGGGAGGTGCACACTGAGGAGCCTCTCCTTGGAGGTGGAGACACGTGCACCACATGGACCAGGACACAGTCCACGAAGCCTCGCATCCCCCTGAGCTGCAGCTCAAGGGCCTCTCTCTGAGCCCAGAGTCCCACCCCTGGGAGGCAGCTGCCCCAGCTCTGAGGGAGGAGGGCATCCACCAGGCCCTCCATCTCCTGGGGGCACCAGCCCAGCCCAGAGGCTCTGCAGGACTCTGCACCTCCAATTCATGGCCAGGACTTTCTGGATGTATCTTAAGGACTGAGGACTCCACATCAGGGACCACACAAGACCGGGGTCCCGGACACGGGGGTTGGGGGTGAGCATGTCACCGGGATGGGCTGTGGCGTCACTCTGGTACTTCATCCGGACAGCCAGGGACCAAAGCCACGCCCTCAGCCCCACCCCACCCCTGCCTCACATGGCAACGCAGGGTCTGCAGATGCAGGAGAGTGAGAAGCATGGTAGCCAGGCAGACTAGAGGACCCGAGCTGGGGTTGAGCACCTCCCTGTCTACCCAGGGCATGGCCTGTGAGACTGCAGGTGGCCTAGTGTGTGCTGCAGGCTCAAGGTCCTGCCCCAGGGAGCATGACATTCAGGCCCAGAAATTGCATCGTGCTGCACACAGTCCAAGGGGATAACCCTGTGAAGTTCAGGTCACCAGCAGGCTTGGGGTCAAGACCGAGCTGCAGAGGACAGGTTTCTGGAAGGCACAGCATCATGGGTGGAGGGACTTGGAGCAAGGTCCTTAGCCCCGGGACCAGTGAATGTGTGCCCTTATAGGGAAAGGGGGTCTTTGCAGAAGCAAGTTAGCTGAAAATCATGAAGTGGAGAGGCTCCCCTGGATTAAAGGGGTGAGCCCTAATGTAATCACAAGTGTCCTTCTAGGAGGTTGGCAGAGGGAGACTGACATAGACAGAAGCCAGGTGAGGTGGGAAGCGGAGGCAGAGGCCGAGAGAGCAGACGCTACGCCCTGGCCCTGAAGACGGAGGAGGAGCCGAGAGCTCAGGGATGGAGAGACTGGAGGAGGCAGGGAAGTTCTCCCCGCAAGCCTGGAGGGAGCATGGCCTCCAGCACCCCCAGACCTTGGCCCTGCAGGATTCATCTGGACCTGTGGTATAAATGGTGTTTAAGCCACTGGGCTGTGCAAATTGTCATAGCAGCCATGGCGCATTCCTAGAGGGAGCCCTGGTGGGGACCCAGCAGGCAGCGACGGGGCCCTCACAAGCCTGTGAGCCACTCAGAGCCGCGAGAGTGGCTAGGCTTGGTGAGGTGCAGGCCACGCGCACCTCCACTAAGGCAGCCTTAGGGCCCACACTTCCTCTCTCTCTCTCTCTCTCTCTCTCTCTATCTCTCTCCCTCCCTCCTTCCCTCCCTCCCGCTCTCTTGGTTGGACAGCTCTCCATCATCCCCCTGGACACGACCACCTCCCAAGGCCGAGCTGGGGCGCTTTGCTCGAGGTGAGCACTGACATCCTGGGGGTGTGAGGGGCACCTGCCCAGCGGCCCCGTGTGCAGGATGGGCGGTGGGCCCTAGCTGGCACTGGGCATATGGCCCGGCTGGTGCCTGCAGGCTGCAGCTTTTCTGGGGTGGCTGGGATCAGTGAAGGCCTCCAGAGTCTGGGCCTGGGATCCCTGCAGTGCTGGCTGAGGACAGGCGGGGCTGGGCAGTGAGGGCACTGGGTCACTATCACCACCCACGGTTTATTACTTCACTAGGTGGGACCTGGCACCCCTGCCTTCCTGACACCCTGGAATCCCTGCCTCCTCCTACAGCCCCCAAGCCCATCTCCCTCAGAGCCTCCAGAGACAGACCTGGGGAGGCATTTCTTCTGCCCCCAGCAGAAGCCCGGGAGGCCGGGAAGGCACAGTGGGTCTAAAGGAGAGGATCCCAGGACTGCCTGAGGGGTGACTCCGACGAGGCAAGCATAGAGCCCACTGAGAAGCGGGGTGGGAGCCCCACCAGGGATGGGCTAGTTCCTCATGAAGGACCAGGACCCAGGAAGGACAAGGGGGCCTGCTGGGGCAGGGTCTGCTATGCCGGAGTCCCTGTGAGCCTGGCCCAGACCTGCCTCTCTCTTTCCTCATTGGTCCCCACAGGTCCGTGGTGGTTGCCGTATCGGGAGGCCCCATGGTGGCAGGGGTGGGACACCTGGTATACGTCGCCAGGTGTGTCCAATAGGCTCATGCTCACACCTTCTCCTGGCACCTGGGCAAAGCCTGAGCACCCAGGCACTGAAGTGAGGGCAAGGCCTCGGGGCCCCACAGGATGGCCGAGGAGACAGCTGCAGGGCGCCTGGGACCCCTGGGCTCAGGAGGTAGAAGGATACAGCCTGAAAACCCACACCACAAGCTCACCGGCCAGTGCAGGCCCACAGAGCTCGAGGAGGCAGCCCTGAGCCTCCCAGGGAGAGATGCTCTGTGCACGCCGGCACAGGCCCTGGGTTACAAACCCTAGGCACAGCCCAGGAGAGGCCCAGGCCCCAGTCCAGCAAGGGGTTGCAGGAAGCAAGAGGTCCCCGGCCACAGCATGAGATAAGCCCATCAAGCCAGGGCCAGGTGGGCAATGGGAGGCAGGCAGGGCTTGGGGGTGAGTCCCTGCTGCAGCGCCGTCCACTGTCGACCGGAGGAGTTTCTTCCCTGTGCGGAGTCCACGGGCCTCCTGTGAGTGTGTGCATGGGCACAAGTGTGTGTGTGGCTCTGCTGTGTGTCTGTACACACGTATGTTTTGGGTTTTTTTGTGTCTCAGACCACAGAGTCTGCCCCTCCCACCAAAGCCCAGGCAGAAGGATGAACCCACGCCCCTGGGGCCCAGGCCTCAGCAGCCTCTGCAGGATCATTGTTCCCAGTTGTCACTTGCCTTTGCCACAGCCCTATTTCTCCACAATTCCTTAAAGTCCTCAACATGCATTTAAGGCACAAAGGTGAAACTGCCCAGAAACATCTGACTCCGCCGTGGAACCCAGGAGCAAGCTGGGTTAGCTAAGGAGCGGGGCCGTTGGCAGAGGCTGGGGATCCAGGCTGAACTTTGGAGGAGGCATGTGCCAGCATGGGCTCCTGACTATGTCCTCCTGGGACAAACCCAAACCCACTCTTTGAATATGGGAGGGACTTTGCTGGCCCCGGCCCTGACCGCAGCACTTGGAAACTGAGGAGTGGTCGCCTCCTCCGTGTCACAGCTGCCCGTTCACCATCATAGAAGCAACTCTGTCACCTCCATGGGCCCCTCTGTGGCTGCTGCCTGGGTCCAAGCTGAGCCCAGCTGCCCAGGCCCAGAAGGAAAGCCCAGGCCAGGTGCCCAGCACAGAGGCAGTCACATACCCCGGGGAGAGCCACAGCAAGCAGCCAATGTTGCCCAGGAGAGGAGTAGCTGACAAGGTAGAACGTGAGCTGCCATCGGCTCGAGAGGCTTTGCTGGTCCTCCTGGGGCTCTGGACATGACCAGGAGGAGCGAGGGAAGAAGTCGCATGGTGGTCCCATCCTGGGTGGGGCCTGATGGCAGCTGGCCACCCGTCCCAGAGTGGCAGCCAGATGCCAGCGCCATTCCCACAGTCACATCATTGGTCACAGAATGCAGGACATAGAGTGTCTTCTTTCCATCACAGTGCTGTCCAGACCCATAGCCTAGGGTAGACCTGGAAGATTCAATGTCCACACCCGGGGCTGGAGCGTAGCCATGAGCCACGCCCCCTGCCCGTGCATGGAAAGCCAGCCCAAGCTCTGCTCCATCCCTAGCCAAAGTCAGTGTCCTTTCCCCTTCTCCCAAGTGAGCTCTAGCCACCTGCCTACCCTGCCATCTGAGGATGACAGCCTTCATTCCATTGGAACCTGGCTCTGCCACCAGCAGGCTTGCAGTCCTGGGCAGACTCCGTCACCTCTCTATGCCTCAGCCTTTCCATCTGCACAGGAGGAAGATGATGATGGTGGTGATGATGATGGCGATGGTTTCCTTTTGCATCTGAGGCAAGGACTAATTGAGATGATACACATCAGGCACTGGGTATGGTGCTGGTCCTTCCTGAGCACTCAATCTATGTGAGCTGTCCTTGTGAAATGGGTGTCACCACATTTCCCCACGCAGAACATCCTTTGTCTGCCATACTTGAAACGTCTGCCCCAATACTAACAGCTCCTCATGGAAGATGTGCACACCCACCCACCCTCATACTCCCAAAGGTGCCCGTGCTTTATCAAGCCAAAGTCCAGCCAGGAACTTTACAGCAGCATCCCTTTCCCTCTCCAAGCACCAAGGAGCAAGGCAAAGCACTACATCTTCCATCTGGAGGCAATGCCACCCTCTTCTCCCATTTTCACTGCCATCCCTAAGAGGCAGTGCTTCCCCAAAAGGTTCCATAGCAGCCTGCCTACAGCAACTCTGTTCACACGAGTTTCAGCATCCTTGCAGTGGCTCCCCTGCCATGCTGTGGCTCTTCATTCACCCTCTTCTCCTGCTCCCCGTGACAGGCATAGATTCTGAGTGATCTGGATACATTGCTTTGTTTAATAACATTACAGCTTCTGTGCTGAAAAAGATACAGCAGATAGAGAAGGCAATTGTTGAACACAAAATAGTGACAGCAGAGATGACGGCAAGTTGGCATTTTTCTTTTCTAGCAATAAAACTTAAAGCTGACTCAAGGAGAAATGGAAATCATAATTGGAACAGTAATCCTCAAGAAAGCATTAAGATTATTAAATAATTGCCCTCACAGATGACTTCAGGCCAAGATGGCTTTATGGGTGAAGTTTAGACTTTCACAAAACTAATCAGTTCCCATAAGAACTGCTCCAGGATTTGGAGGAACATGGGAAAGTCTATTAAAGGGATCACAATTCACAGTCCCCAGAGTAAAACATGGGCTAACTTGCATTTTGGCAAAGAGCCAAATGTTATAAATGACATCCTAGAAGGCCAAATTCTGTCCATCTCGTTGAACAAGGACTTACACCAGGAATTTAGAACTATTTATAGCTCATCCCACCACTCAGGCCAATGATGACCCATGATCATCTCACCAGAAATGGAAAGACTCAGATGATTAATAGAGTCTCAATTTCTCTGAGACATCTAAGAGCCCAGCCCAAGCCCAGACCCAGGAGGGCACCCAGGCCTGGACAGAGAACACTGATATCACACCAGCCCTCCAGAGGGAAGCAGAGACTCCTTCAAGCTCTGGAAACACAGGCCCAGACAGCTGCCTAAAGTTGGGCAGGCTTCACTGCAAACCCAAATCATGAAGCTAGGTAACACCTTTACAGATTCTTTACATTTAAAAATCATCAAAACAAGAGTAAATAATAAACTCAAATAATATTAATCTAATATGTAAAGGTCTTGTACCATTATTATGCAAACAACATACATAAGCTAATAAGAAAAAGAACAAATCCCTTAAGAAATCGGCAAAAAGGATATAACACAATTTCTAAAAGAAAACAAATGGCTAGCACACATAAGGAAAACACTTTGTGAACAGACATTCTTCAGAACATTATTTATAATTATAAAATAGTTGAAAGCAAGATAGTGCCTGAAGAAATTATGGTGCATACATTAGTGGGACTATTCTGCAAACATTCCCAATTATACTTGTCACATATCTGTGATAACGTGACAGCCAGCATTCATGGGGTGACCTCATTTGGTAAAAGGGTGCAAAGCTCAACACGCATTGTGAGATGACTGTGGTGTAAAATTAGTGGGATTATTCCGCAAACATTCCCAATTATACTTACCGCATATCTGTGATAACATGACAGCATTCATGGGGTGACCTCATTTGGTAAAAGGGTGCAAAGCTCAACACGCATTGTGAGATGACTGGTGTAAATACAAAGACCAAACTGTGAAAAGGAGTCCATCAATTAATCGATGCTTACCTTCAGTTTTGGGCTAATTTTTAAAGTATGCTATAAGCATATGCTCCTGTTATAACAGAATGGAGGGATTATGAGAGATGATGCAGGTGTGTCCTGGGCCTCCCCTGGCCCACTGGGCCCTAGAGATGCCTTCCCAGGCATCGCTGTCAGGGCTTCCCTCAGAGGGAGTCCTGTATTGACCTCACCACCAAGGTCTGGAGCAGGGGATCCTTAGATATTGGTTGGGGTTATCTCACCTTAGGTCTGAATTTGGGGTTGTCTTAGACTGTTTTGTGCTGTTAGAATAGAATACCCAAGACTGGGAAATTTATACTGAACGGAAATTTATTTCTCACAGTTCTAGAGGCTGTGAAGTCCAAGAGCACAGGTGCCAGAGCAAGTCCAAGAGCAAGGGAAAGTCCAAAGCAAGTCCAGGAGCATCTGGCGAGGACCTTCTTGCTGTGTCATCACATGGCGGAAGGCAAGAAAGAGAGCAAGAGGGGGCCGAACTCACCCTTTTATAACAGCACCAATCCCACCCATGAGGTGGGGACCTTATGACCTAATCACTCTTCATACTGTTACAATGGCAATGAAATTTCAACATGAGTTTTGGAGGAGAGAAGCATTCAAACCACAGCAAGGGTGCTCCTACCTCCTCTCTCAGGGCATCTGCAGAAAGAGCTGCAACTGCACGTCCTTCCTCCGTCCATCCTCCATCCCTTCCCAATGTCCGTGCATATCCTGTGACCCAGGAGGTCTGGCATAGGGGGTGCTCCTGCCTTAGGTCTGAGGCCCTGTCTGAAGAGGGGTAGGTGAGGAGGCCATCTGATGGTCTGGGCCAAGACAGTCACAGGACGCATCATTTATCATCAAGGAGGCTGAGGGTTGAGTCTCCAGGTCCAGGGAACTCCCCACAAAGTGGGAACCCTGCCCAGCTCCACACAGCCTCTGCTGGGGGACCCTGCTCTGGTGCAGAGCCTGGGGACAGGTCTTGAGCTCAGCCAGAGTCTGCCTCCCTGTCATTTAGGAACTAAACCAAGCGGCAGGATGCTGGAGCCCAGCCCCCATCTGACCTTACAGGGCCAAGGCTGGGGCCCTGGGTTCCCCTCAAGGCGCAGCAGGACTGGAGCCCCAGGCAGTGCAGGAGTGGCCAAAGCTGGGGCTTCCTCCAGAGCCCCCAAGCATCACGGCACCAAGAAGGGTAGGACCCTGGCCTGAGGAATTGGCACCAAAGCCCCAGAAACTACCCTGGACACCATGGAGAGAGGCCTGGAGGGGAAGCACCAGGCACTGCCTCCCCTTCTGATCCCACCTGAGGTGGCTGCCAAGCCCAGAGAGCCGCTCTGATGTCCCCCAGCCCTGCAGCCCAGGGATACCTGTACTGTGCCCCTGGGGGACCCCTGGCCAGTCTGTGCAAAGAAGTCACCACCCTACACTCAGAGACAGTGGGGGTCCTCGTCCCACATCCTCAGAGCATGGCCCGGCTGCTGCAGGGATGGTCTCCTGGTCCTCAGAGCATGGCCCGGCTGCTGCAGGGATGGTCTCCTGGTCCTCAGAGCATGGCCCAGCTGCTGCAGGGATGGTCTCCTGGAGGCCCCCCAGTGCTCTATTGTCAGGGCTCCCTCCACCCCCCGCACCAAGAGAGAGCCAGACCCCAGCAAGGCTTCCAGTGGCTTCAGGTCACACCCCTAGGCTGACCCCAGCCCCATTAACACCTGCCTGAGAAAGCTCCACGCACCAGAACTGACCGTCTGCTCCAACTCTTGACCTCCCGTTCTCAGGGCGTCTGCTGAAAAGGCTGCAACTGCACATCCTTCCTCCGTCCGTTCCCGATGTCCGTGTGTCTCCTGTGGCCAGGAAGGTCTTTCTCGGGACCTGAGAGCCGCTCCCTGAAGTGTCCCCATTGGGAAGGATGGGGCCTGTGTCTCCAGGCTCTGGGAGGACAGAATCCTGACCTCAACAGTGGCCGGCACGGACACAACTGGCCCCATCCCGGGGACGCTGACCAGCGCTGGGCAACTTTTCCCTTCCCCGACGACTGAGCCCCGAGCACCCTCCCTGCTCCCCTACCACCTCCCTTTACAAGGCTGTGGCCTCTGCACAGATGATAATGGAGCTTGGCTCATTCCCCTAGAGTCGGTAGGGAGTTAAGGACAAAACTCAGTTTCCTCCACCTGAACTCAAGTCTGCCTATGTTTACCTAATCACACCTGGTGGACAGTTTGGACAAACTTGCACACTCAGAGACACAGACACTTCTAGAAATCATTATCTCCCTGCCCCGGGGACCCCACTCCAGCAGAAGTCTGCTAGGCACTGGCCTGGGCCCTCCTGCTGTCCTAGGAGGCTGCTGACCTCCTGCCTGGCTCCTGTCCCCAGGTCCAGAGTCAGAGCAGACTCCAGGGACGCTGCAGGCTAGGAAGCCGCCCCCTCCAGGCGAGGGTCTAGTGCAGGTGCCCAGGACAAGAAAGATTGTGAATGCAGGAATGACTGGGCCACACCCCTCCCGTGCACGCCCCCTCCTGCCCTGCACCCCACAGCCCAGCCCCCCGTGCTGGATGCCCCCCCACAGCAGAGGTGCTGTTCTGTGATCCCCTGGGAAAGACGCCCTCAACCTCCACCCTGTCCCACGGCCCAAGGAAGACAAGACACAGGCCCTCTCCTCACAGTCTCCCCACCTGGCTCCTGCTGGGACCCTCAAGGTGTGAACAGGGAGGATGGTTGTCTGGGTGGCCCCTAGGAGCCCAGATCTTCACTCCACAGACCCCAACCCAAGCACCCCCTTCTGCAGGGCCCAGCTCATCCCCCTCCTCCTCCCTCTGCTCTCCTCTCGTCGCCTCTACGGGAAATCCGGGACTCAGCAGTAACCCTCAGGAAGCAGGGCCCAGGCGCCGTTTAATAGGAGGCTTCCTCACAATGAAACTTTTAGAAAGCCTTGACTACAATGATGACCTTGGTGTGGCTGTGAACACTGTCAGCTCCCACAGCTGCTGCAGCAAAAAATGTCCATAGACAGGGTGGGGGCCCGGGGTCGTCTGCTGTCCTGCTCAGCCCACAGCACGCATGGAGGATCTGAGGTGCCACACCTGACGCCCAGGCCAGAACATGCCTCCCTCCAGGGTGACCTGCCATGTCCTGCATTGCTGGAGGGACAGGGGCAGCCTATGAGGATCTGGGGCCAGGAGATGAATCCTATTAACCCAGAGGAAAACTAACAGGACCCAAGCACCCTCCCCGTTGAAGCTGACCTGCCCAGAGGGGCCTGGGCCCACCCCACACACCGGGGCGGAATGTGTACAGGCCCCGGTCTCTGTGGGTGTTCCGCTAACTGGGGCTCCCAGTGCTCACCCCACAACTAAAGCGAGCCCCAGCCTCCAGAGCCCCCGAAGGAGATGCCGCCCACAAGCCCAGCCCCCATCCAGGAGGCCCCAGAGCTCAGGGCGCCGGGGCAGATTCTGAACAGCCCCGAGTCACGGTGGGTACAACTGGAACGACCACCGTGAGAAAAACTGTGTCCAAAACTCTCTCCTGGCCCCTGCTGGAGGCCGCGCCAGAGAGGGGAGCAGCCGCCCCGAACCTAGGTCCTGCTCAGCTCACACGACCCCCAGCAGCCAGAGCACAGTGGAGTCCCCACTGAACCCCACTGAATGGTGAGGACGGGGACCAGGGCTCCAGGGGGTCATGGAAGGGGCTGGACCCCATCCTACTGCTATGGTCCCAGTGCTCCTGGCCAGAACTGACCCTACCACCGACAAGAGTCCCTCAGGGAAACGGGGGTCACTGGCACCTCCCAGCATCAACCCCAGGCAGCACAGGCATAAACCCCACATCCAGAGCCGACTCCAGGAGCAGAGACACCCCAGTACCCTGGGGGACACCGACCCTGATGACTCCCCACTGGAATCCACCCCAGAGTCCACCAGGACCAAAGACCCCGCCCCGGTCTCTGTCCCTCACTCAGGACCTGCTGCGGGGCGGGCCATGAGACCAGACTCGGGCTTAGGGAACACCACTGTGGCCCCAACCTCGACCAGGCCACAGGCCCTTCCTTCCTGCCCTGCGGCAGCACAGACTTTGGGGTCTGTGCAGAGAGGAATCACAGAGGCCCCAGGCTGAGGTGGTGGGGGTGGAAGACCCCCAGGAGGTGGCCCACTTCCCTTCCTCCCAGCTGGAACCCACCATGACCTTCTTAAGATAGGGGTGTCATCCGAGGCAGGTCCTCCATGGAGCTCCCTTCAGGCTCCTCCCTGGTCCTCACTAGGCCTCAGTCCCGGCTGTGGGAATGCAGCCACCACAGGCACACCAGGCAGCCCAGACCCAGCCAGCCTGCAGTGCCCAAGCCCACATTCTGGAGCAGAGCAGGCTGTGTCTGGGAGAGTCTGGGCTCCCCACCGCCCCCCGCACACCCCACCCACCCCTGTCCAGGCCCTATGCAGGAGGGTCAGAGCCCCCCATGGGGTATGGACTTAGGGTCTCACTCACGCGGCTCCCCTCCTGGGTGAAGGGGTCTCATGCCCAGATCCCCACAGCAGAGCTGGTCAAAGGTGGAGGCAGTGGCCCCAGGGCCACCCTGACCTGGACCCTCAGGCTCCTCTAGCCCTGGCTGCCCTGCTGTCCCTGGGAGGCCTGGACTCCACCAGACCACAGGTCCAGGGCACCGCCCATAGGTGCTGCCCACACTCAGTTCACAGGAAGAAGATAAGCTCCAGACCCCCAAGACTGGGACCTGCCTTCCTGCCACCGCTTGTAGCTCCAGACCTCCGTGCCTCCCCCGACCACTTACACACGGGCCAGGGAGCTGTTCCACAAAGATCAACCCCAAACCGGGACCGCCTGGCACTCGGGCCGCTGCCACTTCCCTCTCCATTTGCTCCCAGCACCTCTGTGCTCCCTCCCTCCTCCCTCCTTCAGGGGAACAGCCTGTGCAGCCCCTCCCTGCACCCCACACCCTGGGGAGGCCCAACCCTGCCTCCAGCCCTTTCTCCCCCGCTGCTCTTCCTGCCCATCCAGACAACCCTGGGGTCCCATCCCTGCAGCCTACACCCTGGTCTCCACCCAGACCCCTGTCTCTCCCTCCAGACACCCCTCCCAGGCCAACCCTGCACATGCAGGCCCTCCCCTTTTCTGCTGCCAGAGCCTCAGTTTCTACCCTCTGTGCCTACCCCCTGCCTCCTCCTGCCCACAACTCGAGCTCTTCCTCTCCTGGGGCCCCTGAGCCATGGCACTGACCGTGCACTCCCACCCCCACACTGCCCATGCCCTCACCTTCCTCCTGGACACTCTGACCCTGCTCCCCTCTTGGACCCAGCCCTGGTATTTCCAGGACAAAGGCTCACCCAAGTCTTCCCCATGCAGGCCCTTGCCCTCACTGCCCGGTTACACGGCAGCCTCCTGTGCACAGAAGCAGGGAGCTCAGCCCTTCCACAGGCAGAAGGCACTGAAAGAAATCGGCCTCCAGCACCCTGATGCACGTCCGCCTGTGTCTCTCACTGCCCGCACCTGCAGGGAGGCTCGGCACTCCCTGTAAAGACGAGGGATCCAGGCAGCAACATCATGGGAGAATGCAGGGCTCCCAGACAGCCCAGCCCTCTCGCAGGCCTCTCCTGGGAAGAGACCTGCAGCCACCACTGAACAGCCACGGAGCCCGCTGGATAGTAACTGAGTCAGTGACCGACCTGGAGGGCAGGGGAGCAGTGAACCGGAGCCCAGACCATAGGGACAGAGACCAGCCGCTGACATCCCGAGCCCCTCACTGGCGGCCCCAGAACACCGCGTGGAAACAGAACAGACCCACATTCCCACCTGGAACAGGGCAGACACTGCTGAGCCCCCAGCACCAGCCCTGAGAAACACCAGGCAACGGCATCAGAGGGGGCTCCTGAGAAAGAAAGGAGGGGAGGTCTCCTTCACCAGCAAGTACTTCCCTTGACCAAAAACAGGGTCCACGCAACTCCCCCAGGACAAAGGAGGAGCCCCCTGTACAGCACTGGGCTCAGAGTCCTCTCCAACACACCCTGAGTTTCAGACAAAAACCCCCTGGAAATCATAGTATCAGCAGGAGAACTAGCCAGAGACAGCAAGAGGGGACTCAGTGACTCCCGCGGGGACAGGAGGATTTTGTGGGGGCTCGTGTCACTGTGAGGATATTGTAGTAGTACCAGCTGCTATGCCCACAGTGACACAGCCCCATTCCCAAAGCCCTGCTGTAAACGCTTCCACTTCTGGAGCTGAGGGGCTGGGGGGAGCGTCTGGGAAGTAGGGCCTAGGGGTGGCCATCAATGCCCAAAACGCACCAGACTCCCCCCCAGACATCACCCCACTGGCCAGTGAGCAGAGTAAACAGAAAATGAGAAGCAGCTGGGAAGCTTGCACAGGCCCCAAGGAAAGAGCTTTGGCGGGTGTGCAAGAGGGGATGCGGGCAGAGCCTGAGCAGGGCCTTTTGCTGTTTCTGCTTTCCTGTGCAGATAGTTCCATAAACTGGTGTTCAAGATCGATGGCTGGGAGTGAGCCCAGGAGGACAGTGTGGGAAGGGCACAGGGAAGGAGAAGCAGCCGCTATCCTACACTGTCATCTTTCAAGAGTTTGCCCTGTGCCCACAATGCTGCATCATGGGATGCTTAACAGCTGATGTAGACACAGCTAAAGAGAGAATCAGTGAAATGGATTTGCAGCACAGATCTGAATAAATTCTCCAGAATGTGGAGCCACACAGAAGCAAGCACAAGGAAAGTGCCTGATGCAAGGGCAAAGTACAGTGTGTACCTTCAGGCTGGGCACAGACACTCTGAAAAGCCTTGGCAGGAACTCCCTGCAACAAAGCAGAGCCCTGCAGGCAATGCCAGCTCCAGAGCCCTCCCTGAGAGCCTCATGGGCAAAGATGTGCAGAACATATGTTTGTCATAGCCCCAAACTGAGAATGAAGCAAACAGCCATCTGAAGGAAAACAGGCAAATAAACGATGGCAGGTTCATGAAATGCAAACCCAGACAGCCAGAAGGACAACAGTGAGGGTTACAGGTGACTCTGTGGTTGAGTTCATGACAATGCTGAGTAATTGGAGTAACAAAGGAAAGTCCAAAAAATACTTTCAATGTGATTTCTTCTAAATAAAATTTACAGCCGGCAAAATGAACTATCTTCTTAAGGGATAAACTTTCCACTAGGAAAACTATAAGGAAAATCAAGAAAAGGATGATCACATAAACACAGTGGTCGTTACTTCTACTGGGGAAGGAAGAGGGTATGAACTGAGACACACAGGGTTGGCAAGTCTCCTAACAAGAAGAGAACAAATACATTACAGTACCTTGAAAACAGCAGTTAAAATTCTAAATTGCAAGAAGAGGAAAATGCACACAGCTGTGTTTAGAAAATTCTCAGTCCAGCACTGTTCATAATAGCAAAGACATTAACCCAGGTTGGATAAATAAACGATGACACAGGCAATTGCACAATGATACAGACATACATTCAGTATATGAGACATTGATGATGTATCCCCAAAGAAATGACTTTAAAGAGAAAAGGCCTGATATGTGGTGGCACTCACCTCCCTGGGCATCCCCGGACAGGCTGCAGGCACACTGTGTGGCAGGGCAGGCTGGTACCTGCTGGCAGCTCCTGGGGCCTGATGTGGAGCAGGCACAGAGCCGTATCCCCCCGAGGACATATACCCCCAAGGACGGCACAGTTGGTACATTCCGGAGACAAGCAACTCAGCCACACTCCCAGGCCAGAGCCCGAGAGGGACGCCCATGCACAGGGAGGCAGAGCCCAGCTCCTCCACAGCCAGCAGCACCTGTGCAGGGGCCGCCATCTGGCAGGCACAGAGCATGGGCTGGGAGGAGGGGCAGGGACACCAGGCAGGGTTGGCACCAACTGAAAATTACAGAAGTCTCATACATCTACCTCAGCCTTGCCTGACCTGGGCCTCACCTGACCTGGACCTCACCTGGCCTGGACCTCACCTGGCCTAGACCTCACCTCTGGGCTTCACCTGAGCTCGGCCTCACCTGACTTGGACCTTGCCTGTCCTGAGCTCACATGATCTGGGCCTCACCTGACCTGGGTTTCACCTGACCTGGGCTTCACCTGACCTGGGCCTCATCTGACCTGGGCCTCACTGGCCTGGACCTCACCTGGCCTGGGCTTCACCTGGCCTCAGGCCTCATCTGCACCTGCTCCAGGTCTTGCTGGAACCTCAGTAGCACTGAGGCTGCAGGGGCTCATCCAGGGTTGCAGAATGACTCTAGAACCTCCCACATCTCAGCTTTCTGGGTGGAGGCACCTGGTGGCCCAGGGAATATAAAAAGCCTGAATGATGCCTGCGTGATTTGGGGGCAATTTATAAACCCAAAAGGACATGGCCATGCAGCGGGTAGGGACAATACAGACAGATATCAGCCTGAAATGGAGCCTCAGGGCACAGGTGGGCACGGACACTGTCCACCTAAGCCAGGGGCAGACCCGAGTGTCCCCGCAGTAGACCTGAGAGCGCTGGGCCCACAGCCTCCCCTCGGTGCCCTGCTACCTCCTCAGGTCAGCCCTGGACATCCCGGGTTTCCCCAGGCCTGGCGGTAGGTTTGGGGTGAGGTCTGTGTCACTGTGGTATTACGATTTTTGGAGTGGTTATTATACCCACAGTGTCACAGAGTCCATCAAAAACCCATCCCTGGGAACCTTCTGCCACAGCCCTCCCTGTGGGGCACCGCTGCGTGCCATGTTAGGATTTTGACTGAGGACACAGCACCATGGGTATGGTGGCTACCGCAGCAGTGCAGCCTGTGACCCAAACACACAGGGCAGCAGGCACAACAGACAAGCCCACAAGTGACCACCCTGAGCTCCTGCCTGCCAGCCCTGGAGACCATGAAACAGATGGCCAGGATTATCCCATAGGTCAGCCAGACCTCAGTCCAACAGGTCTGCATCGCTGCTGCCCTCCAATACCAGTCCGGATGGGGACAGGGCCGGCCCACATTACCATTTGCTGCCATCCGGCCAACAGTCCCAGAAGCCCCTCCCTCAAGGCTGGGCCACATGTGTGGACCCTGAGAGCCCCCCATGTCTGAGTAGGGGCACCAGGAAGGTGGGGCTGGCCCTGTGCACTGTCACTGCCCCTGTGGTCCCTGGCCTGCCTGGCCCTGACACCTGGGCCTCTCCTGGGTCATTTCCAAGACAGAAGACATTCCCAGGACAGCTGGAGCTGGGAGTCCATCATCCTGCCTGGCCATCCTGAGTCCTGCGCCTTTCCAAACCTCACCCGGGAAGCCAACAGAGGAATCACCTCCCACAGGCAGAGACAAAGACCTTCCAGAAATCTCTGTCTCTCTCCCCAGTGGGCACCCTCTTCCAGGGCAGTCCTCAGTGATATCACAGTGGGAACCCACATCTGGATCGGGACTGCCCCCAGAACACAAGATGGCCCACAGGGACAGCCCCACAGCCCAGCCCTTCCCAGACCCCTAAAAGGCGTCCCACCCCCTGCATCTGCCCCAGGGCTCAAACTCCAGGAGGACTGACTCCTGCACACCCTCCTGCCAGACATCACCTCAGCCCCTCCTGGAAGGGACAGGAGCGCGCAAGGGTGAGTCAGACCCTCCTGCCCTCGATGGCAGGCGGAGAAGATTCAGAAAGGTCTGAGATCCCCAGGACGCAGCACCACTGTCAATGGGGGCCCCAGACGCCTGGACCAGGGCCTGCGTGGGAAAGGCCTCTGGGCACACTCAGGGGCTTTTTGTGAAGGGTCCTCCTACTGTGTGACTACAGTAACTACCACAGTGATGAACCCAGCAGCAAAAACTGACCGGACTCCCAAGGTTTATGCACACTTCTCCGCTCAGAGCTCTCCAGGATCAGAAGAGCCGGGCCCAAGGGTTTCTGCCCAGACCCTCGGCCTCTAGGGACATCTTGGCCATGACAGCCCATGGGCTGGTGCCCCACACATCGTCTGCCTTCAAACAAGGGCTTCAGAGGGCTCTGAGGTGACCTCACTGATGACCACAGGTGCCCTGGCCCCTTCCCCGCCAGCTGCACCAGACCCCGTCCTGACAGATGCCCCGATTCCAACAGCCAATTCCTGGGGCCAGGAATCGCTGTAGACACCAGCCTCCTTCCAACACCTCTTGCCAATTGCCTGGATTCCCATCCCGGTTGGAATCAAGAGGACAGCATCCCCCAGGCTCCCAACAGGCAGGACTCCCACACCCTCCTCTGAGAGGCCGCTGTGTTCCGTAGGGCCAGGCTGCAGACAGTCCCCCTCACCTGCCACTAGACAAATGCCTGCTGTAGATGTCCCCACCTGGAAAAGACCACTCATGGAGCCCCCAGCCCCAGGTACAGCCATAGAGAGAGTCTCTGAGGCCCCTAAGAAGTAGCCATGCCCAGTTCTGCCGGGACCCTCGGCCAGGCTGACAGGAGTGGACGCTGGAGCTGGGCCCACACTGGGCCACATAGGAGCTCACCAGTGAGGGCAGGAGAGCACATGCCGGGGAGCACCCAGCCTCCTGCTGACCAGAGGCCCGTCCCAGAGCCCAGGAGGCTGCAGAGGCCTCTCCAGGGGGACACTGTGCATGTCTGGTCCCTGAGCAGCCCCCCATGTCCCCAGTCCTGGGGGCCCCTGGCACAGCTGTCTGGACCCTCTCTATTCCCTGGGAAGCTCCTCCTGACAGCCCCGCCTCCAGTTCCAGGTGTGGTTATTGTCAGGGGGTGTCAGACTGTGGTGGATACAGCTATGGTTACCACAGTGGTGCTGCCCATAGCAGCAACCAGGCCAAGTAGACAGGCCCCTGCTGTGCAGCCCCAGGCCTCCAGCTCACCTGCTTCTCCTGGGGCTCTCAAGGCTGCTGTTTTCTGCACTCTCCCCTCTGTGGGGAGGGTTCCCTCAGTGGGAGATCTGTTCTCAACATCCCAGGGCCTCATTCCTGCAAGGAAGGCCAATGGATGGGCAACCTCACATGCCGCGGCTAAGATAGGGTGGGCAGCCTGGCGGGGACAGGACATCCTGCTGGGGTATCTGTCACTGTGCCTAGTGGGGCACTGGCTCCCAAACAACGCAGTCCTCGCCAAAATCCCCACGGCCTCCCCCGCTAGGGGCTGGCCTGATCTCCTGCAGTCCTAGGAGGCTGCTGACCTCCAGAATGGCTCCGTCCCCAGTTCCAGGGCGAGAGCAGATCCCAGGCCGGCTGCAGACTGGGAGGCCACCCCCTCCTTCCCAGGGTTCACTGCAGGTGACCAGGGCAGGAAATGGCCTGAACACAGGGATAACCGGGCCATCCCCCAACAGAGTCCACCCCCTCCTGCTCTGTACCCCGCACCCCCAAGGCCAGCCCATGACATCCGACAACCCCACACCAGAGTCACTGCCCGGTGCTGCCCTAGGGAGGACCCCTCAGCCCCCACCCTGTCTAGAGGACTGGGGAGGACAGGACACGCCCTCTCCTTATGGTTCCCCCACCTGGCTCTGGCTGGGACCCTTGGGGTGTGGACAGAAAGGACGCTTGCCTGATTGGCCCCCAGGAGCCCAGAACTTCTCTCCAGGGACCCCAGCCCGAGCACCCCCTTACCCAGGACCCAGCCCTGCCCCTCCTCCCATCTGCTCTCCTCTCATCACCCCATGGGAATCCAGAATCCCCAGGAAGCCATCAGGAAGGGCTGAGGGAGGAAGTGGGGCCACTGCACCACCAGGCAGGAGGCTCCGTCTTTGTGAACCCAGGGAGGTGCCAGCCTCCTAGAGGGTATGGTCCACCCTGCCTATGGCTCCCACAGTGGCAGGCTGCAGGGAAGGACCAGGGACGGTGTGGGGGAGGGCTCAGGGCCCCGCGGGTGCTCCATCTTGGATGAGCCCATCTCTCTCACCCACGGACTCACCCACCTCCTCTCCACCCTGGCCACACGTCGTCCACACCATCCTAAGTCCCACCTACACCAGAGCCGGCACAGCCAGTGCAGACAGAGGCTGGGGTGCAGGGGGGCCGCCAGGGCAGCTTTGGGGAGGGAAGGATGGAGGAAGGGGAGTTCAGTGAAGAGGCCCCCCTCCCCTGGGTCCAGGATCCTCCTCTGGGACCCCCGGATCCCATCCCCTCCAGGCTCTGGGAGGAGAAGCAGGATGGGAGAATCTGTGCGGGACCCTCTCACAGTGGAATACCTCCACAGCGGCTCAGGCAAGACCCAAAAGCCCCTCAGTGAGCCCTCCACTGCAGTCCTGGGCCTGGGTAGCAGCCCCTCCCACAGAGGATGAACCCAGCACCCCGAGGATGTCCTGCCAGGGGGAGCTCAGAGCCATGAAGGAGCAGGATATGGGACCCCCGATACAGGCACAGACCTCAGCTCCATTCAGGACTGCCACGTCCTGCCCTGGGAGGAACCCCTTTCTCTAGTCCCTGCAGGCCAGGAGGCAGCTGACTCCTGACTTGGACGCCTATTCCAGACACCAGACAGAGGGGCAGGCCCCCCAGAACCAGGGATGAGGACGCCCCGTCAAGGCCAGAAAAGACCAAGTTGTGCTGAGCCCAGCAAGGGAAGGTCCCCAAACAAACCAGGAAGTTTCTGAAGGTGTCTGTGTCACAGTGGAGTATAGCAGCTCGTCCCACAGTGACACTCGCCAGGCCAGAAACCCCATCCCAAGTCAGCGGAATGCAGAGAGAGCAGGGAGG
Source organism: Homo sapiens (assembly GCF_000001405.40). NCBI lineage: Eukaryota > Metazoa > Chordata > Mammalia > Primates > Hominidae > Homo > Homo sapiens. The sequence continues at coordinate 105,910,343 of NC_000014.9, read as the reverse complement.
ACATGTTTAGGATCTGAGGCCGCACCTGACACCCAGGCCAGCAGACGTCTCCTGTCCATGGCACCCTGCCATGTCCTGCATTTCTGGAAGAACAAGGGCAGGCTGAAGGGGGTCCAGGACCAGGAGATGGGTCCCCTCTACCCAGAGAAGGAGCCAGGCAGGACACAAGCCCCCTCCCCATTGAGGCTGACCTGCCCAGAGGGTCCTGGGCCCACCCCACACACCGGGGCGGAATGTGTGCAGGCCTCGGTCTCTGTGGGTGTTCCGCTAGCTGGGGCTCACAGTGCTCACCCCACACCTAAAACGAGCCACAGCCTCAGAGCCCCTGAAGGAGACCCCGCCCACAAGCCCAGCCCCCACCCAGGAGGCCCCAGAGCACAGGGCGCCCCGTCGGATTCTGAACAGCCCCGAGTCACAGTGGGTATAACTGGAACTACCACTGTGAGAAAAGCTTCGTCCAAAACGGTCTCCTGGCCACAGTCGGAGGCCCCGCCAGAGAGGGGAGCAGCCACCCCAAACCCATGTTCTGCCGGCTCCCATGACCCCGTGCACCTGGAGCCCCACAGTGTCCCCACTGGATGGGAGGACAAGGGCCGGGGGCTCCGGCGGGTCGGGGCAGGGGCTTGATGGCTTCCTTCTGCCGTGGCTCCAGTGCCCCTGGCTGGAGTTGACCCTTCTGACAAGTGTCCTCAGAGAGTCAGGGATCAGTGGCACCTCCCAACATCAACCCCACGCAGCCCAGGCACAAACCCCACATCCAGGGCCAACTCCAGGAACAGAGACACCCCAATACCCTGGGGGACCCCAACCCTGATGACTCCCGTCCCATCTCTGTCCCTCACTTGGGGCCTGCTGCGGGGCGAGCACTTGGGAGCAAACTCAGGCTTAGGGGACACCACTGTGGGCCTGACCTCGAGCAGGCCACAGACCCTTCCCTCCTGCCCTGGTGCAGCACAGACTTTGGGGTCTGGGCAGGGAGGAACTTCTGGCAGGTCACCAAGCACAGAGCCCCCAGGCTGAGGTGGCCCCAGGGGGAACCCCAGCAGGTGGCCCACTACCCTTCCTCCCAGCTGGACCCCATGTCTTCCCCAAGATAGGGGTGCCATCCAAGGCAGGTCCTCCATGGAGCCCCCTTCAGGCTCCTCTCCAGACCCCACTGGGCCTCAGTCCCCACTCTAGGAATGCAGCCACCACGGGCACACCAGGCAGCCCAGGCCCAGCCACCCTGCAGTGCCCAAGCCCACACCCTGGAGGAGAGCAGGGTGCGTCTGGGAGGGGCTGGGCTCCCCACCCCCACCCCCACCTGCACACCCCACCCACCCTTGCCCGGGCCCCCTGCAGGAGGGTCAGAGCCCCCATGGGATATGGACTTAGGGTCTCACTCACGCACCTCCCCTCCTGGGAGAAGGGGTCTCATGCCCAGATCCCCCCAGCAGCGCTGGTCACAGGTAGAGGCAGTGGCCCCAGGGCCACCCTGACCTGGCCCCTCAGGCTCCTCTAGCCCTGGCTGCCCTGCTGTCCCTGGGAGGCCTGGGCTCCACCAGACCACAGGTCTAGGGCACCGCCCACACTGGGGCCGCCCACACACAGCTCACAGGAAGAAGATAAGCTCCAGACCCCCAGGCCCGGGACCTGCCTTGCTGCTACGACTTCCTGCCCCAGACCTCGTTGCCCTCCCCCGTCCACTTACACACAGGCCAGGAAGCTGTTCCCACACAGACCAACCCCAGACGGGGACCACCTGGCACTCAGGTCACTGCCATTTCCTTCTCCATTCACTTCCAATGCCTCTGTGCTTCCTCCCTCCTCCTTCCTTCGGGGGAGCACCCTGTGCAGCTCCTCCCTGCAGTCCACACCCTGGGGAGACCCGACCCTGCAGCCCACACCCTGGGGAGACCTGACCCTCCTCCAGCCCTTTCTCCCCCGCTGCTCTTGCCACCCACCAAGACAGCCCTGGGGTCCTGTCCCTACAGCCCCCACCCAGTTCTCTACCTAGACCCGTCTTCCTCCCTCTAAACACCTCTCCCAGGCCAACCCTACACCTGCAGGCCCTCCCCTCCACTGCCAAAGACCCTCAGTTTCTCCTGCCTGTGCCCACCCCCGTGCTCCTCCTGCCCACAGCTCGAGCTCTTCCTCTCCTAGGGCCCCTGAGGGATGGCATTGACCGTGCCCTCGCACCCACACACTGCCCATGCCCTCACATTCCTCCTGGCCACTCCAGCCCCACTCCCCTCTCAGGCCTGGCTCTGGTATTTCTGGGACAAAGCCTTACCCAAGTCTTTCCCATGCAGGCCTGGGCCCTTACCCTCACTGCCCGGTTACAGGGCAGCCTCCTGTGCACAGAAGCAGGGAGCTCAGCCCTTCCACAGGCAGAAGGCACTGAAAGAAATCGGCCTCCAGCGCCTTGACACACGTCTGCCTGTGTCTCTCACTGCCCGCACCTGCAGGGAGGCTCGGCACTCCCTCTAAAGACGAGGGATCCAGGCAGCAGCATCACAGGAGAATGCAGGGCTACCAGACATCCCAGTCCTCTCACAGGCCTCTCCTGGGAAGAGACCTGAAGACGCCCAGTCAACGGAGTCTAACACCAAACCTCCCTGGAGGCCGATGGGTAGTAACGGAGTCATTGCCAGACCTGGAGGCAGGGGAGCAGTGAGCCCGAGCCCACACCATAGGGCCAGAGGACAGCCACTGACATCCCAAGCCACTCACTGGTGGTCCCACAACACCCCATGGAAAGAGGACAGACCCACAGTCCCACCTGGACCAGGGCAGAGACTGCTGAGACCCAGCACCAGAACCAACCAAGAAACACCAGGCAACAGCATCAGAGGGGGCTCTGGCAGAACAGAGGAGGGGAGGTCTCCTTCACCAGCAGGCGCTTCCCTTGACCGAAGACAGGATCCATGCAACTCCCCCAGGACAAAGGAGGAGCCCCTTGTTCAGCACTGGGCTCAGAGTCCTCTCCAAGACACCCAGAGTTTCAGACAAAAACCCCCTGGAATGCACAGTCTCAGCAGGAGAGCCAGCCAGAGCCAGCAAGATGGGGCTCAGTGACACCCGCAGGGACAGGAGGATTTTGTGGGGGCTCGTGTCACTGTGAGGATATTGTACTAATGGTGTATGCTATACCCACAGTGACACAGCCCCATTCCCAAAGCCCTACTGCAAACGCATTCCACTTCTGGGGCTGAGGGGCTGGGGGAGCGTCTGGGAAATAGGGCTCAGGGGTGTCCATCAATGCCCAAAACGCACCAGACTCCCCTCCATACATCACACCCACCAGCCAGCGAGCAGAGTAAACAGAAAATGAGAAGCAAGCTGGGGAAGCTTGCACAGGCCCCAAGGAAAGAGCTTTGGCGGGTGTGTAAGAGGGGATGCGGGCAGAGCCTGAGCAGGGCCTTTTGCTGTTTCTGCTTTCCTGTGCAGAGAGTTCCATAAACTGGTGTTCGAGATCAATGGCTGGGAGTGAGCCCAGGAGGACAGCGTGGGAAGAGCACAGGGAAGGAGGAGCAGCCGCTATCCTACACTGTCATCTTTCGAAAGTTTGCCTTGTGCCCACACTGCTGCATCATGGGATGCTTAACAGCTGATGTAGACACAGCTAAAGAGAGAATCAGTGAGATGGATTTGCAGCACAGATCTGAATAAATTCTCCAGAATGTGGAGCAGCACAGAAGCAAGCACACAGAAAGTGCCTGATGCAAGGACAAAGTTCAGTGGGCACCTTCAGGCATTGCTGCTGGGCACAGACACTCTGAAAAGCCCTGGCAGGAACTCCCTGTGACAAAGCAGAACCCTCAGGCAATGCCAGCCCCAGAGCCCTCCCTGAGAGCCTCATGGGCAAAGATGTGCACAACAGGTGTTTCTCATAGCCCCAAACTGAGAGCAAAGCAAACGTCCATCTGAAGGAGAACAGGCAAATAAACGATGGCAGGTTCATGAAATGCAAACCCAGACAGCCACAAGCACAAAAGTACAGGGTTATAAGCGACTCTGGTTGAGTTCATGACAATGCTGAGTAATTGGAGTAACAAAGTAAACTCCAAAAAATACTTTCAATGTGATTTCTTCTAAATAAAATTTACACCCTGCAAAATGAACTGTCTTCTTAAGGGATACATTTCCCAGTTAGAAAACCATAAAGAAAACCAAGAAAAGGATGATCACATAAACACAGTGGTGGTTACTTCTGCTGGGGAAGGAAGAGGGTATGAACTGAGATACACAGGGTGGGCAAGTCTCCTAACAAGAACAGAACGAATACATTACAGTACCTTGAAAACAGCAGTTAAACTTCTAAATTGCAAGAAGAGGAAAATGGACACAGTTGTGTTTAGAAAATTCTCAGTCCAGCACTGTTCATAATAGCAAAGACATTAACCCAGGTCGGATAAATAAGCGATGACACAGGCAATTGCACAATGATACAGACATATATTTAGTATATGAGACATCGATGATGTATCCCCAAATAAACGACTTTAAAGAGATAAAGGGCTGATGTGTGGTGGCATTCACCTCCCTGGGATCCCCGGACAGGTTGCAGGCTCACTGTGCAGCAGGGCAGGCGGGTACCTGCTGGCAGTTCCTGGGGCCTGATGTGGAGCAAGCGCAGGGCCATATATCCCGGAGGACGGCACAGTCAGTGAATTCCAGAGAGAAGCAACTCAGCCACACTCCCCAGGCAGAGCCCGAGAGGGACGCCCACGCACAGGGAGGCAGAGCCCAGCACCTCCGCAGCCAGCACCACCTGTGCACGGGCCACCACCTTGCAGGCACAGAGTGGGTGCTGAGAGGAGGGGCAGGGACACCAGGCAGGGTGAGCACCCAGAGAAAACTGCAGACGCCTCACACATCCACCTCAGCCTCCCCTGACCTGGACCTCACTGGCCTGGGCCTCACTTAACCTGGGCTTCACCTGACCTTGGCCTCACCTGACTTGGACCTCGCCTGTCCCAAGCTTTACCTGACCTGGGCCTCAACTCACCTGAACGTCTCCTGACCTGGGTTTAACCTGTCCTGGAACTCACCTGGCCTTGGCTTCCCCTGACCTGGACCTCATCTGGCCTGGGCTTCACCTGGCCTGGGCCTCACCTGACCTGGACCTCATCTGGCCTGGACCTCACCTGGCCTGGACTTCACCTGGCCTGGGCTTCACCTGACCTGGACCTCACCTGGCCTCGGGCCTCACCTGCACCTGCTCCAGGTCTTGCTGGAGCCTGAGTAGCACTGAGGGTGCAGAAGCTCATCCAGGGTTGGGGAATGACTCTAGAAGTCTCCCACATCTGACCTTTCTGGGTGGAGGCAGCTGGTGGCCCTGGGAATATAAAAATCTCCAGAATGATGACTCTGTGATTTGTGGGCAACTTATGAACCCGAAAGGACATGGCCATGGGGTGGGTAGGGACATAGGGACAGATGCCAGCCTGAGGTGGAGCCTCAGGACACAGGTGGGCACGGACACTATCCACATAAGCGAGGGATAGACCCGAGTGTCCCCACAGCAGACCTGAGAGCGCTGGGCCCACAGCCTCCCCTCAGAGCCCTGCTGCCTCCTCCGGTCAGCCCTGGACATCCCAGGTTTCCCCAGGCCTGCCGGTAGGTTTAGAATGAGGTCTGTGTCACTGTGGTATTACGATATTTTGACTGGTTATTATAACCACAGTGTCACAGAGTCCATCAAAAACCCATGCCTGGAAGCTTCCCGCCACAGCCCTCCCCATGGGGCCCTGCTGCCTCCTCAGGTCAGCCCCGGACATCCCGGGTTTCCCCAGGCTGGGCGGTAGGTTTGGGGTGAGGTCTGTGTCACTGTGGTATTACTATGGTTCGGGGAGTTATTATAACCACAGTGTCACAGAGTCCATCAAAAACCCATCCCTGGGAGCCTCCCGCCACAGCCCTCCCTGCAGGGGACCGGTACGTGCCATGTTAGGATTTTGATCGAGGAGACAGCACCATGGGTATGGTGGCTACCACAGCAGTGCAGCCTGTGACCCAAACCCGCAGGGCAGCAGGCACGATGGACAGGCCCGTGACTGACCACGCTGGGCTCCAGCCTGCCAGCCCTGGAGATCATGAAACAGATGGCCAAGGTCACCCTACAGGTCATCCAGATCTGGCTCCGAGGGGTCTGCATCGCTGCTGCCCTCCCAACGCCAGTCCAAATGGGACAGGGACGGCCTCACAGCACCATCTGCTGCCATCAGGCCAGCGATCCCAGAAGCCCCTCCCTCAAGGCTGGGCCACATGTGTGGACACTGAGAGCCCTCATGTCTGAGTAGGGGCACCAGGAGGGAGGGGCTGGCCCTGTGCACTGTCCCTGCCCCTGTGGTCCCTGGCCTGCCTGGCCCTGACACCTGAGCCTCTCCTGGGTCATTTCCAAGACAGAAGACATTCCTGGGGACAGCCGGAGCTGGGCGTCGCTCATCCTGCCCGGCCGTCCTGAGTCCTGCTCATTTCCAGACCTCACCGGGGAAGCCAACAGAGGACTCGCCTCCCACATTCAGAGACAAAGAACCTTCCAGAAATCCCTGCCTCTCTCCCCAGTGGACACCCTCTTCCAGGACAGTCCTCAGTGGCATCACAGCGGCCTGAGATCCCCAGGACGCAGCACCGCTGTCAATAGGGGCCCCAAATGCCTGGACCAGGGCCTGCGTGGGAAAGGTCTCTGGCCACACTCGGGCTTTTTGTGAAGGGCCCTCCTGCTGTGTGACTACAGTAACTACCATAGTGATGAACCCAGTGGCAAAAACTGGCTGGAAACCCAGGGGCTGTGTGCACGCCTCAGCTTGGAGCTCTCCAGGAGCACAAGAGCCGGGCCCAAGGATTTGTGCCCAGACCCTCAGCCTCTAGGGACACCTGGGCCATCTCAGCCTGGGCTGGTGCCCTGCACACCATCTTCCTCCAAATAGGGGCTTCAGAGGGCTCTGAGGTGACCTCACTCATGACCACAGGTGACCTGGCCCTTCCCTGCCAGCTATACCAGACCCTGTCTTGACAGATGCCCCGATTCCAACAGCCAATTCCTGGGACCCTGAATAGCTGTAGACACCAGCCTCATTCCAGTACCTCCTGCCAATTGCCTGGATTCCCATCCTGGCTGGAATCAAGAAGGCAGCATCCGCCAGGCTCCCAACAGGCAGGACTCCCGCACACCCTCCTCTGAGAGGCCGCTGTGTTCCGCAGGGCCAGGCCCTGGACAGTTCCCCTCACCTGCCACTAGAGAAACACCTGCCATTGTCGTCCCCACCTGGAAAAGACCACTCGTGGAGCCCCCAGCCCCAGGTACAGCTGTAGAGAGAGTCCTCGAGGCCCCTAAGAAGGAGCCATGCCCAGTTCTGCCGGGACCCTCGGCCAGGCCGACAGGAGTGGACGCTGGAGCTGGGCCCACACTGGGCCACATAGGAGCTCACCAGTGAGGGCAGGAGAGCACATGCCGGGGAGCACCCAGCCTCCTGCTGACCAGAGGCCTGCCCCAGAGCCCAGGAGGCTGCAGAGGCCTCTCCAGGGAGACACTGTGCATGTCTGGTACCTAAGCAGCCCCCCACGTCCCCAGTCCTGGGGGCCCCTGGCTCAGCTGTCTGGACCCTCCCTGTTCCCTGGGAAGCTCCTCCTGACAGCCCCGCCTCCAGTTCCAGGTGTGGTTATTGTCAGGCGATGTCAGACTGTGGTGGATATAGTGGCTACGATTACCACAGTGGTGCCGCCCATAGCAGCAACCAGGCCAAGTAGACAGGCCCCTGCTGCGCAGCCCCAGGCATCCACTTCACCTGCTTCTCCTGGGGCTCTCAAGGCTGCTGTCTGTCCTCTGGCCCTCTGTGGGGAGGGTTCCCTCAGTGGGAGGTCTGTGCTCCAGGGCAGGGATGATTGAGATAGAAATCAAAGGCTGGCAGGGAAAGGCAGCTTCCCGCCCTGAGAGGTGCAGGCAGCACCACGGAGCCACGGAGTCACAGAGCCACGGAGCCCCCATTGTGGGCATTTGAGAGTGCTGTGCCCCCGGCAGGCCCAGCCCTGATGGGGAAGCCTGTCCCATCCCACAGCCCGGGTCCCACGGGCAGCGGGCACAGAAGCTGCCAGGTTGTCCTCTATGATCCTCATCCCTCCAGCAGCATCCCCTCCACAGTGGGGAAACTGAGGCTTGGAGCACCACCCGGCCCCCTGGAAATGAGGCTGTGAGCCCAGACAGTGGGCCCAGAGCACTGTGAGTACCCCGGCAGTACCTGGCTGCAGGGATCAGCCAGAGATGCCAAACCCTGAGTGACCAGCCTACAGGAGGATCCGGCCCCACCCAGGCCACTCGATTAATGCTCAACCCCCTGCCCTGGAGACCTCTTCCAGTACCACCAGCAGCTCAGCTTCTCAGGGCCTCATCCCTGCAAGGAAGGTCAAGGGCTGGGCCTGCCAGAAACACAGCACCCTCCCTAGCCCTGGCTAAGACAGGGTGGGCAGACGGCTGTGGACGGGACATATTGCTGGGGCATTTCTCACTGTCACTTCTGGGTGGTAGCTCTGACAAAAACGCAGACCCTGCCAAAATCCCCACTGCCTCCCGCTAGGGGCTGGCCTGGAATCCTGCTGTCCTAGGAGGCTGCTGACCTCCAGGATGGCTCCGTCCCCAGTTCCAGGGCGAGAGCAGATCCCAGGCAGGCTGTAGGCTGGGAGGCCACCCCTGCCCTTGCCGGGGTTGAATGCAGGTGCCCAAGGCAGGAAATGGCATGAGCACAGGGATGACCGGGACATGCCCCACCAGAGTGCGCCCCTTCCTGCTCTGCACCCTGCACCCCCCAGGCCAGCCCACGACGTCCAACAACTGGGCCTGGGTGGCAGCCCCACCCAGACAGGACAGACCCAGCACCCTGAGGAGGTCCTGCCAGGGGGAGCTAAGAGCCATGAAGGAGCAAGATATGGGGCCCCCGATACAGGCACAGATGTCAGCTCCATCCAGGACCACCCAGCCCACACCCTGAGAGGAACGTCTGTCTCCAGCCTCTGCAGGTCGGGAGGCAGCTGACCCCTGACTTGGACCCCTATTCCAGACACCAGACAGAGGCGCAGGCCCCCCAGAACCAGGGTTGAGGGACGCCCCGTCAAAGCCAGACAAAACCAAGGGGTGTTGAGCCCAGCAAGGGAAGGCCCCCAAACAGACCAGGAGGTTTCTGAAGGTGTCTGTGTCACAGTGGGGTATAGCAGCAGCTGGTACCACAGTGACACTCACCCAGCCAGAAACCCCATTCCAAGTCAGCGGAAGCAGAGAGAGCAGGGAGGACACGTTTAGGATCTGAGACTGCACCTGACACCCAGGCCAGCAGACGTCTCCCCTCCAGGGCACCCCACCCTGTCCTGCATTTCTGCAAGATCAGGGGCGGCCTGAGGGGGGGTCTAGGGTGAGGAGATGGGTCCCCTGTACACCAAGGAGGAGTTAGGCAGGTCCCGAGCACTCTCCCCATTGAGGCTGACCTGCCCAGAGAGTCCTGGGCCCACCCCACACACCGGGGCGGAATGTGTGCAGGCCTCGGTCTCTGTGGGTGTTCCGCTAGCTGGGGCTCACAGTGCTCACCCCACACCTAAAATGAGCCACAGCCTCCGGAGCCCCCGCAGGAGACCCCGCCCACAAGCCCAGCCCCCACCCAGGAGGCCCCAGAGCTCAGGGCGCCCCGTCGGATTCCGAACAGCCCCGAGTCACAGCGGGTATAACCGGAACCACCACTGTCAGAATAGCTACGTCAAAAACTGTCCAGTGGCCACTGCCGGAGGCCCCGCCAGAGAGGGCAGCAGCCACTCTGATCCCATGTCCTGCCGGCTCCCATGACCCCCAGCACGCGGAGCCCCACAGTGTCCCCACTGGATGGGAGGACAAGAGCTGGGGATTCCGGCGGGTCGGGGCAGGGGCTTGATCGCATCCTTCTGCCGTGGCTCCAGTGCCCCTGGCTGGAGTTGACCCTTCTGACAAGTGTCCTCAGAGAGACAGGCATCACCGGCGCCTCCCAACATCAACCCCAGGCAGCACAGGCACAAACCCCACATCCAGAGCCAACTCCAGGAGCAGAGACACCCCAATACCCTGGGGGACCCCGACCCTGATGACTTCCCACTGGAATTCGCCGTAGAGTCCACCAGGACCAAAGACCCTGCCTCTGCCTCTGTCCCTCACTCAGGACCTGCTGCCGGGCGAGGCCTTGGGAGCAGACTTGGGCTTAGGGGACACCAGTGTGACCCCGACCTTGACCAGGACGCAGACCTTTCCTTCCTTTCCTGGGGCAGCACAGACTTTGGGGTCTGGGCCAGGAGGAACTTCTGGCAGGTCGCCAAGCACAGAGGCCACAGGCTGAGGTGGCCCTGGAAAGACCTCCAGGAGGTGGCCACTCCCCTTCCTCCCAGCTGGACCCCATGTCCTCCCCAAGATAAGGGTGCCATCCAAGGCAGGTGCTCCTTGGAGCCCCATTCAGACTCCTCCCTGGACCCCACTGGGCCTCAGTCCCAGCTCTGGGGATGAAGCCACCACAAGCACACCAGGCAGCCCAGGCCCAGCCACCCTGCAGTGCCCAAGCACACACTCTGGAGCAGAGCAGGGTGCCTCTGGGAGGGGCTGAGCTCCCCACCCCACCCCCACCTGCACACCCCACCCACCCCTGCCCAGCGGCTCTGCAGGAGGGTCAGAGCCCCACATGGGGTATGGACTTAGGGTCTCACTCACGTGGCTCCCATCATGAGTGAAGGGGCCTCAAGCCCAGGTTCCCACAGCAGCGCCTGTCGCAAGTGGAGGCAGAGGCCCGAGGGCCACCCTGACCTGGTCCCTGAGGTTCCTGCAGCCCAGGCTGCCCTGCTGTCCCTGGGAGGCCTGGGCTCCACCAGACCACAGGTCCAGGGCACCGGGTGCAGGAGCCACCCACACACAGCTCACAGGAAGAAGATAAGCTCCAGACCCCCAGGGCCAGAACCTGCCTTCCTGCTACTGCTTCCTGCCCCAGACCTGGGCGCCCTCCCCCGTCCACTTACACACAGGCCAGGAAGCTGTTCCCACACAGAACAACCCCAAACCAGGACCGCCTGGCACTCAGGTGGCTGCCATTTCCTTCTCCATTTGCTCCCAGCGCCTCTGTCCTCCCTGGTTCCTCCTTCGGGGGAACAGCCTGTGCAGCCAGTCCCTGCAGCCCACACCCTGGGGAGACCCAACCCTGCCTGGGGCCCTTCCAACCCTGCTGCTCTTACTGCCCACCCAGAAAACTCTGGGGTCCTGTCCCTGCAGTCCCTACCCTGGTCTCCACCCAGACCCCTGTGTATCACTCCAGACACCCCTCCCAGGCCAACCCTGCACCTGCAGGCCCTGTCCTCTTCTGTCGCTAGAGCCTCAGTTTCTCCCCCCTGTGCCCACACCCTACCTCCTCCTGCCCACAACTCTAACTCTTCTTCTCCTGGAGCCCCTGAGCCATGGCATTGACCCTGCCCTCCCACCACCCACAGCCCATGCCCTCACCTTCCTCCTGGCCACTCCGACCCCGCCCCCTCTCAGGCCAAGCCCTGGTATTTCCAGGACAAAGGCTCACCCAAGTCTTTCCCAGGCAGGCCTGGGCTCTTGCCCTCACTTCCCGGTTACACGGGAGCCTCCTGTGCACAGAAGCAGGGAGCTCAGCCCTTCCACAGGCAGAAGGCACTGAAAGAAATCGGCCTCCAGCACCTTGACACACGTCCCCCCGTGTCTCTCACTGCCCGCACCTGCAGGGAGGCTCCGCACTCCCTCTAAAGACAAGGGATCCAGGCAGCAGCATCACGGGAGAATGCAGGGCTCCCAGACATCCCAGTCCTCTCACAGGCCTCTCCTGGGAAGAGACCTGCAGCCACCACCAAACAGCCACAGAGGCTGCTGGATAGTAACTGAGTCAATGACCGACCTGGAGGGCAGGGGAGCAGTGAGCCGGAGCCCATACCATAGGGACAGAGACCAGCCGCTGACATCCCGAGCTCCTCAATGGTGGCCCCATAACACACCTAGGAAACATAACACACCCACAGCCCCACCTGGAACAGGGCAGAGACTGCTGAGCCCCCAGCACCAGCCCCAAGAAACACCAGGCAACAGTATCAGAGGGGGCTCCCGAGAAAGAGAGGAGGGGAGATCTCCTTCACCATCAAATGCTTCCCTTGACCAAAAACAGGGTCCACGCAACTCCCCCAGGACAAAGGAGGAGCCCCCTATACAGCACTGGGCTCAGAGTCCTCTCTGAGACACCCTGAGTTTCAGACAACAACCCGCTGGAATGCACAGTCTCAGCAGGAGAACAGACCAAAGCCAGCAAAAGGGACCTCGGTGACACCAGTAGGGACAGGAGGATTTTGTGGGGGCTCGTGTCACTGTGAGGATATTGTAGTGGTGGTAGCTGCTACTCCCACAGTGACACAGACCCATTCCCAAAGCCCTACTGCAAACACACCCACTCCTGGGGCTGAGGGGCTGGGGGAGCGTCTGGGAAGTAGGGTCCAGGGGTGTCTATCAATGTCCAAAATGCACCAGACTGCCCGCCAAACACCACCCCACCAGCCAGCGAGCAGGGTAAACAGAAAATGAGAGGCTCTGGGAAGCTTGCACAGGCCCCAAGGAAAGAGCTTTGGCGGGTGTGCAAGAGGGGATGCAGGCAGAGCCTGAGCAGGGCCTTTTGCTGTTTCTGCTTTCCTGTGCAGAGAGTTCCATAAACTGGTGTTCAAGATCAGTGGCTGGGAATGAGCCCAGGAGGGCAGTCTGTGGGAAGAGCACAGGGAAGGAGGAGCAGCCGCTATCCTACACTGTCATCTTTCAAAAGTTTGCCTTGTGACCACACTATTGCATCATGGGATGCTTAAGAGCTGATGTAGACACAGCTAAAGAGAGAATCAGTGAGATGAATTTGCAGCATAGATCTGAATAAACTCTCCAGAATGTGGAGCAGTACAGAAGCAAACACACAGAAAGTGCCTGATGCAAGGACAAAGTTCAGTGGGCACCTTCAGGCATTGCTGCTGGGCACAGACACTCTGAAAAGCCCTGGCAGGATCTCCCTGCGACAAAGCAGAACCCTCAGGCAATGCCAGCCCCAGAGCCCTCCCTGAGAGCGTCATGGGGAAAGATGTGCAGAACAGCTGATTATCATAGACTCAAACTGAGAACAGAGCAAACGTCCATCTGAAGAACAGTCAAATAAGCAATGGTAGGTTCATGCAATGCAAACCCAGACAGCCAGGGGACAACAGTAGAGGGCTACAGGCGGCTTTGCGGTTGAGTTCATGACAATGCTGAGTAATTGGAGTAACAGAGGAAAGCCCAAAAAATACTTTTAATGTGATTTCTTCTAAATAAAATTTACACCAGGCAAAATGAACTGTCTTCTTAAGGGATAAACTTTCCCCTGGAAAAACTACAAGGAAAATTAAGAAAACGATGATCACATAAACACAGTTGTGGTTACTTCTACTGGGGAAGGAAGAGGGTATGAGCTGAGACACACAGAGTCGGCAAGTCTCCAAGCAAGCACAGAACGAATACATTACAGTACCTTGAATACAGCAGTTAAACTTCTAAATCGCAAGAAGAGGAAAATGCACACAGCTGTGTTTAGAAAATTCTCAGTCCAGCACTATTCATAATAGCAAAGACATTAACCCAGGTTGGATAAATAAATGATGACACAGGCAATTGCACAATGATACAGACATACATTTAGTACATGAGACATCGATGATGTATCCCCAAAGAAATGACTTTAAAGAGAAAAGGCCTGATGTGTGGTGGCACTCACCTCCCTGGGATCCCCGGACAGGTTGCAGGCACACTGTGTGGCAGGGCAGGCTGGTACATGCTGGCAGCTCCTGGGGCCTGATGTGGAGCAAGCGCAGGGCTGTATACCCCCAAGGATGGCACAGTCAGTGAATTCCAGAGAGAAGCAGCTCAGCCACACTGCCCAGGCAGAGCCCGAGAGGGACGCCCACGCACAGGGAGGCAGAGCCCAGCTCCTCCACAGCCACCACCACCTGTGCACGGGCCACCACCTTGCAGGCACAGAGTGGGTGCTGAGAGGAGGGGCAGGGACACCAGGCAGGGTGAGCACCCAGAGAAAACTGCAGAAGCCTCACACATCCACCTCAGCCTCCCCTGACCTGGACCTCACCTGGTCTGGACCTCACCTGGCCTGGGCCTCACCTGACCTGGACCTCACCTGGCCTGGGCTTCACCTGACCTGGACCTCACCTGGCCTCCGGCCTCACCTGCACCTGCTCCAGGTCTTGCTGGAACCTGAGTAGCACTGAGGCTGCAGAAGCTCATCCAGGGTTGGGGAATGACTCTGGAACTCTCCCACATCTGACCTTTCTGGGTGGAGGCATCTGGTGGCCCTGGGAATATAAAAAGCCCCAGAATGGTGCCTGCGTGATTTGGGGGCAATTTATGAACCCGAAAGGACATGGCCATGGGGTGGGTAGGGACATAGGGACAGATGCCAGCCTGAGGTGGAGCCTCAGGACACAGTTGGACGCGGACACTATCCACATAAGCGAGGGACAGACCCGAGTGTTCCTGCAGTAGACCTGAGAGCGCTGGGCCCACAGCCTCCCCTCGGTGCCCTGCTGCCTCCTCAGGTCAGCCCTGGACATCCCGGGTTTCCCCAGGCCAGATGGTAGGTTTGAAGTGAGGTCTGTGTCACTGTGGTATTATGATTACGTTTGGGGGAGTTATCGTTATACCCACAGCATCACACGGTCCATCAGAAACCCATGCCACAGCCCTCCCCGCAGGGGACCGCCGCGTGCCATGTTACGATTTTGATCGAGGACACAGCGCCATGGGTATGGTGGCTACCACAGCAGTGCAGCCCATGACCCAAACACACAGGGCAGCAGGCACAATGGACAGGCCTGTGAGTGACCATGCTGGGCTCCAGCCCGCCAGCCCCGGAGACCATGAAACAGATGGCCAAGGTCACCCCACAGTTCAGCCAGACATGGCTCCGTGGGGTCTGCATCGCTGCTGCCCTCTAACACCAGCCCAGATGGGGACAAGGCCAACCCCACATTACCATCTCCTGCTGTCCACCCAGTGGTCCCAGAAGCCCCTCCCTCATGGCTGAGCCACATGTGTGAACCCTGAGAGCACCCCATGTCAGAGTAGGGGCAGCAGAAGGGCGGGGCTGGCCCTGTGCACTGTCCCTGCACCCATGGTCCCTCGCCTGCCTGGCCCTGACACCTGAGCCTCTTCTGAGTCATTTCTAAGATAGAAGACATTCCCGGGGACAGCCGGAGCTGGGCGTCGCTCATCCCGCCCGGCCGTCCTGAGTCCTGCTTGTTTCCAGACCTCACCAGGGAAGCCAACAGAGGACTCACCTCACACAGTCAGAGACAAAGAACCTTCCAGAAATCCCTGTCTCACTCCCCAGTGGGCACCTTCTTCCAGGACATTCCTCGGTCGCATCACAGCAGGCACCCACATCTGGATCAGGACGGCCCCCAGAACACAAGATGGCCCATGGGGACAGCCCCACAACCCAGGCCTTCCCAGACCCCTAAAAGGCGTCCCACCCCCTGCACCTGCCCCAGGGCTAAAAATCCAGGAGGCTTGACTCCCGCATACCCTCCAGCCAGACATCACCTCAGCCCCCTCCTGGAGGGGACAGGAGCCCGGGAGGGTGAGTCAGACCCACCTGCCCTCGATGGCAGGCGGGGAAGATTCAGAAAGGCCTGAGATCCCCAGGACGCAGCACCACTGTCAATGGGGGCCCCAGACGCCTGGACCAGGGCCTGCGTGGGAAAGGCCGCTGGGCACACTCAGGGGCTTTTTGTGAAGGCCCCTCCTACTGTGTGACTACGGTGACTACCACAGTGATGAAACTAGCAGCAAAAACTGGCCGGACACCCAGGGACCATGCACACTTCTCAGCTTGGAGCTCTCCAGGACCAGAAGAGTCAGGTCTGAGGGTTTGTAGCCAGACCCTCGGCCTCTAGGGACACCCTGGCCATCACAGCGGATGGGCTGGTGCCCCACATGCCATCTGCTCCAAACAGGGGCTTCAGAGGGCTCTGAGGTGACTTCACTCATGACCACAGGTGCCCTGGCCCCTTCCCCGCCAGCTACACCGAACCCTGTCCCAACAGCTGCCCCAGTTCCAACAGCCAATTCCTGGGGCCCAGAATTGCTGTAGACACCAGCCTCGTTCCAGCACCTCCTGCCAATTGCCTGGATTCACATCCTGGCTGGAATCAAGAGGGCAGCATCCGCCAGGCTCCCAACAGGCAGGACTCCCGCACACCCTCCTCTGAGAGGCCGCTGTGTTCCGCAGGGCCAGGCCCTGGACAGTTCCCCTCACCTGCCACTAGAGAAACACCTGCCATTGTCGTCCCCACCTGGAAAAGACCACTCGTGGAGCCCCCAGCCCCAGGTACAGCTGTAGAGAGACTCCCCGAGGGATCTAAGAAGGAGCCATGCGCAGTTCTGCCGGGACCCTCGGCCAGGCCGACAGGAGTGGACACTGGAGCTGGGCCCACACTGGGCCACATAGGAGCTCACCAGTGAGGGCAGGAGAGCACATGCCGGGGAGCACCCAGCCTCCTGCTGACCAGAGGCCCGTCCCAGAGCCCAGGAGGCTGCAGAGGCCTCTCCAGGGGGACACTGTGCATGTCTGGTCCCTGAGCAGCCCCCCACGTCCCCAGTCCTGGGGGCCCCTGGCACAGCTGTCTGGACCCTCCCTCTTCCCTGGGAAGCTCCTCCTGACAGCCCCGCCTCCAGTTCCAGGTGTGGTTATTGTCAGGGGGTGTCAGACTGTGGTGGATACAGCTATGGTTACCACAGTGGTGCTGCCCATAGCAGCAACCAGGCCAAGTAGACAGGCCCCTGCTGTGCAGCCCCAGGCCTCCAGCTCACCTGCTTCTCCTGGGGCTCTCAAGGTCACTGTTGTCTGTACTCTGCCCTCTGTGGGGAGGGTTCCCTCAGTGGGAGGTCTGTTCTCAACATCCCAGGGCCTCATGTCTGCACGGAAGGCCAATGGATGGGCAACCTCACATGCCGCGGCTAAGATAGGGTGGGCAGCCTGGCGGGGGACAGTACATACTGCTGGGGTGTCTGTCACTGTGCCTAGTGGGGCACTGGCTCCCAAACAACGCAGTCCTCGCCAAAATCCCCACAGCCTCCCCTGCTAGGGGCTGGCCTGATCTCCTGCAGTCCTAGGAGGCTGCTGACCTCCAGAATGTCTCCGTCCCCAGTTCCAGGGCGAGAGCAGATCCCAGGCCGGCTGCAGACTGGGAGGCCACCCCCTCCTTCCCAGGGTTCACTGGAGGTGACCAAGGTAGGAAATGGCCTTAACACAGGGATGACTGCGCCATCCCCCAACAGAGTCAGCCCCCTCCTGCTCTGTACCCCGCACCCCCCAGGCCAGTCCACGAAAACCAGGGCCCCACATCAGAGTCACTGCCTGGCCCGGCCCTGGGGCGGACCCCTCAGCCCCCACCCTGTCTAGAGGACTTGGGGGGACAGGACACAGGCCCTCTCCTTATGGTTCCCCCACCTGCCTCCGGCCGGGACCCTTGGGGTGTGGACAGAAAGGACACCTGCCTAATTGGCCCCCAGGAACCCAGAACTTCTCTCCAGGGACCCCAGCCCGAGCACCCCCTTACCCAGGACCCAGCCCTGCCCCTCCTCCCCTCTGCTCTCCTCTCATCACCCCATGGGAATCCGGTATCCCCAGGAAGCCATCAGGAAGGGCTGAAGGAGGAAGCGGGGCCGTGCACCACCGGGCAGGAGGCTCCGTCTTCGTGAACCCAGGGAAGTGCCAGCCTCCTAGAGGGTATGGTCCACCCTGCCTGGGGCTCCCACCGTGGCAGGCTGCGGGGAAGGACCAGGGACGGTGTGGGGGAGGGCTCAGGGCCCTGCGGGTGCTCCTCCATCTTCGGTGAGCCTCCCCCTTCACCCACCGTCCCGCCCACCTCCTCTCCACCCTGGCTGCACGTCTTCCACACCATCCTGAGTCCTACCTACACCAGAGCCAGCAAAGCCAGTGCAGACAAAGGCTGGGGTGCAGGGGGGCTGCCAGGGCAGCTTCGGGGAGGGAAGGATGGAGGGAGGGGAGGTCAGTGAAGAGGCCCCCTTCCCCTGGGTCCAGGATCCTCCTCTGGGACCCCCGGATCCCATCCCCTCCTGGCTCTGGGAGGAGAAGCAGGATGGGAGAATCTGTGCGGGACCCTCTCACAGTGGAATATCCCCACAGCGGCTCAGGCCAGACCCAAAAGCCCCTCAGTGAGCCCTCCACTGCAGTCCTGGGCCTGGGTAGCAGCCCCTCCCACAGAGGACAGACCCAGCACCCCGAAGAAGTCCTGCCAGGGGGAGCTCAGAGCCATGAAAGAGCAGGATATGGGGTCCCCGATACAGGCACAGACCTCAGCTCCATCCAGGCCCACCGGGACCCACCATGGGAGGAACACCTGTCTCCGGGTTGTGAGGTAGCTGGCCTCTGTCTCGGACCCCACTCCAGACACCAGACAGAGGGGCAGGCCCCCCAAAACCAGGGTTGAGGGATGATCCGTCAAGGCAGACAAGACCAAGGGGCACTGACCCCAGCAAGGGAAGGCTCCCAAACAGACGAGGAGGTTTCTGAAGCTGTCTGTATCACAGTGGGGTATAGCAGTGGCTGGTACCACAGTGACACTCGCCAGGCCAGAAACCCCGTCCCAAGTCAGCGGAAGCAGAGAGAGCAGGGAGGACACGTTTAGGATCTGAGGCCGCACCTGACACCCAGGGCAGCAGACGTCTCCCCTCCAGGGCACCCTCCACCGTCCTGCGTTTCTTCAAGAATAGGGGCGGCCTGAGGGGGTCCAGGGCCAGGCGATAGGTCCCCTCTACCCCAAGGAGGAGCCAGGCAGGACCCGAGCACCGTCCCCATTGAGGCTGACCTGCCCAGACGGGCCTGGGCCCACCCCACACACCGGGGCGGAATGTGTGCAGGCCCCAGTCTCTGTGGGTGTTCCGCTAGCTGGGGCCCCCAGTGCTCACCCCACACCTAAAGCGAGCCCCAGCCTCCAGAGCCCCCTAAGCATTCCCCGCCCAGCAGCCCAGCCCCTGCCCCCACCCAGGAGGCCCCAGAGCTCAGGGCGCCTGGTCGGATTCTGAACAGCCCCGAGTCACAGTGGGTATAACTGGAACGACCACCGTGAGAAAAACTGTGTCCAAAACTGACTCCTGGCAGCAGTCGGAGGCCCCGCCAGAGAGGGGAGCAGCCGGCCTGAACCCATGTCCTGCCGGTTCCCATGACCCCCAGCACCCAGAGCCCCACGGTGTCCCCGTTGGATAATGAGGACAAGGGCTGGGGGCTCCGGTGGTTTGCGGCAGGGACTTGATCACATCCTTCTGCTGTGGCCCCATTGCCTCTGGCTGGAGTTGACCCTTCTGACAAGTGTCCTCAGAAAGACAGGGATCACCGGCACCTCCCAATATCAACCCCAGGCAGCACAGACACAAACCCCACATCCAGAGCCAACTCCAGGAGCAGAGACACCCCAACACTCTGGGGGACCCCAACCGTGATAACTCCCCACTGGAATCCGCCCCAGAGTCTACCAGGACCAAAGGCCCTGCCCTGTCTCTGTCCCTCACTCAGGGCCTCCTGCAGGGCGAGCGCTTGGGAGCAGACTCGGTCTTAGGGGACACCACTGTGGGCCCCAACTTTGATGAGGCCACTGACCCTTCCTTCCTTTCCTGGGGCAGCACAGACTTTGGGGTCTGGGCAGGGAAGAACTACTGGCTGGTGGCCAATCACAGAGCCCCCAGGCCGAGGTGGCCCCAAGAAGGCCCTCAGGAGGTGGCCACTCCACTTCCTCCCAGCTGGACCCCAGGTCCTCCCCAAGATAGGGGTGCCATCCAAGGCAGGTCCTCCATGGAGCCCCCTTCAGACTCCTCCCGGGACCCCACTGGACCTCAGTCCCTGCTCTGGGAATGCAGCCACCACAAGCACACCAGGAAGCCCAGGCCCAGCCACCCTGCAGTGGGCAAGCCCACACTCTGGAGCAGAGCAGGGTGCGTCTGGGAGGGGCTAACCTCCCCACCCCCCACCCCCCATCTGCACACAGCCACCTACCACTGCCCAGACCCTCTGCAGGAGGGCCAAGCCACCATGGGGTATGGACTTAGGGTCTCACTCACGTGCCTCCCCTCCTGGGAGAAGGGGCCTCATGCCCAGATCCCTGCAGCACTAGACACAGCTGGAGGCAGTGGCCCCAGGGCCACCCTGACCTGGCATCTAAGGCTGCTCCAGCCCAGACAGCACTGCCGTTCCTGGGAAGCCTGGGCTCCACCAGACCACAGGTCCAGGGCACAGCCCACAGGAGCCACCCACACACAGCTCACAGGAAGAAGATAAGCTCCAGACCCCAGGGCGGGACCTGCCTTCCTGCCACCACTTACACACAGGCCAGGGAGCTGTTCCCACACAGATCAACCCCAAACCGGGACTGCCTGGCACTAGGGTCACTGCCATTTCCCTCTCCATTCCCTCCCAGTGCCTCTGTGCTCCCTCCTTCTGGGGAACACCCTGTGCAGCCCCTCCCTGCAGCCCACACGCTGGGGAGACCCCACCCTGCCTCGGGCCTTTTCTACCTGCTGCACTTGCCGCCCACCCAAACAACCCTGGGTACGTGACCCTGCAGTCCTCACCCTGATCTGCAACCAGACCCCTGTCCCTCCCTCTAAACACCCCTCCCAGGCCAACTCTGCACCTGCAGGCCCTCCGCTCTTCTGCCACAAGAGCCTCAGGTTTTCCTACCTGTGCCCACCCCCTAACCCCTCCTGCCCACAACTTGAGTTCTTCCTCTCCTGGAGCCCTTGAGCCATGGCACTGACCCTACACTCCCACCCACACACTGCCCATGCCATCACCTTCCTCCTGGACACTCTGACCCCGCTCCCCTCCCTCTCAGACCCGGCCCTGGTATTTCCAGGACAAAGGCTCACCCAAGTCTTCCCCATGCAGGCCCTTGCCCTCACTGCCTGGTTACACGGGAGCCTCCTGTGCGCAGAAGCAGGGAGCTCAGCTCTTCCACAGGCAGAAGGCACTGAAAGAAATCGGCCTCCAGTGCCTTGACACACGTCCGCCTGTGTCTCTCACTGCCTGCACCTGCAGGGAGGCTCCGCACTCCCTCTAAAGATGAGGGATCCAGGCAGCAACATCACGGGAGAATGCAGGGCTCCCAGACAGCCCAGCCCTCTCGCAGGCCTCTCCTGGGAAGAGACCTGCAGCCACCACTGAACAGCCACGGAGGTCGCTGGATAGTAACCGAGTCAGTGACCGACCTGGAGGGCAGGGGAGCAGTGAACCGGAGCCCATACCATAGGGACAGAGACCAGCCGCTAACATCCCGAGCCCCTCACTGGCGGCCCCAGAACACCCCGTGGAAAGAGAACAGACCCACAGTCCCACCTGGAACAGGGCAGACACTGCTGAGCCCCCAGCACCAGCCCCAAGAAACACTAGGCAACAGCATCAGAGGGGGCTCCTGAGAAAGAGAGGAGGGGAGGTCTCCTTCACCATCAAATGCTTCCCTTGACCAAAAACAGGGTCCACGCAACTCCCCCAGGACAAAGGAGGAGCCCCCTGTACAGCACTGGGCTCAGAGTCCTCTCTGAGACAGGCTCAGTTTCAGACAACAACCCGCTGGAATGCACAGTCTCAGCAGGAGAGCCAGGCCAGAGCCAGCAAGAGGAGACTCGGTGACACCAGTCTCCTGTAGGGACAGGAGGATTTTGTGGGGGTTCGTGTCACTGTGAGCATATTGTGGTGGTGACTGCTATTCCCACAGTGACACAACCCCATTCCTAAAGCCCTACTGCAAACGCACCCACTCCTGGGACTGAGGGGCTGGGGGAGCATCTGGGAAGTATGGCCTAGGGGTGTCCATCAATGCCCAAAATGCACCAGACTCTCCCCAAGACATCACCCCACCAGCCAGTGAGCAGAGTAAACAGAAAATGAGAAGCAGCTGGGAAGCTTGCACAGGCCCCAAGGAAAGAGCTTTGGCAGGTGTGCAAGAGGGGATGTGGGCAGAGCCTCAGCAGGGCCTTTTGCTGTTTCTGCTTTCCTGTGCAGAGAGTTCCATAAACTGGTATTCAAGATCAATGGCTGGGAGTGAGCCCAGGAGGACAGTGTGGGAAGAGCACAGGGAAGGAGGAGCAGCCGCTATCCTACACTGTCATCTTTTGAAAGTTTGCCCTGTGCCCACAATGCTGCATCATGGGATGCTTAACAGCTGATGTAGACACAGCTAAAGAGAGAATCAGTGAAATGCATTTGCAGCACAGATCTGAATAAATCCTCCAGAATGTGGAGCAGCACAGAAGCAAGCACACAGAAAGTGCCTGATGCCAAGGCAAAGTTCAGTGGGCACCTTCAGGCATTGCTGCTGGGCACAGACACTCTGAAAAGCACTGGCAGGAACTGCCTGTGACAAAGCAGAACCCTCAGGCAATGCCAGCCCTAGAGCCCTTCCTGAGAACCTCATGGGCAAAGATGTGCAGAACAGCTGTTTGTCATAGCCCCAAACTATGGGGCTGGACAAAGCAAACGTCCATCTGAAGGAGAACAGACAAATAAACGATGGCAGGTTCATGAAATACAAACTAGGACAGCCAGAGGACAACAGTAGAGAGCTACAGGCGGCTTTGCGGTTGAGTTCATGACAATGCTGAGTAATTGGAGTAACAGAGGAAAGCCCAAAAAATACTTTTAATGTGATTTCTTCTAAATAAAATTTACACCCGGCAAAATGAACTATCTTCTTAAGGGATAAACTTTCCCCTGGAAAAACTATAAGGAAAATCAAGAAAACGATGATCACATAAACACAGTGGTGGTTACTTCTACTGGGGAAGGAAGAGGGTATGAGCTGAGACACACAGAGTCGGCAAGTCTCCTAACAAGAACAGAACAAATACATTACAGTACCTTGAAAACAGCAGTTAAACTTCTAAATCGCAAGAAGAGGAAAATGCACACACCTGTGTTTAGAAAATTCTCAGTCCAGCACTGTTCATAATAGCAAAGACATTAACCCAGGTTGGATAAATAAGCGATGACACAGGCAATTGCACAATGATACAGACATACATTCAGTATATGAGACATCGATGATGTATCCCCAAAGAAATGACTTTAAAGAGAAAAGGCCTGATGTGTGGTGGCAATCACCTCCCTGGGCATCCCCGGACAGGCTGCAGGCTCACTGTGTGGCAGGGCAGGCAGGCACCTGCTGGCAGCTCCTGGGGCCTGATGTGGAGCAGGCACAGAGCTGTATATCCCCAAGGAAGGTACAGTCAGTGCATTCCAGAGAGAAGCAACTCAGCCACACTCCCTGGCCAGAACCCAAGATGCACACCCATGCACAGGGAGGCAGAGCCCAGCACCTCCGCAGCCACCACCACCTGCGCACGGGCCACCACCTTGCAGGCACAGAGTGGGTGCTGAGAGGAGGGGCAGGGACACCAGGCAGGGTGAGCACCCAGAGAAAACTGCAGAAGCCTCACACATCCACCTCAGCCTCCCCTGACCTGGACCTCACCTGGCCTGGGCCTCACCTGACCTGGACCTCACCTGGCCTGGGCTTCACCTGGCCTGGGCTTCACCTGACCTGGACCTCACCTGGCCTCGGGCCTCACCTGGCCTGGGCTTCACCTGGCCTGGGCTTCACCTGACCTGGACCTCACCTGGCCTGGGCCTCACCTGACCTGGACCTCACCTGGCCTGGGCTTCACCTGGCCTGGGCTTCACCTGGCCTGGGCTTCACCTGACCTGGACCTCACCTGGCCTGGGCTTCACCTGACCTGGACCTCACCTGGCCTCGGGCCTCACCTGCACCTGCTCCAGGTCTTGCTGGAGCCTGAGTAGCACTGAGGCTGTAGGGACTCATCCAGGGTTGGGGAATGACTCTGCAACTCTCCCACATCTGACCTTTCTGGGTGGAGGCACCTGGTGGCCCAGGGAATATAAAAAGCCCCAGAATGATGCCTGTGTGATTTGGGGGCAATTTATGAACCCGAAAGGACATGGCCATGGGGTGGGTAGGGACAGTAGGGACAGATGTCAGCCTGAGGTGAAGCCTCAGGACACAGGTGGGCATGGACAGTGTCCACCTAAGCGAGGGACAGACCCGAGTGTCCCTGCAGTAGACCTGAGAGCGCTGGGCCCACAGCCTCCCCTCGGGGCCCTGCTGCCTCCTCAGGTCAGCCCTGGACATCCCGGGTTTCCCCAGGCCTGGCGGTAGGTTTGAAGTGAGGTCTGTGTCACTGTGGTATTACTATGATAGTAGTGGTTATTACTACCACAGTGTCACAGAGTCCATCAAAAACTCATGCCTGGGAGCCTCCCACCACAGCCCTCCCTGCGGGGGACCGCTGCATGCCGTGTTAGGATTTTGATCGAGGACACGGCGCCATGGGTATGGTGGCTACCACAGCAGTGCAGCCCATGACCCAAACACACGGGGCAGCAGAAACAATGGACAGGCCCACAAGTGACCATGATGGGCTCCAGCCCACCAGCCCCAGAGACCATGAAACAGATGGCCAAGGTCACCCTACAGGTCATCCAGATCTGGCTCCAAGGGGTCTGCATCGCTGCTGCCCTCCCAACGCCAAACCAGATGGAGACAGGGCCGGCCCCATAGCACCATCTGCTGCCGTCCACCCAGCAGTCCCGGAAGCCCCTCCCTGAACGCTGGGCCACGTGTGTGAACCCTGCGAGCCCCCCATGTCAGAGTAGGGGCAGCAGGAGGGCGGGGCTGGCCCTGTGCACTGTCACTGCCCCTGTGGTCCCTGGCCTGCCTGGCCCTGACACCTGAGCCTCTCCTGGGTCATTTCCAAGACATTCCCAGGGACAGCCGGAGCTGGGAGTCGCTCATCCTGCCTGGCTGTCCTGAGTCCTGCTCATTTCCAGACCTCACCAGGGAAGCCAACAGAGGACTCACCTCACACAGTCAGAGACAATGAACCTTCCAGAAATCCCTGTTTCTCTCCCCAGTGAGAGAAACCCTCTTCCAGGGTTTCTCTTCTCTCCCACCCTCTTCCAGGACAGTCCTCAGCAGCATCACAGCGGGAACGCACATCTGGATCAGGACGGCCCCCAGAACACGCGATGGCCCATGGGGACAGCCCAGCCCTTCCCAGACCCCTAAAAGGTATCCCCACCTTGCACCTGCCCCAGGGCTCAAACTCCAGGAGGCCTGACTCCTGCACACCCTCCTGCCAGATATCACCTCAGCCCCCTCCTGGAGGGGACAGGAGCCCGGGAGGGTGAGTCAGACCCACCTGCCCTCAATGGCAGGCGGGGAAGATTCAGAAAGGCCTGAGATCCCCAGGACGCAGCACCACTGTCAATGGGGGCCCCAGACGCCTGGACCAGGGCCTGTGTGGGAAAGGCCTCTGGCCACACTCAGGGGCTTTTTGTGAAGGGCCCTCCTGCTGTGTGACTACGGTGGTAACTCCCACAGTGATGAAACCAGCAGCAAAAACTGACCGGACTCGCAGGGTTTATGCACACTTCTCGGCTCGGAGCTCTCCAGGAGCACAAGAGCCAGGCCCGAGGGTTTGTGCCCAGACCCTCGGCCTCTAGGGACACCCGGGCCATCTTAGCCGATGGGCTGATGCCCTGCACACCGTGTGCTGCCAAACAGGGGCTTCAGAGGGCTCTGAGGTGACTTCACTCATGACCACAGGTGCCCTGGTCCCTTCACTGCCAGCTGCACCAGACCCTGTTCCGAGAGATGCCCCAGTTCCAAAAGCCAATTCCTGGGGCCGGGAATTACTGTAGACACCAGCCTCATTCCAGTACCTCCTGCCAATTGCCTGGATTCCCATCCTGGCTGGAATCAAGAGGGCAGCATCCGCCAGGCTCCCAACAGGCAGGACTCCCACACACCCTCTTCTGAGAGGCCGCTGTGTTCCGCAGGGCCAGGCCGCAGACAGTTCCCCTCACCTGCCCATGTAGAAACACCTGCCATTGTCGTCCCCACCTGGCAAAGACCACTTGTGGAGCCCCCAGCCCCAGGTACAGCTGTAGAGAGAGTCCTCGAGGCCCCTAAGAAGGAGCCATGCCCAGTTCTGCTGGGACCCTCGGCCAGGCCGACAGGAGTGGACGCTGGAGCTGGGCCCACACTGGGCCACATAGGAGCTCACCAGTGAGGGCAGGAGAGCACATGCCGGGGAGCACCCAGCCTCCTGCTGACCAGAGACCCGTCCCAGAGCCCAGGAGGCTGCAGAGGCCTCTCCAGGGGGACACAGGGCATGTCTGGTCCCTGAGCAGCCCCCAGGCTCTCTAGCACTGGGGGCCCCTGGCACAGCTGTCTGGACCCTCCCTGTTCCCTGGGAAGCTCCTCCTGACAGCCCCGCCTCCAGTTCCAGGTGTGGTTATTGTCAGGGGGTGCCAGGCCGTGGTAGAGATGGCTACAATTACCACAGTGGTGCCGCCCATAGCAGCAACCAGGCCAAGTAGACAGACCCCTGCCACGCAGCCCCAGGCCTCCAGCTCACCTGCTTCTCCTGGGGCTCTCAAGGCTGCTGTCTGCCCTCTGGCCCTCTGTGGGGAGGGTTCCCTCAGTGGGAGGTCTGTGCTCCAGGGCAGGGATGACTGAGATAGAAATCAAAGGCTGGCAGGGAAAGGCAGCTTCCCGCCCTGAGAGGTGCAGGCAGCACCACAGAGCCATGGAGTCACAGAGCCACGGAGCCCCCAGTGTGGGCGTGTGAGGGTGCTGGGCTCCCGGCAGGCCCAGCCCTGATGGGGAAGCCTGCCCCGTCCCACAGCCCAGGTCCCCAGGGGCAGCAGGCACAGAAGCTGCCAAGCTGTGCTCTACGATCCTCATCCCTCCAGCAGCATCCACTCCACAGTGGGGAAACTGAGCCTTGGAGAACCACCCAGCCCCCTGGAAACAAGGCGGGGAGCCCAGACAGTGGGCCCAGAGCACTGTGTGTATCCTGGCACTAGGTGCAGGGACCACCCGGAGATCCCCATCACTGAGTGGCCAGCCTGCAGAAGGACCCAACCCCAACCAGGCCGCTTGATTAAGCTCCATCCCCCTGTCCTGGGAACCTCTTCCCAGCGCCACCAACAGCTCGGCTTCCCAGGCCC
This sequence comes from Homo sapiens, assembly GCF_000001405.40. NCBI lineage: Eukaryota > Metazoa > Chordata > Mammalia > Primates > Hominidae > Homo > Homo sapiens. The sequence continues at coordinate 105,883,230 of NC_000014.9, read as the reverse complement.
TCATCCCTCCAAGGAAGGCCAAAGGCTGGGCCTGCCAGGGGCACAGTACCCTCCCTTGCCCTGGCTAAGACAGGGTGGGCAGACGGCTGCAGATAGGACATATTGCTGGGGCATCTTGCTCTGTGACTACTGGGTACTGGCTCTCAACGCAGACCCTACCAAAATCCCCACTGCCTCCCCTGCTAGGGGCTGGCCTGGTCTCCTCCTGCTGTCCTAGGAGGCTGCTGACCTCCAGGATGGCTTCTGTCCCCAGTTCTAGGGCCAGAGCAGATCCCAGGCAGGCTGTAGGCTGGGAGGCCACCCCTGTCCTTGCCGAGGTTCAGTGCAGGCACCCAGGACAGGAAATGGCCTGAACACAGGGATGACTGTGCCATGCCCTACCTAAGTCCGCCCCTTTCTACTCTGCAACCCCCACTCCCCAGGTCAGCCCATGACGACCAACAACCCAACACCAGAGTCACTGCCTGGCCCTGCCCTGGGGAGGACCCCTCAGCCCCCACCCTGTCTAGAGGACTTGGGGGGACAGGACACAGGCCCTCTCCTTATGGTTCCCCCACCTGGCTCCTGCCGGGACCCTTGGGGTGTGGACAGAAAGGACGCCTGCCTAATTGGCCCCCAGGAACCCAGAACTTCTCTCCAGGGACCCCAGCCCGAGCACCCCCTTACCCAGGACCCAGCCCTGCCCCTCCTCCCCTCTGCTCTCCTCTCATCACTCCATGGGAATCCAGAATCCCCAGGAAGCCATCAGGAAGGGCTGAAGGAGGAAGCGGGGCCGCTGCACCACCGGGCAGGAGGCTCCGTCTTCGTGAACCCAGGGAAGTGCCAGCCTCCTAGAGGGTATGGTCCACCCTGCCTGGGGCTCCCACCGTGGCAGGCTGCGGGGAAGGACCAGGGACGGTGTGGGGGAGGGCTCAGGTCCCTGCAGGTGCTCCATCTTGGATGAGCCCATCCCTCTCACCCACCGACCCGCCCACCTCCTCTCCACCCTGGCCACACGTCGTCCACACCATCCTGAGTCCCACCTACACCAGAGCCGGCAGAGCCAGTGCAGACAGAGGCTGGGGTGCAGGGGGGCCGCCAGGGCAGCTTTGGGGAGGGAGGAATGGAGGAAGGGGAGGTCAGTGAAGAGGCCCCCCTCCCCTGGGTCTAGGATCCACCTTTGGGACCCCCGGATCCCATCCCCTCCAGGCTCTGGGAGGAGAAGCAGGATGGGAGAATCTGTGCGGGACCCTCTCACAGTGGAATACCTCCACAGCGGCTCAGGCCAGATACAAAAGCCCCTCAGTGAGCCCTCCACTGCAGTGCTGGGCCTGGGGGCAGCCCCTCCCACAGAGGACAGACCCAGCACCCCGAAGAAGTCCTGCCAGGGGGAGCTCAGAGCCATGAAGGAGCAAGATATGGGGACCCCAATACTGGCACAGACCTCAGCTCCATCCAGGCCCACCAGGACCCACCATGGGTGGAACACCTGTCTCCGGCCCCTGCTGGCTGTGAGGCAGCTGGCCTCTGTCTCGGACCCCCATTCCAGACACCAGACAGAGGGACAGGCCCCCCAGAACCAGTGTTGAGGGACACCCCTGTCCAGGGCAGCCAAGTCCAAGAGGCGCGCTGAGCCCAGCAAGGGAAGGCCCCCAAACAAACCAGGAGGTTTCTGAAGCTGTCTGTGTCACAGTCGGGTATAGCAGCGGCTACCACAATGACACTGGGCAGGACAGAAACCCCATCCCAAGTCAGCCGAAGGCAGAGAGAGCAGGCAGGACACATTTAGGATCTGAGGCCACACCTGACACTCAAGCCAACAGATGTCTCCCCTCCAGGGCGCCCTGCCCTGTTCAGTGTTCCTGAGAAAACAGGGGCAGCCTGAGGGGATCCAGGGCCAGGAGATGGGTCCCCTCTACCCCGAGGAGGAGCCAGGCGGGAATCCCAGCCCCCTCCCCATTGAGGCCATCCTGCCCAGAGGGGCCCGGACCCACCCCACACACCCAGGCAGAATGTGTGCAGGCCTCAGGCTCTGTGGGTGCCGCTAGCTGGGGCTGCCAGTCCTCACCCCACACCTAAGGTGAGCCACAGCCGCCAGAGCCTCCACAGGAGACCCCACGCAGCAGCCCAGCCCCTACCCAGGAGGCCCCAGAGCTCAGGGCGCCTGGGTGGATTCTGAACAGCCCCGAGTCACGGTGGGTATAGTGGGAGCTACTACCACTGTGAGAAAAGCTATGTCCAAAACTGTCTCCCGGCCACTGCTGGAGGCCCAGCCAGAGAAGGGACCAGCCGCCCGAACATACGACCTTCCCAGCCCTCATGACCCCCAGCACTTGGAGCTCCACAGTGTCCCCATTGGATGGTGAGGACGGGGGCCGGGGCCATCTGCACCTCCCAACATCACCCCCAGGCAGCACAGGCACAAACCCCAAATCCAGAGCCGACACCAGGAACACAGACACCCCAATACCCTGGGGGACCCTGGCCCTGGTGACTTCCCACTGGGATCCACCCCCGTGTCCACCTGGATCAAAGACCCCACCGCTGTCTCTGTCCCTCACTCAGGGCCTGCTGAGGGGCGGGTGCTTTGGAGCAGACTCAGGTTTAGGGGCCACCATTGTGGGGCCCAACCTCGACCAGGACACAGATTTTTCTTTCCTGCCCTGGGGCAACACAGACTTTGGGGTCTGTGCAGGGAGGACCTTCTGGAAAGTCACCAAGCACAGAGCCCTGACTGAGGTGGTCTCAGGAAGACCCCCAGGAGGGGGTTTGTGCCCCTTCCTCTCATGTGGACCCCATGCCCCCCAAGATAGGGGCATCATGCAGGGCAGGTCCTCCATGCAGCCACCACTAGGCAACTCCCTGGCGCCGGTCCCCACTGCGCCTCCATCCCGGCTCTGGGGATGCAGCCACCATGGCCACACCAGGCAGCCCGGGTCCAGCAACCCTGCAGTGCCCAAGCCCTTGGCAGGATTCCCAGAGGCTGGAGCCCACCCCTCCTCATCCCCCCACACCTGCACACACACACCTACCCCCTGCCCAGTCCCCCTCCAGGAGGGTTGGAGCCGCCCATAGGGTGGGCGCTCCAGGTCTCACTCACTCGCTTCCCTTCCTGGGCAAAGGAGCCTCGTGCCCCGGTCCCCCCTGACGGCGCTGGGCACAGGTGTGGGTACTGGGCCCCAGGGCTCCTCCAGCCCCAGCTGCCCTGCTCTCCCTGGGAGGCCTGGGCACCACCAGACCACCAGTCCAGGGCACAGCCCCAGGGAGCCGCCCACTGCCAGCTCACAGGAAGAAGATAAGCTTCAGACCCTCAGGGCCGGGAGCTGCCTTCCTGCCACCCCTTCCTGCCCCAGACCTCCATGCCCTCCCCCAACCACTTACACACAAGCCAGGGAGCTGTTTCCACACAGTTCAACCCCAAACCAGGACGGCCTGGCACTCGGGTCACTGCCATTTCTGTCTGCATTCGCTCCCAGCGCCCCTGTGTTCCCTCCCTCCTCCCTCCTTCCTTTCTTCCTGCATTGGGTTCATGCCGCAGAGTGCCAGGTGCAGGTCAGCCCTGAGCTTGGGGTCACCTCCTCACTGAAGGCAGCCTCAGGGTGCCCAGGGGCAGGCAGGGTGGGGGTGAGGCTTCCAGCTCCAACCGCTCCACTAGCCGAGACTAAGGAAGTGAGAGGCAGCCAGAAATCCAGACCATTCCATAGCAAATGGATTTCATTAAAGTTACCAGACTTCAGTGTAAGTAACATGAGCCCCATGCACAACAATCCCTTATGAAGGGGAAGTCAGTGTCGCCTCGGATTTCTTGAAAAACACAAAAACTTATCAATGCCTGTAAAAGTCTGTTGGAAAGAAAATATGATTCAAGAATGTTATGCCCAACAAAGCTGGCATATTTTCTACCCGGACACACTCAGGGAATGTGGTCCCTTGAGTGCTTCTCTCACTGCGTAAATCCTACGTGGTGTTTAAGCATATTCATAAATGTGTATGTCTATTTTTATGTGTAAGATGGTTCATTTTTATTTTATTTATTCAATATGTACAATAAAGAATATTGACAAATAGGCTGGACATGGTGGCTCCCACCTGTAATCCCAGCCCTTTGGGAGGCCGAGGCGGGCAGATCACCTGAGGTCTGGAGTTCGAGACCAGCCTGGCCAACATGATGAAAACCCATCTCTACTAAAAATACAAAGATTAGCCAGGCATGGTGGTGCATGCCTGTAATCCCAGCCACTCAGGAGGCTGAGACAGGAGAAATGCGTGAACCCGGAAGGCGGAGGTTGCAGTGAGCCGAGATCACACCACTGCACTCCAGCCTGGCGACAGAGCAAGATTCCATCTCAAAAAAAAAAAGACAAAGAAATTTGTTTTTTTGAATAAAGACAAATTTCATCACACGAAGATAAAGATGCAAAGCTCCAGACAGGAAGGCACGGACAGCACAGTGAAGCCCGGAGCGGGCGCTGGGGGGCCAGGGGCATGGCGGGGGTGCCAGCGTCTCTCGGTGCCTACCATGGCCACTCCAGCCTGTGTTCTCACGAGGATGGCTGTGCAATGCTAGGAGCGTGTTCGAAGCTCTAGGGCAACCACTGGAAGTGAGGCTGAGGAGCAGAGCCCAGAGGCCCGTGGAGCTGATGAAAAGAAAGCTGGAGAAAGTGTTTGCTGCCTCCCAACATGGTAAGAAAAGATAGAAAGAGAGAGCACACGGCAAAGGGAGCTTGCTGAGGGACTCTTTACAATGGCTTGCACAGAGCTCAGGGGGTCTGGGAGGCTAGGGCCCTGCGCAGGGCAGTCACCCCAGCCTGCTGACCAAGGTTTGCTGCAGGCAGCTCTGGGGGTGGTTGAGGCGCGGTCCCTGGAGCCACCCCTCAAGGGAACGAGGCAGCAGAGTGGGCCAAGGCCCAGGTCGGCTGCAAGGCTGCCCAGGACTTGGGGTCCTTACATCAGCAGCCACTGATGCAGCTGGCCCAGAGAGAGGCGCCGAGCAGGTTGCCTCCAGGGGACAAACCAGGTCGGAGAGGGTGAGGCAGTGGATGGAGCCACAACAACCCCGGGCACGGGTGACACGCACGTTCATGCACATCTGACCCTTCCTCCCTCACCAAACAGGTCCCCCTGCCTTCCCCATGGTTGCGAAAAAGCAAAATGTAGACGTTTTTTCTTTTTTAATTCATGTTTTAATTGACAAATGAAGCCGTATATATTTATTGTGTACAACATGATGCTTTAAAATATGTATACATCGTGGAACAGCAACGTTGAGCTAATTTAACACGCATTACTTCACATACTTGTCATCTTTTGTGGCGAGAATGCTTAAAATCCACTCTCTTAGTATTTTTTAAGAATGCAATACATTGTTGTCAACTGTGGTCACCGTCATGCATAGCCAAGCTCCCGACCTCACCCTCCTGCCAGCTCAGGCTGTGCATCCTTTCACCAGCATCCCCCACCCCGGCCCCTGGCCCTGGTAACTACCACTCTATACTCTACGTATGAGTTCAGCTTTTTAAGATTCCACAGATGAATGAGATCATACAGTATTTGCTTTCTATGCCTGGCTTATTTTAGTTAACACACTGTCCTCCAGATCCATCCGTTGTTGCAAATGACAGGGTTTCATTCTTTTTAAAGTCTAAAGAGTATTCCATTGTGTCAATGGACCTCATTTGCTTTATCCATGCATCAACTATGGACATTTAGGTTGATTCCATTTCTTAGCTGTTGTGGATGGTGCTGCAGTAAACATGGGGCTGCAGATGTCTCTTCAACATACTGACATCATGTCCTTTGGATAAATACCCAGTAGTGGGATCGCTGGATCACAATGTACAGTTTTTTTTTTAATGGAAACTTTCATTTTTTGGTGAAATTAGGAAAACAGATAAAACCCACAGAATCCAAAATATATGTGAAGATGCCAAAAACAGTTGACATTGGGCAGAGGTCACATGGAAGGAAGTGAATACATGACGGGGTGTGAGGGCCCAGAGGCAGCTGAAATACGCTTTCTAAACACAAGGACCTCTTCTGAGAGGGCAGAAGTTTTATCCTGCACATGCAATGACCAGCACAGCTAAAATACACTTTCTAAACATGAGGACCTCTTCTGAGAGGGCAGCTTTATCCTGCAAATGCAATGACCAGCACAGGACCCAGAATAAAGAGAGTTGCCAGCGGACGCCTGGTGTCCATGTGTCCAGGTGAGTTCGAGATGCGGACGGCGCTGGCCAGCCAGTCACACCCTAAGTCAATCTGCTGCATGCATTTGTCCTTGCCACAGCAGAAAACGAGAAAGCCTTTGGGCTGCAAAGCTTCACAGGCTCCTCTTCTCCCGACTCCATGGAAACAGCTACAAAGAGCAGGCCCAGTAGAGCTTAATTCATGAAAATGAGTAATAAACTTGAACTGGAACAGTATCGACTTTTTAGAAACGGCAGCAAAGTGTATAAAAAATATTCACCAGAACAATATTTCCAAACGATGAGATGAGAATTTCAGCCAAGTAATCCTCCATGGATAGAAAATAATGAAGGGATTGGATTTATGAAGGAAAATCATGGAGCTCAAATACAAGAGAAGAGAATCAAAAATGAACAGGAGGAGATAAAATATGGTTTGGCCAAAGTTACAAAATAAATTTTTTAAAAACCCTTCATCATGGCAAGTAGAAAGAGCGAGAGGAAAAACAGATCCCGTGGAAGACACAAATAGGACATGGGGAGAAAAATGAATGAGATGAAACAGAGCAGAAATAAAATTTTACGGAACTAAAGACAAGTGATCTGAACCTGCCTGGGGCCTGGGGGACCTCGCCACCCTGAAGGGAAAGAACATGCCTGGCTGGCTTTGCCACCTGCTCATTGCAGAGCCCCACAGCTTGCAACAAACATAGGCGGTAGCCAGGGAGTGGTTACAGCAGGCCTTGAGCAAGACCCAGTGTTGTGCTGACTTCAGGTCTGACCCAGCACTGTCATAGTGGTGGTGTCCATAGTGGTAGTGGGGGTGCTTGTGTCACTCCACCCCCATCTCCAGGAGGCTCAGAACAGACAGAGAGAGACTCCATTTGTTTGGGAGAAAGTAAGGGATGAGAACAAGAGTCTCTGCCTGGTAATCCAGAGAATTATTCTAGATCTTGGCCAAGATTATCAAAGCAGTACCTCTATGAGTCTTTTGGGCTTGGAGTCCCCCTAAAGCAGATATAGCTAAGATCACAACACCCAAGTCCTTTTGAATATGTGGGAAGACTTCCCAAGGACAGGAGCAAACAAACAAGCCCAGACTGCAAAAAAACAAGCCCAGACTGCAATAAACACCTCACTCTTCAATGCCCAGGCACTGAAGAACATCTCCTAGCAGCAACACCATCCAGGAAAACATGGCCTCAACCAGTGAACTAAATAAGGCACCAGGGACCAGTCTCGGAGAAATAGAGGTATGTTATCTTTCAGAGAATTCAAAGTAGCTTTGTTGAGGAAACTCAAAGAAATTCAAGATAACACAGTGAAGGAATTCAGAATCCTATCCGATAAATTTAACAGAGATTGAAGCAATTAAAAAGAATTAAGCAGAAATTATGGAGCTGAAAAATGCAATTGGCATACTGAAAAATGCATCAGAGTATTTTCATAGCCTCTTATATCAAGTAGAAGAAAGAATTAGTGAGCTTGAAAACAGGCTATTTGGAAAAGCACGATAAAAGGAGACAAAAGAGAAAAGAATAAATAACAATGAAGCATATCTACAGGATCTAGAAAATAGCCTCAAAAGGCCAAATCTAAGAATTATTAGCCTTAAAGAGGAGGTAGAGAAAGAGGGATGGAGAGTTTATTCAAAGGGATAATAACAGAAAACTTCCCAAACCTAGAGAAAGATATCAATATCCAAATGCAAGAAGGATGTAGTACACCAAGGAGATTTAATGCAAAGAAGACTACCTCAAGGCATTCAATACTCAAACTCCCATATGACAAGGACTTTAAAAAGATCCTAAAAGCAGCAAAAGAAAAGAAATGAATAAAATACTATGGAGCTCCAATATGTCTGGCAGCAGACTTTTCAGTGAAGACTTTATATGCCAGGAGAGAGTGTCATAATGGATTTAAAGTGCTGAAGGAAAAAACTTTTACCCTCGAACAGTATAGCTGGTGAAATTATCCTTCAAACATGAAGGAGAAATAATTTGTTTCCAGACAAATGTTGAGGGATTTCATGAACACCAGACCTGTCTTTTAAGAAATGCTAAAGGGAGTACTTCAATCAGAAAGAAACACGTTAGTGAACAATAAGAAATCATCTGAAGGCACAAAACTCACCGGTAATAGTAAGTACACAGAAAAACACAGAATATTATAACACTGTAACTGTGGTGTGTAAACTCCTTTTGTTTGTTTGTTTGTTTGTTTGTTTGTTTGTTTGTTTTTGTTTTTAGACGGAGTTTTGCTCCAGCCCAGGCTGGAGTGCAATGGCACAATCTCAGCTCACTGCAACTTCCACCTCCCGGGTTCAAGCAATTCTCCTGCCTCAGCCTCCCAAGTAGCTGGGATTACAGGCATGTGCTACCATGTCCAGCTAATTTTGTATTTTAGTAGAGACGGTGTTTCACCATGTTGGTCAGGCTAGCCTTATCTTGAGTAGAAAAACTAAATGATGAAGCAATGAAAAATAATAACTACAACTTTTCAAGACATAGTACAATAAGATATAAATCATAACAAAAAGTTAAAAGGTGGAGGGATGAAGTTAAGGCAAAGAGTCTTTATTAGTTTTCTTTTTACTTGTCTGTTTATGCAAACAGTGTTAAGTTGTCATCAGTTTAAAATAATGGGTCATAAGATACTATTTGCAAGCCTCATGGTAACGTCAAACCAAAAGCAATACAACAGATACACAAAAAACAAAAAGCAAGAAGCTAAATTACGTCATCAGAGAAAATCACCTTCACTAAAAGGAAGACGGAGAAAAGAATGAAGAGAGAGAAGACCAAAAGCAAATAGCAATATGGCAGGAGTAAGTCCTTACTTATCAATAATACCATTGAATGTAAATGGACTAAACTCTCCAATCAAAAGACATAGAGTGGCTGAATCAATTAAAGAAAAAACAAGACCCATTGATCTGTTGTCCACAAGAAACACACTTTATCTATAAAGACACACATAGACTGAAAACAAAGGGATGGAAAAAGATACTCCACGCCAATGGAAACCAAAGAAAGAGCAGGAGTAGCTACACTTATATCAGGCAAAATAGATTTCAAGACAAAAACTATAAGAAGAGACAAGGTCACTAATGATAAACAGGTCAATTCAGCAAGAGGATATAACAATTGTAAATATATATGCACCCAATGCTGGAGCACCCAGATATATAAAGCAAGTATTTACTAGAGCTAAAGAGAGAAATAGACTCCAATGCAATAATAGCTGGAGATTTCAACATCCCACTTTCAACATTGAACAGATCCTCCAGATAGAAAATCAACAAAGAAATATTGGACTTAATCTGCACTATCGACCAAATGGATCTAACAGATATTTACAGAACATTTCATCCAACAGCTGCAGAACACACATTCTTTTCCTCAGCACATAGATCATTCTCAAGGATAGACCATATGTTGGGTCACAAAACAAGTTTTAAAATATTCAAATACATTGAAATAATATCAAGCATCTTCTGTGACCACAATGGACTAAAACTAGAAATCAATAACAAGAGGAATTTTGGAAACTATATAAATATATGGAAATTAATGAATGCTGAGTGGGTCAATGAAGCAATTAAGAAGGAAACTGAAATTTTTCTTGGAACGAATGATCATGGAAACAGAAAATACCAAAACCTATGGGATACAGCAAAAGCAGTACTAAGAGGGAAGTTTACAGCTACAAATGCTTACATTAAAAAAGAAGAAAAACTTCAATAAAAAAACCTAACAATGCATCTTAAAGAACTAGAAAAGCAAGAGGAAATCAAATCCAAAATTAGTAGAAGAAAACAGTAAAGGTCAGAGCAGAAATAAGTAAAATTGAAATGAAGAAAACAATACAAAAGATCAATAAAACAACAGGTTGTTTTCTTGAAAAGTTAAACAAAATTGACAAACCTTTAGCCAGACTAAGAAAAAAAGACAGAAGATCCAAATAAATAAAATCAGAGATGAAAAAGGTGACATTACAACTTACACCACAGAAATTCAAAGGATCATTAGTGGCTACTATAAGCAACTATATGCCAATAAATTGGAAAATCTAGAAGAAATGCAGAAATTCCTAGACACATACAACCTCCCAAGATTAAACCAAGAAGAAATTCAAAACCTGAACAGACTGATAACAAGTAATGAGATCAAAGCCGTAATAAAAAGCCTCCCAGTAAAGAGAAGCCCAGGACCCGACGGCTTCACTGCTGAATTCTACCAAACATTTAAAGTAGAACTAATACCAATCCTACTCAAACTATTCCAAAAAATAGAGGTGGAAGGAATACTTCAAAACTCATTATACGAGGCCAGTATTAACCTGACACCAAAACTAGACAAAGACACATGAAAAAAAGAAAACTACAGGCCAATATGTCTGATGAATATTGACACAAAAATCCTCAACAAAATACTAGCAAACCAAATTCAACTACACATTAGAAAGTTCACTCATCATGACCAAGTGGAATTTATCTAACTTGGGATGCAAAGATGGTTCAACATATGCAAATCAATCAATGTGATACATCATATCAACAGAATGAACAACAAAAACCATTTGATCATTTAATTGATACTGAAAAAGCATTTGATAAAATTCAACATTCCTTCATAATAAAAATTCTCTTCTATACTAGGTACAAAAGAAACTTACCTCAACATAATAAAGCCATATATGACAGTCCCACAGTATGATACTAAATGAGGAAAAACTGAGAGCCTTTCCTCTACGATCTGGAACATGACAAAGATGCCCACTTTCATCACTGTTATTCAACATAGTACTGGAAGTCCTAGCTGGAGCGATCAGACAAGAGAAAGATATAAAAGACATCCAAATTGGAAAGGAATAAGTCAAATTATCCTCATTTGCATATGGTATGATCTTCTATTTAGAGCTAACTAAAGACTCCACCAAAAAAAGTTATTAGAACTGACGAACAAATTCAGTAAAGCTGCAGGATACAAAATCAACATACAAAAATCAGTAGCATTTCTATATGCCAACAATGACCAATGTGAAAAAGAAATTAAAAAGTAACCCTATTTACAATAACCACAAATAAACACCTAGGAATTAACCAAAGAGGTAAAAGATTTCTGTAATGAAAACTATAAAAACTGATGAAAGAAATTGAAGAGTACACCAAAAAATGGAAAGCAATTGCATGTTCATGGATTAGAAGAATCAGTGTTGTTATAATGTCCATACTATCCAAAGCAATCTACAGATTCAATGCAATCCTTATCAAAATACCAATGACATCATTCACAGAAATAGAAAAAAAAAATCCTAAAATTTACGTGGAACCACAAAGACCCAGAATAGCCAAAGCTCTCCTAAGCAAAAAGAACGAAACTGTAGGAATGACATTGCCTGTCTTCAAATTCTACTACAGAGCTATAGATAGTAACCAAAACAGCGTGGTACTAGCATAAAAACAGACACAGAGACAAACAGAACAAAATTTAAAAACCCAGAAATAAATCCACACACCTACAGCAAATTCATTTTTGACAAAGTTGCCAAGAACATACTCTGGGGAATAGATAATGATATCTCTTCAATAAATAATGTGGGGAAAACTGGATATCCATATACATAACAGTGAAACTAGACCCCTCTCTCTCTCACTATATACAAAAATCAAATCAAAATTGTTTAAGGACTTAAATCTAAGACCTCATACTATGAAACCACTGCAAGACAACCTTGGCGGAAACTCTCCAAGACATCAGTCCAGGCAAAGATTTCTTGAGTAATATCCCACAAGCACAGACAACCAAAGCAAAAATGGACAAATGGGATCACATCAAGTTAAAAAGCTTCTGCACAGTAAGGGAAACAACCAACAAAATGAAGAGACAACCCACAGAATGGGAGAAAATATTTGAAAAATACCCATCTGGCAAGGGATTAAAAACCAGAATATATGCAGAATATATAAGGAGCTCAAACAGTGCTATAGAAAAAAAAATCTAATAATCTGATTTAAAAATGGGAAAAATGTTAGAATAGACATTTCTTAAAATAAGACATACAGATGGCAAACCGACATGGAACGGTGCTCAACATCATGGATTATCACAGAAACACAATCAATCAAAACTAAAACTAAAATGTGCTATCATCTCACCCCAGTTAAAATGGCTGATATCCAGAAGACAGGCAATAACAAATGCTGGCAAGGATGTGGGGAAAAGGGAGCCCCCATACACTGTTGCTGGGATTGTAAATTAGTACAACCACTGTGGAGAGCAGCATGAAAGTTCCTCAAAAAACTGAAAGAAAGCTACCATAGGATCCAGCAATCCCACTGCTGTGTATATACTACAAAAGAAAGGAAGTCAGTATATGAAGAGGTATCTGCACTCCCATGTTTGTTGCAGCCCTGTTCACAACAGCCAAGATTTGGAAGCAACCTAAGTGTCCATCAGCAGTTGAATGTATAAAGAAAATGTGGTGCATATACACAATGGAGTATTATTCAATAATAAAAAGGAATGAGATTGAGTCATTTGCAACAACATGGATGGAACTGGAGATCATTATGTGAAGTGAAATAAGCCAGGCACAGAAAGACAAACATTACAATGTTCTTACTTATTAATGAGATCTAAAAATCAAAACAATTGCACCCATGTTCATAAAGAGTAAAAGGATGGTTACCAGATGCTGAGAACGGTGGTGGGGGGATAGGGAAAGGTGGCAGTGGTTAACGGGTACAAAAAAATAGAAAGAATGAATAAGACTTACTACTTGATAGCACAGCAAGGTGGCTATAGTCAGTAATTTAGTTGTATATTTTTAATAATGAAAGGTGTATAATTGGATTGTTTCTAACACAAAGGATAATGCTTAAGAGGATGGATACCCCATTTTCCATGATGTGATTATTTCACATTGCACGCCTAGATCAAAACATCCAATGTACCCCATAAATATATACATCTTCTATGTACCCATAAAAATTCTGTAAAATAAAATATATAAAAAGAGGTGACAGATATGGAAGACAGGCAAAGAAGAGACGACATCCACATAATCCGAGTACCTAAGAAAGAATGGAGTCCAGTGCATCTCAGGAGCCACCATTCTAAGCCAATTTTCTCTGGTTCTCTCAGTCACCCTACTAATACGTGGGCAATCTTGTTTTATTTCAGGATAGAGTTTTTGAAATTATAGATTTAAGTATGCTTTCTGTTCTATTACTTTTGGTAATTAATTTTAGAAAGAACTAATTTGGGCACAAATTTGAAAAAATTCTAAATCCAAAAAAAAAAAGAAAAAAACACACACACAATCATCTATAAGGGGGATGATGACCAGTCCTAGATTTCTCACCAGCCACATTCAAGATCAGTAAATGGTAGGACAAAACCTGTAGGGTCCTTAAGGGGGAAAGAAGTAGTGGATAGTCCAGAGTCTATATACAGCCAACTGTTCTTGAAGAAAAAAGGCTGCTGAAAAGGAGTTCCAAACATTCTATAATCCATAATCTCATGATGAAACTACTAGAGGAAGACCACCAGCCATCAAAAGGTGCTTGGAGAACCCAGGGCCAAGAACCAAAAGTAAATATTAAGTGTCCTTAACTGCGAGACTAAGATAGAAATGACTGTGGGGGACCATGTGGCCTCAACAGAGGTGAAATGGTGTCTGCCTGACAAAGTGGACATTTTACAATGATCAAAACACAGAATATGAGATAGAGAGCACTTCTGAATTACTGCCTCACTCCAAATAACTCTCAGCCAAAGGACTTCAGTAAAACCAAATTGGGCATATTAGACAGTACAAACAAATTCTAAGAAAATAATATTACTGATTACAATCACATGATGCTAGAGATGGAGGGGAAAAGGAAGAGGAAACCAGGTAATTTCATACTCGTATATAGTAAAGAACTAAAGTACATTGTCCAAAGAAGAACAAAGAATATTTTGGAAAGTTATAAAGGTAGCCACTACACATAGAAGATAGCAAAGAACAAGAAAACTTAAGATGGAAAACTTTTTGGAAGCATAAAAATAGAAAATATAAACTACTAAGATAAGATTGAAGCCAAACAGATCTATGAAAACAACAAACATCAATGGCCTTAACTTGCCTATTAAAAGGAAGAGACTTTCAAATTGGACCACAAGATAAAACCCAACTCTATATAGCATATGAGTATTACACACAAAATGGGAAAAGCTGAAAAAACTTGGGCAAAATTCACCCCAAGCAAATTCCACTGTTTCCTTTGGGACAAAATGCCAAGCTCCATGCCAGGGAAGATGATTCTCCTCAGACCTTCTCCTCACTCTCCCAGTCCTCTTAGGGAAGGAATTGGGTGTTAGAGGAGGGAGACTCTGTCGATTATCAGCTGAAGCAGTGGTGTGCTCCTGCGTTGCTTCTGACCTGGGAAATGAAGCAGCAAGACTCTTTCTGCTGTGTCTTTGCCCAGAAGGGCCATCCCCCCAGAGCAGAGTACCCAGGCCGGCAGGAGCAGTGGTGGAAGCGTGGAAACCACGTCTCCTACAGCAGAGACCATCAGAAGCGGAGCCTCGGGTATAAGGGAAACAACGCGTTCTCCCTAACCTGGGAGTGACAGACAGCGTCATTCCTCACAGTGATACCCTGTGTTCTAGCCATCTGGCCCATGACAGAGCCAGCCCAGAGCCAGCCCAGAGCCAGCCCCTCACCAACCTGGAGCCTGGCCAGCTCGCCAAGCTGCACCATAGGCCTGGAAGGCGTGGAGACCTGCGGCAGTGCCCTGTCCTCCCGTGAGGCCTGCCATCCCTGCCAGGGGTCGCCTCTGGCTTCTCCTCCAGGACCGCACGGTCCAGAGGCTCAGTGCCTGGAGTAGGTGTTGCCCCCCTGCTTCTAGGCCCAGACCCTCCCTTGTTCCTGACCCCGGGCCTTTCCCTCTGGCTTGGACATCCAGGGCCCTGTCTCAGCTGGGGAGCTGCTCCTGCTCAAGGACTGTCTTCCGCGGGATCGAAAGGCCGCGTCCTGAACAATGCGTGGGCCACGTGAGCGGAGCAGGCTCTAAAGGCCGCGTCCTAAACAGTGCGTGGGCCACGTGAGCGGAGCAGGCTCTAAAGGCCGCGTCCTAAACAGTGCGTGGGCCACGTGAGCGGAGCAGGCTCTAAAGGCCGCGTCCTAAACAGTGCGTGGGCCACGTGAGCGGAGCAGGCTCTAAAGGCCGCGTCCTAAACAGTGCGTGGGCCACGTGAGCGGAGCAGGCTCTAAAGGCCGCGTCCTAAACAGTGCGTGGGCCACGTGAGCGGAGCAGGCTCTAAAGGCCGCGTCCTAAACAGTGCGTGGGCCACGGGAGCGGAGCAGACTCTAAAGGCCGCGTCCTAAACAGTGCGTGGGCCACGTGAGCGGAGCAGGCTCTAAAGGCCGCGTCCTAAACAGTGCGTGGGCCACGTGAGCGGAGCAGGCTCTAAAGGCCGCGTCCTAAACAGTGCGTGGGCCACGTGAGCGGAGCAGGCTCTAAAGGCCGCGTCCTAAACAGTGCGTGGGCCACGTGAGCGGAGCAGGCTCTAAAGGCCGCGTCCTAAACAGTGCGTGGGCCACGGGAGCGGAGCAGACTCTAAAGGCCGCGTCCTAAACAGTGTGTGGGCCACGTGAGCGGAGCAGGCTCTAAAGGCCGCGTCCTAAACAGTGCGTGGGCCACGGGAGCGGAGCAGACTCTAAAGGCCGCGTCCTAAACAGTGTGTGGGCCACGTGAGCGGAGCGCCCTCTCCACTGCCCTCGGGGCCGCAGCTCCCAGCTCAGCTCCCAGCCCTGCTCAGGGCAGCCAGGCCAGGAGGTACCATCCAGGCTAAGTGACCCTCAGGGGGGACAGGTGCCCCAGGAGATGCCAGCTGTTGGGAGAGGCTGGGGGACCAACTCGACCTGGCCTGTGGGCCCTGCCCTGGCCACCCATTGTAGGATCCAGCCGCCACGCCTGTGACACTCGTGTGCTTTCCCTGGTGTGTGCTTGTGGCAGGTGGGGGCAGAGGGTCCTCAGGCCAGAGAGCCACTCCCCCAGCGCCAGACCACCCTCTTCCTCACTCCCCCACCTCACCCCCTCACAGGTGCCTCCCAGGCCATCAGGGCCCAACCACCCCTAAACAAATGGGTTCTCGGCCCCTCGTGGCTGGAGGTGGGTTCTCTCACCATTCCCAGCCTAAGGCTCCATCCCCATGCTGGCAGCTGTTCAACCATGTCTAGAGAGATCCACTGTCCCAGACAGCACCTCAGGGTCCCCCGTCCTGCCTGGAACCCTGTAGGAAACTCCACAAACCGCCGCCATTCTGTCCACACCCCTACAGGAGCCCCAACCCTCTCCCCACATCCAGGCTTCCCTCCCAGACCCCTCATCCCTGCCCGCACGGTGCCTGAGGGGGCCTTCTTGGGCAGCGCCTAAGCAAGCCCCCAGCACCCTTCGGCCCCTTCAAGGCACACAGGCCCCCTTTCCACCCAGCCTCAGGAAACCACCTGTGTCCTCCAACGACAGGTCCCAGCCTCCCAGCCTTTGCCTTGCCTGTTCCTCTCCCTGGAACTCTGCCCCGACACAGACCCTCCCCAGCAAGCCCGCAGGGGCACCTCCCCTGCCCCCAGACACCCTGTGCCCGTCAGTTCATCCCCAGCAGAGGCCCTCACCAGGCACACCCCCATGCTCACACCTGGCCGCAGGCCTCAGCCTCCCTGAGGGCCCCACCCAGCCCGCGTCTGGCCAGTGGTGCGTGCAAAGCCCCTCACCCAGACTCGGCGGAAGGCAGCCAGTGCAGGCCTGGGGAGGGGCTCTCCTTAGACCACCTTGCACCTTCCCTGGCACCCACCATGGGAAGAGCTGAGACTCACTGAGGACCAGCTGAGGCTCAGAGAAGGGACCCAGCACTGGTGGACACGCAGGGAGCCCACGCCAGGGCGCCGTGGTGAGTGAGGCCCAGTGCCACCCACTGAGGCCTCCCGTTCAGTGGGACGACGGTGAACAGGTGGAACCAACCAGGCAACCCCCGCCGGGCCCCACAGACGGGATCAGAGCAGGAAAGGCTTCCTGCCCCTGCAGGCCAGCGAGGAGCCCTGGCGGGGGCCATGGCCCTCCAGGCGAGGAGGCTCCCCTGGCCACCGCCACCCGGGCCTCTCTGCTGCTGGGAAAACAAGTCAGAAAGCAAGTGGATGAGAGGTGGCGTGACAGACCCAGCTTCAGATCTGCTCTAATTTACAAAAGAAAAGGAAAAACACACTTGGCAGCCTTCAGCACTCTAATGATTCTTAACAGCAGCAAATTATTGGCACAAGACTCCAGAGTGACTGGCAGGGTTGAGGGCTGGGGTCTCCCGCGTGTTTTGGGGCTAACAGCGGAAGGGAGAGCACTGGCAAAGGTGCTGGGGGCCCCTGGACCCGACCCGCCCTGGAGACCGCAGCCACATCAGCCCCCAGCCCCACAGGCCCCCTACCAGCCGCAGGGTTTTGGCTGAGCTGAGAACCACTGTGCTAACTGGGGACACAGTGATTGGCAGCTCTACAAAAACCATGCTCCCCCGGGACCCCGGGCTGTGGGTTTCTGTAGCCCCTGGCTCAGGGCTGACTCACCGTGGCTGAATACTTCCAGCACTGGGGCCAGGGCACCCTGGTCACCGTCTCCTCAGGTGAGTCTGCTGTCTGGGGATAGCGGGGAGCCAGGTGTACTGGGCCAGGCAAGGGCTTTGGCTTCAGACTTGGGGACAGGTGCTCAGCAAAGGAGGTCGGCAGGAGGGCGGAGGGTGTGTTTTTGTATGGGAGAAGCAGGAGGGCAGAGGCTGTGCTACTGGTACTTCGATCTCTGGGGCCGTGGCACCCTGGTCACTGTCTCCTCAGGTGAGTCCCACTGCAGCCCCCTCCCAGTCTTCTCTGTCCAGGCACCAGGCCAGGTATCTGGGGTCTGCAGCCGGCCTGGGTCTGGCCTGAGGCCACACCAGCTGCCATCCCTGGGGTCTCCGCCATGGGCTGCATGCCAGAGCCCTGCTGTCACTTAGCCCTGGGGCCAGCTGGAGCCCCCAAGGACAGGCAGGGACCCCGCTGGGCTTCAGCCCCGTCAGGGACCCTCCACAGGTAGCAAGCAGGCCGAGGGCAGGGACGGGAAGGAGAAGTTGTGGGCAGAGCCTGGGCTGGGGCTGGGCGCTGGCTGTTCATGTGCCGGGGACCAGGCCTGCGCTTTAGTGTGGCTACAAGTGCTTGGAGCACTGGGGCCAGGGCAGCCCGGCCACCGTCTCCCTGGGAACGTCACCCCTCCCTGCCTGGGTCTCAGCCCGGGGGTCTGTGTGGCTGGGGACAGGGACGCCGGCTGCCTCTGCTCTGTGCTTGGGCCATGTGACCCATTCGAGTGTCCTGCACGGGCACAGGTTTATGTCTGGGCAGGAACAGGGACTGTGTCCCTGTGTGATGCTTTTGATATCTGGGGCCAAGGGACAATGGTCACCGTCTCTTCAGGTAAGATGGCTTTCCTTCTGCCTCCTTTCTCTGGGCCCAGCGTCCTCTGTCCTGGAGCTGGGAGATAATGTCCGGGGGCTCCTTGGTCTGCGCTGGGCCATGTGGGGCCCTCCGGGGCTCCTTCTCCGGCTGTTTGGGACCACGTTCAGCAGAAGGCCTTTCTTTGGGAACTGGGACTCTGCTGCTGGGGCAAAGGGTGGGCAGAGTCATGCTTGTGCTGGGGACAAAATGACCTTGGGACACGGGGCTGGCTGCCACGGCCGGCCCGGGACAGTCGGAGAGTCAGGTTTTTGTGCACCCCTTAATGGGGCCTCCCACAATGTGACTACTTTGACTACTGGGGCCAGGGAACCCTGGTCACCGTCTCCTCAGGTGAGTCCTCACAACCTCTCTCCTGCTTTAACTCTGAAGGGTTTTGCTGCATTTTTGGGGGGAAATAAGCGTGCTGGGTCTCCTGCCAAGAGAGCCCCGGAGCAGCCTGGGGGGCTCAGGAGGATGCCCTGAGGCAACAGCGGCCACACAGACGAGGGGCAAGGGCTCCAGATGCTCCTTCCTCCTGAGCCCAGCAGCACGGGTCTCTCTGTGGCCAGGGCCACCCTGGGCCTCTGGGGTCCAATGTCCAACAACCCCCGGGCCCTCCCCGGGCTCAGTCTGAGAGGGTCCCAGGGACTTAGCGGGGTGCCAGTTCTTGCCTGGGGTCCTGGCATTGTTGTCACAATGTGACAACTGGTTCGACCCCTGGGGCCAGGGAACCCTGGTCACCGTCTCCTCAGGTGAGTCCTCACCACCCCCTCTCTGAGTCCACTTAGGGAGACTCAGCTTGCCAGGGTCTCAGGGTCAGAGTCTTGGAGGCATTTTGGAGGTCAGGAAAGAAAGCTGGGGAGAGGGACCCTTCGAATGGGAACCCAGCCTGTCCTCCCCAAGTCCGGCCACAGATGTCGGCAGCTGGGGGGCTCCTTCGGCTGGTCTGGGGTGACCTCTCTCCGCTTCACCTGGAGCATTCTCAGGGGCTGTCGTGATGATTGCGTGGTGGGACTCTGTCCCGCTCCAAGGCACCCGCTCTCTGGGACGGGTGCCCCCCGGGGTTTTTGGACTCCTGGGGGTGACTTAGCAGCCGTCTGCTTGCAGTTGGACTTCCCAGGCCGACAGTGGTCTGGCTTCTGAGGGGTCAGGCCAGAATGTGGGGTACGTGGGAGGCCAGCAGAGGGTTCCATGAGAAGGGCAGGACAGGGCCACGGACAGTCAGCTTCCATGTGACGCCCGGAGACAGAAGGTCTCTGGGTGGCTGGGTTTTTGTGGGGTGAGGATGGACATTCTGCCATTGTGATTACTACTACTACTACTACATGGACGTCTGGGGCAAAGGGACCACGGTCACCGTCTCCTCAGGTAAGAATGGCCACTCTAGGGCCTTTGTTTTCTGCTACTGCCTGTGGGGTTTCCTGAGCATTGCAGGTTGGTCCTCGGGGCATGTTCCGAGGGGACCTGGGCGGACTGGCCAGGAGGGGATGGGCACTGGGGTGCCTTGAGGATCTGGGAGCCTCTGTGGATTTTCCGATGCCTTTGGAAAATGGGACTCAGGTTGGGTGCGTCTGATGGAGTAACTGAGCCTGGGGGCTTGGGGAGCCACATTTGGACGAGATGCCTGAACAAACCAGGGGTCTTAGTGATGGCTGAGGAATGTGTCTCAGGAGCGGTGTCTGTAGGACTGCAAGATCGCTGCACAGCAGCGAATCGTGAAATATTTTCTTTAGAATTATGAGGTGCGCTGTGTGTCAACCTGCATCTTAAATTCTTTATTGGCTGGAAAGAGAACTGTCGGAGTGGGTGAATCCAGCCAGGAGGGACGCGTAGCCCCGGTCTTGATGAGAGCAGGGTTGGGGGCAGGGGTAGCCCAGAAACGGTGGCTGCCGTCCTGACAGGGGCTTAGGGAGGCTCCAGGACCTCAGTGCCTTGAAGCTGGTTTCCATGAGAAAAGGATTGTTTATCTTAGGAGGCATGCTTACTGTTAAAAGACAGGATATGTTTGAAGTGGCTTCTGAGAAAAATGGTTAAGAAAATTATGACTTAAAAATGTGAGAGATTTTCAAGTATATTAATTTTTTTAACTGTCCAAGTATTTGAAATTCTTATCATTTGATTAACACCCATGAGTGATATGTGTCTGGAATTGAGGCCAAAGCAAGCTCAGCTAAGAAATACTAGCACAGTGCTGTCGGCCCCGATGCGGGACTGCGTTTTGACCATCATAAATCAAGTTTATTTTTTTAATTAATTGAGCGAAGCTGGAAGCAGATGATGAATTAGAGTCAAGATGGCTGCATGGGGGTCTCCGGCACCCACAGCAGGTGGCAGGAAGCAGGTCACCGCGAGAGTCTATTTTAGGAAGCAAAAAAACACAATTGGTAAATTTATCACTTCTGGTTGTGAAGAGGTGGTTTTGCCCAGGCCCAGATCTGAAAGTGCTCTACTGAGCAAAACAACACCTGGACAATTTGCGTTTCTAAAATAAGGCGAGGCTGACCGAAACTGAAAAGGCTTTTTTTAACTATCTGAATTTCATTTCCAATCTTAGCTTATCAACTGCTAGTTTGTGCAAACAGCATATCAACTTCTAAACTGCATTCATTTTTAAAGTAAGATGTTTAAGAAATTAAACAGTCTTAGGGAGAGTTTATGACTGTATTCAAAAAGTTTTTTAAATTAGCTTGTTATCCCTTCATGTGATAATTAATCTCAAATACTTTTTCGATACCTCAGAGCATTATTTTCATAATGACTGTGTTCACAATCTTTTTAGGTTAACTCGTTTTCTCTTTGTGATTAAGGAGAAACACTTTGATATTCTGATAGAGTGGCCTTCATTTTAGTATTTTTCAAGACCACTTTTCAACTACTCACTTTAGGATAAGTTTTAGGTAAAATGTGCATCATTATCCTGAATTATTTCAGTTAAGCATGTTAGTTGGTGGCATAAGAGAAAACTCAATCAGATAGTGCTGAAGACAGGACTGTGGAGACACCTTAGAAGGACAGATTCTGTTCCGAATCACCGATGCGGCGTCAGCAGGACTGGCCTAGCGGAGGCTCTGGGAGGGTGGCTGCCAGGCCCGGCCTGGGCTTTGGGTCTCCCCGGACTACCCAGAGCTGGGATGCGTGGCTTCTGCTGCCGGGCCGACTGGCTGCTCAGGCCCCAGCCCTTGTTAATGGACTTGGAGGAATGATTCCATGCCAAAGCTTTGCAAGGCTCGCAGTGACCAGGCGCCCGACATGGTAAGAGACAGGCAGCCGCCGCTGCTGCATTTGCTTCTCTTAAAACTTTGTATTTGACGTCTTATTTCCACTAGAAGGGGAACTGGTCTTAATTGCTTGATGAAGAGCAGGAGACTCATTTATGTGAGTCTTTTGAGTGACCATTGTCTGGGTCACTCCCATTTAACTTTCCCTAAAGCCCATTTGAAGGAGAGGTCGCACGAGCTGCTCCACAACCTCTGAATGGGGATGGCATGGGTAATGATGCTTGAGAACATACCAAGCCCCACTGGCATCGCCCTTGTCTAAGTCATTGACTGTAGGTCATCATCGCACCCTTGAAAGTAGCCCATGCCTTCCAAAGCGATTTATGGTAAATGGCAGAATTTTAAGTGGCAAATTCAGATAAAATGCATTTCTTGGTTGTTTCCAATGATGACTGTTATCTAGAGGGAATTTAAAGGCAGGGGTTTACTGCAGACTCAGAAGGGAGGGGATGCTCCGGGAAGGTGGAGGCTCTGAGCATCTCAATACCCTCCTCTTGGTGCAGAAGATATGCTGCCACTTCTAGAGCAAGGGGACCTGCTCATTTTTATCACAGCACAGGCTCCTAAATTCTTGGTCTCATTCTCAAGATGTTTTAATGACTTTAAAGCAGCAAAGAAATATTCCACCCAGGTAGTGGAGGGTGGTAATGATTGGTAATGCTTTGGAACCAAAACCCAGGTGGCGCTGGGGCAGGACTGCAGGGAACTGGGGTATCAAGTAGAGGGAGACAAAAGATGGAAGCCAGCCTGGCTGTGCAGGAACCCGGCAATGAGATGGCTTTAGCTGAGACAAGCAGGTCTGGTGGGCTGACCATTTCTGGCCATGACAACTCCATCCAGCTTTCAGAAATGGACTCAGATGGGCAAAACTGACCTAAGCTGACCTAGACTAAACAAGGCTGAACTGGGCTGAGCTGAGCTGAACTGGGCTGAGTTGAACTGGGTTGAGCTGAGCTGAGCTGAGCTGGGCTAAGTTGCACCAGGTGAGCTGAGCTGAGCTGGGCTTGGCTGCACTAAGCTGGGCTGAGCTGGGCTGAGCTGGGCAGGGCTGGGCTGAGCTGAGCTGGGCTGGGCTGAGCTGGGCTGGGCTGGGCTGGGCTGAGCGGGTCTGAGCGGGGCTGAGCTGAGCTAGGCTGGGCTGGGCTGAGCTGGGCTGAGCTGGGCTGAGCTGGGCTGAGCAAGGCTAGGCTGAGCTGGGCTGAGCTGAGCTGGGCTGAGCAAGGCTAGGCTGAGCTGAGCTGAGCTGGGCTGCGCTGAGCTGGGCTGGGCTGCGCTGAGCTGGGCTGGGCTGAGCTGGGCTAGGCTGGGCTGAGCTGGGCTGAGCTAGGCTGGGCTGGGCTGGGCTGAGCGGGGCTGAGCGGGGCTGAGCTGAGCTAGGCTGGGCTGAGCGGGGCTGAGCTGAGCTAGGCTGGGCTGGGCTGGGCTGAGCCAAGCTGAACCGGGTTGAGCGTGCTGTGCTGGGCTGAGCCAAGCTAGGCTGAGCTGAGCCAAGTTGAGCTTAGCTGGGCTGAGCTAACCTGGGCAGGGCTGAGCTGGGCTGAGCTAACCTGGACTGGGGCTGAGCTAACCTGGGCAGAGCTGAGCTGGGCTGAGCTAACCTGGGCTGGGGCTGAGCTAACCTGGGCTGGGCTCAGCTGAGCTGAGCTACGCTGGGCTGGGCTGGGCTGAGCCGAGCTGAACTGGGCTGAGCAGGCTGTGTCGGGCTGAGCCAAGCTGGGCCGAGCTCAGCAGAGCTGAGCCGAGCTGAGCTTAGCTGGGCTGAGCTAACCAGGGCTGGGCTGAGCTGGGCTGAGCTGAGCTGAGCTGAACTGGGCTGAACGGGCTGAGGCGAGCAGGGCCGAGCTGAGCAGAGCTAAGCCGAGGCTGGGCTGGGCTAACCTGGGCTGGGCCGAGCTGAGCAGAGCTAAGCCGAGGCTGGGCTGGGCTAACCTGGGCTGGGCTGAGCTGAGCTGGGTTGGGCAGGGCTGGGCTGGGCTGAGCTAAGCTGAACTAGGGTGAGCTGGGCCGAGCCAGGCTGGTTTGGGCTGAGTTGAGCTGACCTGGACTGGGGCTGAGCTAACCTGGGCTGGGCTCAGCTGAGCTGAGCTACGCTGGGCTGGGCTGGGCTGAGCCGAGCTGAACTGGGCTGAGCAGGTTGTATCAGGCTAAGCCAAGCTGGGCCAAGCTCAGCAGAGCCGAGCCGAGCTGAGCTTAGCTGGGCTGAGCTAACCAGGGCTGGGCTGAGCTGGGCTGAGCTGAGCTGAGCTGAACTGGGCTGAACGGGCTGAGGCGAGCAGGGCCGAGCTGAGCAGAGCTAAGCCGAGGCTGGGCTGGGCTAACCTGGGCTGGGCTGAGCTGAGCTGGGTTGGGCAAGGCTGGGCTGGGTTGAGTTGGGCTGAGCTAAGCTGAGCTAGGGTGAGCTGGGCTGAGCCAGGCTGGATTGGGCTGAGTTGAGCTGACCTCAACTGAGCTGACCTAGGCTGAGCTGAGCTGAGCTGAAGTAGGCTGTGCTGGGCTGAGCTGGGATGACCTGGGCTGGGCTGAGCTGATTTGGGCTGGGTTGAGCAGACCTGGGCTGAGCCGGGTTGAGCTGAGCTGAACCAGGATGAGCTGGGCTGAGCTGAGCTGGGCTGGGTGGTCCAGGCTGGGCTGACCTGGACCAGGCTGGGCCAGGTTGAGCTGGGCTAAGCCGAGCTGAGCTGAGCTGAGCTGGGATGATCTGGGCTGGGCTGGGCTGGGCTGAGCTGACCTGGGCTGGGCTGGGCTGAGCTGAGCTGAGCTGAGTTAAGCTGAGCTGAGCTGAACTGGGCTGTGCTGAGCTAGGCTGGGCTGGGCTGAGCTGGGCTGGGCTGGGCTGAGCCAGATTGTGCCTGGCTGAACTGAGCTGGGCTAAGCTGAGCTGGGCTGAGCTGGGCTGAGCTGAGCTGGGCTGAGTGGGGCGGGGCTGAGCTGAGCCGGACTGGGCTGGGCTGGGCTCAGCTGAGCTGAGCTGAACTGGGCTGGGCTGAACTGGGCTGGGCTGAGCTGAGCTGAACTGGGCTGGGCTGAACTGGGCTGGGCTGAGCTGAGCTTGGATGAGCTGGGCTGAACTGGGCTGGGTTGAGCTGGGCTGGGCTGAGTTGAGCCAGACTGATCTGGGCTGAGCCGAGCTGGGTTAAGCCGAGCTGGGTTGGGCTGGGCTGGGTTGGGCTGGGCTGAGCCGGACTGGGTTGGGCTGAGCTGAGCTGGACTGGGCTGAGCTGAGCTGGTCTGGGCTGGCTGAGCTGAGCTGTGTTGAGCCAAGCTAGGCTGGGCTGGGCTGAGCTGGGCTGAACTGGGCTGAGCGGAGCTGAGCTGAGCTGGGCTGGGTTGAGCAGAGCTGGGGGCTGAGCTGGGCTGGGCTGGGCTGAGTTAAGCTGGGCTGACCTGGGCTGAGTTAAGCTGGGCTGACCTGGGCTGAGCTAAGCTGGGTTGAGCCGATCCGGGCTGGGCTGGGCTGGGCTGAGCCAGGCTAGGTTGAGCTGGGCTGGGCTGGGCTCTGCTGTGCTGTGCTGAACAGGGCTGAGCTGAACTGAGCTGAGCTGGGCTGAGCTGGGCTCTGCTGTGCTGTGCTGAGCAGGGCTGAGCTGAACTGTGCTGAGCTGGGTTGAGCTAAGCTAGGCTGGGCTGGGCTGAGCTGGGATGAGCTGGGCTGGGCTGGGCTGGGCTCTGCTGTGCTGTGCTGAACAGGGCTGAGCTGAACTGAGCTGAGCTGGGCTGAGCTGAGCTCTGCTGTGCTGTGCTGAGCAGGGCTGAGCTGAACTGGGCTGAGCTGGGCTGAGCCGGGCTGAGTTGAGCAGAGCTGGGTTGAGCAGAGCTGGGCTGGGCTGGGCTGAGTTGAGCCAGGCTGACCTGGGCTGAGCCAAGCTGGGTTGAGCCAAACTGGGCTGGGCTGGGCTGAGCCAGGCTGGATTGAGCTGGGCTGGGCTGGGCTAAGCTGGGCTGTGCTGCACTGAGCTGGGCTGAGCTGGGTTGAACTGTGCTGAGCTGAGCTGGGCTGTGCTGAACTATGCTTAGCTGGGCTGGGCTATACTGGGCTTAGCTGGGCTGGGCTAAACTGGGCTTAGCTGGGCTGGGCTATACTGGGCTTAGCTGGGCTGGGCTATACTGGGCTTAGCTGGGCTGGGCTATACTGGGCTTAGCTGGGCTGGGCTGAGCTGAGATGGTCTTAGGTGGTCTGAGCTCAGCTAGGCTGGGCTGAGCTGGTCTGAGCTCATCTGAGTTGGGCTGAGCTGAGCTTGGCTTTGCTGAGCTGGGGTGGGGTGGGCTGGGCTGGATTGAGCTGGCCTGGGCTGGGATGAACTGGATTGAGCTGGCCTGGGCTGGGATGAACTGGAGGACATGGCACTGGGCCAATCTTCATGATCTTGTTGGACATAGATGGATAGCCTCAGCTGAGTCTACACTGCGTTCCCCATCACACTCACCCTCCCTATACTCACTCCCAGGCCTGGGTTGTCTGCCTGGGGAGACTTCAGGGTAGCTGGAGTGTGACTGAGCTGGGGGCAGCAGAAGCTGGGCTGGAGGGACTCTATTGGCTGCCTGCGGGGTGTGTGGCTCCAGGCTTCACATTCAGGTATGCAACCTGGGCCCTCCAGCTGCATGTGCTGGGAGCTGAGTGTGTGCAGCACCTACGTGCTGATGCCTCGGGGGAAAGCAGGCCTGGTCCACCCAAACCTGAGCCCTCAGCCATTCTGAGCAGGGAGCCAGGGGCAGTCAGGCCTCAGAGTGCAGCAGGGCAGCCAGCTGAATGGTGGCAGGGATGGCTCAGCCTGCTCCAGGAGACCCCAGGTCTGTCCAGGTGTTCAGTGCTGGGCCCTGCAGCAGGATGGGCTGAGGCCTGCAGCCCCAGCAGCCTTGGACAAAGACCTGAGGCCTCACCACGGCCCCGCCACCCCTGATAGCCATGACAGTCTGGGCTTTGGAGGCCTGCAGGTGGGCTCGGCCTTGGTGGGGCAGCCACAGCGGGACGCAAGTAGTGAGGGCACTCAGAACGCCACTCAGCCCCGACAGGCAGGGCACGAGGAGGCAGCTCCTCACCCTCCCTTTCTCTTTTGTCCTGCGGGTCCTCAGGGAGTGCATCCGCCCCAACCCTTTTCCCCCTCGTCTCCTGTGAGAATTCCCCGTCGGATACGAGCAGCGTGGCCGTTGGCTGCCTCGCACAGGACTTCCTTCCCGACTCCATCACTTTCTCCTGGAAATACAAGAACAACTCTGACATCAGCAGCACCCGGGGCTTCCCATCAGTCCTGAGAGGGGGCAAGTACGCAGCCACCTCACAGGTGCTGCTGCCTTCCAAGGACGTCATGCAGGGCACAGACGAACACGTGGTGTGCAAAGTCCAGCACCCCAACGGCAACAAAGAAAAGAACGTGCCTCTTCCAGGTGAGGGCCGGGCCCAGCCACCGGGACAGAGAGGGAGCCGAAGGGGGCGGGAGTGGCGGGCACCGGGCTGACACGTGTCCCTCACTGCAGTGATTGCTGAGCTGCCTCCCAAAGTGAGCGTCTTCGTCCCACCCCGCGACGGCTTCTTCGGCAACCCCCGCAAGTCCAAGCTCATCTGCCAGGCCACGGGTTTCAGTCCCCGGCAGATTCAGGTGTCCTGGCTGCGCGAGGGGAAGCAGGTGGGGTCTGGCGTCACCACGGACCAGGTGCAGGCTGAGGCCAAAGAGTCTGGGCCCACGACCTACAAGGTGACCAGCACACTGACCATCAAAGAGAGCGACTGGCTCGGCCAGAGCATGTTCACCTGCCGCGTGGATCACAGGGGCCTGACCTTCCAGCAGAATGCGTCCTCCATGTGTGTCCCCGGTGAGTGACCTGTCCCCAGGGGCAGCACCCACCGACACACAGGGGTCCACTCGGGTCTGGCATTCGCCACCCCGGATGCAGCCATCTACTCCCTGAGCCTTGGCTTCCCAGAGCGGCCAAGGGCAGGGGCTCGGGCGGCAGGACCCCTGGGCTCGGCAGAGGCAGTTGCTACTCTTTGGGTGGGAACCATGCCTCCGCCCACATCCACACCTGCCCCACCTCTGACTCCCTTCTCTTGACTCCAGATCAAGACACAGCCATCCGGGTCTTCGCCATCCCCCCATCCTTTGCCAGCATCTTCCTCACCAAGTCCACCAAGTTGACCTGCCTGGTCACAGACCTGACCACCTATGACAGCGTGACCATCTCCTGGACCCGCCAGAATGGCGAAGCTGTGAAAACCCACACCAACATCTCCGAGAGCCACCCCAATGCCACTTTCAGCGCCGTGGGTGAGGCCAGCATCTGCGAGGATGACTGGAATTCCGGGGAGAGGTTCACGTGCACCGTGACCCACACAGACCTGCCCTCGCCACTGAAGCAGACCATCTCCCGGCCCAAGGGTAGGCCCCACTCTTGCCCCTCTTCCTGCACTCCCTGGGACCTCCCTTGGCCTCTGGGGCATGGTGGAAAGCACCCCTCACTCCCCCGTTGTCTGGGCAACTGGGGAAAAGGGGACTCAACCCCAGCCCACAGGCTGGTCCCCCCACTGCCCCGCCCTCACCACCATCTCTGTTCACAGGGGTGGCCCTGCACAGGCCCGATGTCTACTTGCTGCCACCAGCCCGGGAGCAGCTGAACCTGCGGGAGTCGGCCACCATCACGTGCCTGGTGACGGGCTTCTCTCCCGCGGACGTCTTCGTGCAGTGGATGCAGAGGGGGCAGCCCTTGTCCCCGGAGAAGTATGTGACCAGCGCCCCAATGCCTGAGCCCCAGGCCCCAGGCCGGTACTTCGCCCACAGCATCCTGACCGTGTCCGAAGAGGAATGGAACACGGGGGAGACCTACACCTGCGTGGTGGCCCATGAGGCCCTGCCCAACAGGGTCACCGAGAGGACCGTGGACAAGTCCACCGGTAAACCCACCCTGTACAACGTGTCCCTGGTCATGTCCGACACAGCTGGCACCTGCTACTGACCCTGCTGGCCTGCCCACAGGCTCGGGGCGGCTGGCCGCTCTGTGTGTGCATGCAAACTAACCGTGTCAACGGGGTGAGATGTTGCATCTTATAAAATTAGAAATAAAAAGATCCATTCAAAAGATACTGGTCCTGAGTGCACGATGCTCTGGCCTACTGGGGCGGCGGCTGTGCTGCACCCACCCTGCGCCTCCCCTGCAGAACACCTTCCTCCACAGCCCCCACCCCTGCCTCACCCACCTGCGTGCCTCAGTGGCTTCTAGAAACCCCTGAATTCCCTGCAGCTGCTCACAGCAGGCTGACCTCAGACTTGCCATTCCTCCTACTGCTTCCAGAAAGAAAGCTGAAAGCAAGGCCACACGTATACAGGCAGCACACAGGCATGTGTGGATACACATGGACAGACACGGACACACACAAACACATGGACACACAGAGACGTGCTAACCCATGGGCACACACATACACAGACATGGACCCACACACAAACATATGTGGACACACATGTACAAACATGCACAGGCACACAAAGAGAACACTGACTACAGGCACACACACACACGGGCACACACATGGATATGTGCACACATGGACACATACATGTGCAGGACATGCACACACACAGACACACTAGCACAGAGGCATACACACACAGACACACACATTCACAAACACACATGTGCATGCAAACACACACACATGTACAGACACAAGTACATGGACACATGCACACCCAGAGACACACTGACACAGACACACAGGAGCATGTGATACACTAACACGTGGACACACACGTCTACCCACAGGCACACAACAGATGGACACGCGTACACAGACATGCACACACCCACAGGCACAACACGTGCGCATGCCGGCCGGCCCCCGCCAACATTCTCCCAGGGCCCTGCCGGATACTCTGTCCCTGCAGCAGTTTGCTCCCTGCGCTGTGCTGGCACCGGGGCTTTGGGCCCAGGCTCTGCTTGTCCTTCTGTCTCTGCTTGGAGGTGCTGCCATGGCACCCAGCTTGTGCTCTGCCTGGGGAGCGGAGGCCCCAGGGATAGCATGTGACCCCTGCTGAGGCCAGGCTCCTGATGAAGGCAGCAGATAGCCCCCACACCCACCGGTGAGCAGAACCAGAGCCTGTGCCATGTGCTGAGAGCAGGCAGTGACTAAGCATATGGGCCCAGAGGGCAGAGTGGCTGCCCTGGGCAGCTGCTCCTCTTAGCAGGAGGCCTCAGGAGATGAGCTAGAGCAAGTCTGCCCCTGCAAATACCACCTGCTCCCCAACCCACAGCAGGGAGCAGGCGAGGTCAGACAGCAGCAGCCCGGGAAGGACCGAGCCCCAGCAGGGAAGGCAGGGCCCGAGTGAGGTCTCCACACCCAACGCACAGTGCTGTCTCTAACTGGGGCCACCTCCGAGTCCCCGCCACACTCTTGGCCCTTTGGAGTCCTGGGCTCCAGGTGTCTCCCAAGGGCCCATCTGTGCAGGGGATGCAACCCCCCGAATGTCCTCATCCCACTGTGGAGCTCAGGTCTCTGTCTGCTCCCTGGGTCCTGGCAGGGTAGGACAAGTCCGCCAGGATGTCCCCATGCAGACTCTGCTCCAAGAGGGAGCTGGAGAGTCAGGGCCTTGGTGAGGGAGTCAGGATCGGGTTCCCCCCAGCTCAGTCCTCCCACCTGCCAGCCCCCACAGCACAGGGCAGGGCCACACCCCCTGCTTCCCCCTCCAGGAGAGTCAGGACATGCTGGCCGCTGCTCCGCTGGGGCCCCGCCCTCCAGCCCCCACCTTGGTCTGTGTGCTGCATCCCCCACGCTCTCTCTGCCACCCCAGGACTCTGAGGAAAAGACCTCAGAGTCCCAGCCCTGCCCAGTCTCGGCCTGTGCCCCCGCTGCATCAGGCTTTCAGGGGCCCAGCCCATGCCCTGGGCAGTGCCCGAGCCCCCCTGCACTTGCTCTCCCCACCCCTGGGTGCAGCACAGCCTAGGGGCCAAGGGTGGGCCTAGAGGATGGGCCCCGGGGGGGCTTTGCTGGGTGCCACCCCAGCCTGACCCTATTCCCCCGTGCTGTGTCTCCTGCAGAGGGGGAGGTGAGCGCCGACGAGGAGGGCTTTGAGAACCTGTGGGCCACCGCCTCCACCTTCATCGTCCTCTTCCTCCTGAGCCTCTTCTACAGTACCACCGTCACCTTGTTCAAGGTAGCACGGCTGTGGCACAGGGAGGAGGGTGCAGGGCGAGTGTGGGGCCCAGGGAGCAGCCTGGGCTGGACGTCTAGCCCGGAGGCCCCCACACCACCCCACTGGGTCATCTCTGCCCCGGCTCCCTTCCCGACCACGGGGAAAGCATTTCACACTGTCTCTGTTGCCTGTAGGTGAAATGATCCCAACAGAAGAACATCGGAGACCAGAGAGAGGAACTCAAAGGGGCGCTGCCTCCGGGTCTGGGGTCCTGGCCTGCGTGGCCTGTTGGCACGTGTTTCTCTTCCCCGCCCGGCCTCCAGTTGTGTGCTCTCACACAGGCTTCCTTCTCGACCGGCAGGGGCTGGCTGGCTTGCAGGCCACGAGGTGGGCTCTACCCCACACTGCTTTGCTGTGTATACGCTTGTTGCCCTGAAATAAATATGCACATTTTATCCATGAAACTGCTTTCTGGTGAGGGTTTTTGTTTCTTTTTCAAAACTTTCCTGCTACATGGGCATCTCAAGGGGGACCCCAGTTCCAAAGGGAGCTGTGGAAAAGAGCGCTGGGTCAGCCAGCGCAGGGGGTTTCGAGGAAAGCCACGTGCCCAGGAAAGGGGCCGCAGAAGCAGGTGGGCCAGACTCAGACTCGGGGCATGCCCAGCCTGATGGAAGGAAGGGGACTGAGCAGGAGAGGGTTCCAGGCCTGGTCCTCCAAGCACAGCCTGAATTGAGAGACTGGGGCTCAGGCCTCGGGGGCCTCTGTGTGTGCTCCACATGCCTACAACTGCCCGGGTCACCTTGCCACCCTTCCCAGCAAGCCCAGACAGTTCTTGGCCTTGCCCCAAACCTTCATGATGTGTGGTGCACGCCACCGGGATCCAGGAGGTGCAGGCTGAGCCCTCGAGAGCATGTGGGCCTCACCGGGATCCAGGAGGTGCAGGCTGAGCCCTCGAGAGCATGTGGGCCTGTCTGCACAGTGTGGGGGCCTTGCACTCCACAGGAGCACAGGGGTGGGGTAGCAGTCGCGCCCGTGGCAGGGGAGTGGAAGTTGGAGCAAAAGTTTCAGGTGAACGAGTGTCTTAGTCTAATTGGGCAGCTATCACAAAACACTATCGGCTGCAAAGCTTGAGCAACAGACATTTGCCTCCCACAGCGCTGGAGGCTGAAAGTCTAAGATCAAGGCGCCGGCAACTTCAACGTCTGGCGAGGGCCAATTCCCAGCTCAGAGACGCGCCTCCTCACTGCATCCTCGCGCAGCCGAAGATGGTGAAGGAGCTCTCAGGGTCTCTGTCATACAGGCACTAAGCCCGTCACGAGGGTCTCTCTCATACAGGCACTAAGCCCGTCACGAGGGTCTCTCTCATACAGGCACTAAGCCCGTCACGAGGGTCTCTCTCATACAGGCACTAAGCCCGTCACGAGGGTCTCTCTCATACAGGCACTAAGCCCGTCACGAGGGTCTCTCTCATACAGGCACTAAGCCCGTCACGAGGGTCTCTCTCATACAGGCACTAAGCCCGTCACGAGGGTCTCTCTCATACAGGCACTAAGCCCGTCACGAGGGTCTCTCTCATACAGGCACTAAGCCCGTCACGAGGGTCTCTCTCATACAGGCACTAAGCCCGTCACGAGGTCCTCATCATTGCCCAGATGCTAGGGCTCCCAGTGCCATCCCCTTGTGGATGAGGATGGGGGGCGTGACCATGTCGTCCTTAGAAGCCGTTAGGGAATGCATAGTGGGGAGGACAAGTCTCTGCCATCACCCTGAAGATGGGCAGGTGGTGGCCAGGCTTGGGGCAGTGCCGAAAAATGACTCCCCAGGTAGGTGGGAGCAGGATCAAAGAGCAGGGGATTTTTTCAGAGATGGCAGCCAAGCCAAAGTTGGGGGCTCATGCCAGGAGGCTCACTTGGCCATGGTGCAGTCACCCAGGGGTGACCCACAGTCCATGGCAAAGTCAAGGACAGCAGTGGCTGTGAGACCAGGGTGGAGGCAGGTGGCTGGGGGGAGAGGACCAGGCTGGAAGGACTGGGCAGACCCCAAGGCCATAGAAGTGTCCTAGAGGAAGCATCCAGGATGGCGTCTTGGGAGGGCTCATAAGCTGGGGGCCCAGAAGGAGGACATTTCAGGTTCTGAGGAGCAGCCTGGCACTTGCTCTGAGCCAGCTGTCATGGGTATCTGGGGGCTGCTGGGTACAAGTTGTGTCCCTCCCACTAAATGTGCTCTCCACATGGACCCGGCCCGCCCTTCTGTCCCTGCTGGATCCCTGAGCTGGCACCAGCCCTGCCCTCAGAGACAATGTCCAGGAGACAGGTGGAGGTGCACGTGTGGGTCCCTGGGGAAATCCATCCTCCAACCGTGGGCTCCGAGTCGCCTCCCAGCCTCTCGCTCCAGCTTCACCCCATGTAGCTCATCACAGGCTCAACCTCCCAGCCTGGGGGAGGATGGAGTGAGGAGCCCCACACTGCCCAGGGCACACCCAGGGGGCTGGGGAGTCTGCACTGGGCTGGGGCAGGGAGGCCTCGTGCAGCCTGTGGGGCTGGCAGCTCAGGACAACACTCGTATCCGTTAACTGTGGCCCTGGCAACACTGCACCCCAGACTGCGTGGCTTAAACAACAGACGTTTATTCCGTCCTGGTTCTGGAGGCCGGGCATCTGGGATGGAGGCCTTGGCGGGGCTGGCTCCTCTGTGTCACGGGAGACTCTGTTCCAGGCTCTCTCCCTGCTGCTGGGCTTTGCCGGCCGTCTCTGGTGCTCTTGGCTTATGGAAGCAGCACCATCTTCACAGGGCGTTCTCCACACGTGCTGTCTGTGCCCAGATTCCCCCTTTTCATGAGGACAGCAGTCATATTGGATCAGAGGCTTGCCCTACTCCAGGGTGACCTCATCTGAACTTGATTGCAGCTGCAAAGACTGTTTCCAGACAAGGTCACATTCTGTGGTCCTGGGGGTTAGGACTTCGACACATTAATTTACAGGGGACACATTTTAACCCATGACAGTTTGCCCTCCGTTCCCCCCATAATCATGTCCTTCTCACAGGCAAAATCCCTGCATCCCATAGCAACATCTCCAGAACGGCTGACCCCTTCCAGCACCAACTCTTAGTCCACAATCTCAGCGAAATATCACCTGCATCAAGTGTGGGAGAAACCCAGGGTGAGATTCATTCTGGGTGAAATTCCTCTCCATCTGTGGACCTTTGTAACTTGACAAGAAGTTATCTGCTTCCAAAGTACAATGATGGGGCAGGCATAGGATGGACATTCCTATTCTAAAAGGGATACATAGAAAGGGAGAGAGGAGCCATGGGTCCCAAGCAAGCCCAAACCCAGCAGGGAAAGCTGCATTAGATTTAAGGCTCAAGGCTCATCCTCCTGGGTCCGTGCTCCATCTTCCAGGCCCACTGGGGTGACCCCATGCTCTTCGCCCATGGTGGCCAGAGCCCCCACAGCCTCCTCATCTTTGGCTCTGATCTCAAAGTCACCCTTCCTTCATTTTTTCTGGTCTTCTTTCCCTTCCATCCAATTGGCATTGTTTCTTCTGTTTTACAATTCACAAAATCCTTGTCAGCTTCCCATGAAATTCCTGGGGGTTTGAGTCATCAGACAAGAGAGCCCTGCACAGTTATATCCTCAATAACCTTATCTCTACTCCTGGTTTCTGCTGAGATGGTTGATTGGATCCATAAGTCATGATTCCAATCTCTTTAACAAATGGTTGCCCAGACACATCCTTGGCCTTGTTTCCAGAGCATGCTATTGGACAGGCTGAGAATTTTCCAGCTGTTCAAGTTGTGGGTCCTGTTTACTGAACACTTTCTCTCACTTTTTACTATAAGCAGTCAGGAGAAATCAGGTTGTGCCTTCAACACTTTTCTTAGAAATATCCTCAGCTAAAATCCAGGTTCATCACTTGTAAGTCCTACTTACCATAAATAGAATGCAATTCAGCCAAGTGCTTTGCCACTTTCTAACAAAGGTCACCTTTCCTCCAATTTTCAATAACATCTTCCTCATTTCTGTCTGGGGCCTCACCAGAGGCATCTTTAACATTCACATTTCTAGCAACATTCTGTTTGTGACAATTTATGTATTCTCTAAGATGACAGGAGTTTTCTCTATAGCTCTCCTCTTTCTTTCTGAGCCCCCACCAGGATCACCTTCAATGTCCAAATTTCTACCATAGTCTTCAAGGAAATCTAGGCTTTTTCTAACATGCACCTGAAAACTCTTCTCACCTCTACACATTACCCTATCCCAAATTCATTTCCACAGTTTTAGGTATCAATTAAATCAGATAAATAAATCATTACCCTGAATTATTTCAGTTAAGCATGTTAGTTGGTGGCATAAGAGAAAACTCAGTCAGATAGTGCTGAAGACAGGACTGTGGAGACACCTTAGAAGGACAGATTCTGTTCAGAATCACTGATGCGGCGTCAGCAGGACTGGCCTAGTGGAGGCTCTGGGAGGGTGGCTGCCAGGCCCGGCCTGGGCTTTGGGTCTCCCCGGACTACCCGGAGCTGGGATGCGTGGCTTCTGCCGCCGGGCCGACTGGCTGCTCAGGCCCCAGCCCTTGTTAATGGACTTGGAGGAATGATTCCATGCCAAAGCTTTTGCAAGGTTCGCAGTGACCAGGCACCCGACATGGTAAGAGACAGGCAGCCGCCGCTGCTGCATTCACTTCTCTTAAAACTTTGTATTTGATGTCTTATTTCCACTAGAAGGCGAATTGGTCTTAATTGCTTCTCTTAAGCCACCACTTCTAAAGCCAAAATCTGTTTTAGTTTCTTATGAGCTATTGTAACAAAGTACCACAACTGCATGGCTGAAACAACAGAAGTGTATTCTGTCTCATTTCTGGAGGCCAGGTGTCTGAGATCAAGCTGTGGGCAGGGTTGGCTCCCCTGGGTTGGCAGGGAGAATCTGTTCCAGGTGTCTGTCCTGGCTTTTGTTGGTTTGCTGGAAAGCTTTGGTGTTCCTTGGCTTTTGGAAACAGCTCCTCCGCCTCCATCTTTACCTTCACATGGCATTCTGCCTGCGTGCATGTCTGTGTCTAAATTTCCACTTTGCATAAGGACACCAGCCATATTGGGTCAGAGGCTCACCTGCCTCCAGCGTGACCTCATCTTAACTTGATTGCATCTGCAAAACTCTGCTTCCAAAGAAGGGCACATTCTGAGGCCCTACGGGTCAGAGCTTCAACACGTCCATTTATTTGGAGACACAACTCAACCCATAACAAGACCCATCCCTAGTGTCTCACCAGTGGTGCTGTAGAGGGAGGCCTGGCAGGGCTGACATCCCAGAACCTCAGGGAAAAATGAAAACAGCCCAGAGGGGTCCAAGAGGTGGCTCGAGGAAGGGAATTAGGAACACACTGTTCAGGTGGAAGATTCTGAGATGGGCCGTGAATACTGCCTAGGATGTGGAGGGTTGACAATGGGTTGACAATC
This sequence comes from Homo sapiens, assembly GCF_000001405.40. Lineage (NCBI taxonomy): Eukaryota > Metazoa > Chordata > Mammalia > Primates > Hominidae > Homo > Homo sapiens. The sequence goes on along the minus strand of NC_000014.9, from coordinate 105,846,709 downwards.
CTGCTCAGAAAATCCCAGGATAAAGGATGTAAATGGGGAGAAGAGGAGGGTCATCCAGAATTTGGGAAAGCAGGGCGACAGTTTCTGCCCCAAGGGAGAAGGGAAGGAGGATGGGGCCACCGCCACACCAGATGACCTTGCGTACCAGGCCAAAGAACGGGAACACCTGGCCCCACCTGAGCAGCAATAGTCAGTGTGGTGGTGGGCAGACATGGGTGGAGGCAGGGGGTGAGTAGAAGGTTAGACTAAGACGGAGCACCTGGGGCCTCCAGGGACCCAGGCAAGAACCCTGCACTTGCTCAGCTGCCCTGGGTACCCAGGTCTCCAGGAAAGTGAGGCTGAGAGCCAAGCCCAGCAGGCAGCCACACATTCTGGGACCTGCCACCCTACAGCCTGCTGTCCATGAGTAACACCCCTTACAAGGGGCCAGGTCAGCTCATGGGTTTATCCCAGGCAGCAGAGCCCCTGGGGCCAGGAATCAGGGAGAGGAGCATCCAATCCCACCAGCTCCTCCGGAGCCACTCAGAGGGCCAGACGCATGGCCCTCCACAGGGACCCCATGGCCCCTGCAGGGCAGCTGAGGACCCGTGGCTGGGAGCCTGGGCAGGAGGGTCATACAGCCCTAGGCCCGTTGCTCCCAGGCTTGAGTGCCCCTCCTCCCCTCAGGGGCCCAAGGGAAGTGGGTTCCAGAGAGGTTGGGGGCAGCAGGGAAGGTGGAGGTCCCAGGAATGCCCAGAGGGGCACCAAAGCCTCTGGAGGGAAGACCCCTCCCTTCCAGGAGCTCTCGGCAACAAGAGCCCAGGGTCCACAAAGCCACAGGTCCCACTCGGTTATTCTGACTCACAACACAGGAGCGGCAGCAGGGGCATTCGTGTTCACGGGCCACTTGGTCAGCCCCGCTCACCCTGGGCACTCCTCCTGGGCCCCTTTTCCCTGCCTTCCCTGTCACCCTGCTGCCAGGGTCCTCTGCCCTGCCCTGCCCCTTGTCCTCAGAGCCTCCAGCCTCAGACTCCCACTGTGTCTGTCTTCCAGCACCCACCAAGGCTCCGGATGTGTTCCCCATCATATCAGGGTGCAGACACCCAAAGGATAACAGCCCTGTGGTCCTGGCATGCTTGATAACTGGGTACCACCCAACGTCCGTGACTGTCACCTGGTACATGGGGACACAGAGCCAGCCCCAGAGAACCTTCCCTGAGATACAAAGACGGGACAGCTACTACATGACAAGCAGCCAGCTCTCCACCCCCCTCCAGCAGTGGCGCCAAGGCGAGTACAAATGCGTGGTCCAGCACACCGCCAGCAAGAGTAAGAAGGAGATCTTCCGCTGGCCAGGTAGGTCGCACCGGAGATCACCCAGAAGGGCCCCCCAGGACCCCCAGCACCTTCCACTCAGGGCCTGACCACAAAGACAGAAGCAAGGGCTGGGCTGTGAGGCAACCCCCACCTCCCCCTCAGAGCACGTTCCTCCCCCTTCACCCTGTATCCACCCCTCCGGACCCTCCCCATCTCAGTCCCTCCGCTCCCTCTCTCTGAGGCCCATCTCCCAATACCCAGATCACTTTCCTTCCAGACCCTTCCCTCAGTGTGCACGGAGGCAGCTTGCCCAGCAAAGGTGACTGTCTAGTGGGCTTCCCACAGCCAAGCTCCCACCCCATGCTGCGGCCCCTCCCTTCTTCCTGCTTGGCTGCCTGTGCCCCCCACCTGCCTGTCCACAACCCAGCCTCTGGTACATCCATGCCCTCTGCCCTCAGCCTCACCTGCACTTTTCCTTGGATTTCAGAGTCTCCAAAGGCACAGGCCTCCTCAGTGCCCACTGCACAACCCCAAGCAGAGGGCAGCCTCGCCAAGGCAACCACAGCCCCAGCCACCACCCGTAACACAGGTGAGAAGCCCCTTCCCTGCACACTCCACCCCCACCCACCTGCTCATTCCTCAGCCGCCTCCTCCAGGCAGCCCTTCATAACTCCTTGTCTGAGTCTCCAAGTCACACTTTGGTAAGGAGAGGGACACTGAACGGACCTCTAACAAACACCTACTGCCAGCCAGCCCCAGTCTGGGGGCCAGCAGATGCCAAACAACCAGCAGACTCCCAGAGCAGACCTGGGCCGGCTCCCTGGCCCATGGACCCAGCTCTGCCTCGCTGAGCTGAGGCATGGGCTCTCAGCGCAGCCTCACATAGAGCCACCCTGCCGAGGCAGTCCGGCTTGCAGACTCACAGGTCACTTGGGCCGCAGCAGCCCCTCCCCGTGACCCTCGCCTCCCGCCCGCCCCAGCCTGGCTCTCTCCAAGTGTTGGATCTTGGTGGCCAGCCTGCTTCTCACCCTCACCCTGCCTGCCACCTCAGAATGGCAGGGGAAAGAGGGCCCTCACCAAGAACTTTATCTGAGAAGTCTGAGGCTTGTGACTCTGACCTGCCTGAGATGTCCATGTGGCCGGGGGGACGGGTTCAGTGTTCGGGAGAACTCGGGTACGTGCCTGACTTTCTCTGAGTAGGGCAGGAAGCTGTTAGGAGAAGCAGCAGTGAGGTGGGCTGGACCAACAGGCAGAATGACTGTCCCTCAGCCACCCTCTGGGATGTGGGTCAAGCTCTGACAAAGGCATGGCACAGCCATGGTGGCCCCTGCTTGGATGAGTGGCCACGGTGCCCTCACCCTGGGCCAGAATCTGCCTCCACTCTGCAGGTGCAGAAACACGACATTCCCGTCTCTAAACACACCTAGCTCCTAGGCTTGGGGTGGGCCTATCAAATGCAGGGAGATGGACACAGCACAAGGGCCAGAGCTTCCCATGAGAAAGGTGAGGGCAGCTGCTCCCTGACCCGGGCATCTGCACTTGTCCCTCTCCACCCTCCTCATGGGCAGTGGAGACTCAGCAACAAAACAAGTTGAGTGCATTAGCAGCCAGCTCTGGAGCCAAGTCACTCACCCCACGGCCTTGGCTGCTGGTGGAGGGGCCTTCCCCTGGGCAGCCTCCAAGAAGACAGCCAAGTGCTCTTACTCAGACCACGGCGCTGCTTCCTGGCACCTCGATTTCCCACAACAACATGGGGTGCAGACAGGCTAGGGCCCCCTGCCCTGGGGCCTGGACGGCATCCAGTTAAAGATGACCCTTCACGGGCGGTGCCTGAGGTGTGCTGACCTCAGCAGCTAAGCCCTCAGGTCTGGTCTGCACTGCCCCACCTGGAGGACCCAACTGACCCAGACACAGCCAGGGTTATGGCATGACCCCGTGGACGGTGACCCACAGGCCAGATGCAGCCGGGGGCTGTTTTGTGTGGCCTAGAAATGTCTTTACAGTTGTAGTGGGATGGAGGAGGAAGAGGAAGAGAGGAGGGGAGAGGAAAGCAGGGAAGGGGAAAAAGAGGAGTTCAATGCAACCCCAAAAGCCAGAACAGTTTTGAGCTGAAAGAACAAGGCAGGAAACATCCCAGTACCTGACTTCAAAACATACTATAAAGCAGTTGTAATCAAAACAGGATCATAAAAACAGACACACAGACCCATGGAACAGAAAAGCGAGCCCAGAAATAAATCTACATGCTTGCAGTCCATTGATTTTCAACAAAGGCACCAGGAAAACACAATGGGGAGAGGACAGTTTCCTCAATAAATAGTGCTGGGGAAACTGGATATCCATGTGCAGACTAATGAAACTACACAAAAATCAATTGAAAACAGTCTAGGCCAGGCGCGGTGGCTCATGCCGGTAATCCCAGCACTTTGGGAGGCCGAGACAGGCGGATCACCTGAGGTCAGGAGTTCGAGACCAGCTTGGCCAACATGGCGAAACCCGGTCTCCACTAAAAATACAAAAATTAGCACATGGTGGCCTACGTCTGTTATCCCAGCTTTTCAGGAGGCTGAGGCAGGAGAATCGCTTGAATCCGGGAGGTGAAGGTTGCAGGGAGCCAAGATTGCGCCACTGCATTCCAGCCTGGGCAATGGAGCGAGACTGTCTCAAAAAAAAAAAAAAAAAAAAGAAAAGAAAACAGTCTAAAGGTTTAACTGAACAGATAAAGCTACTAGAAGAAAACATAGGGGGAAAACTCCATGACATTAGTCTGAGCAACGATTTTTGGATATGATCCCAAAAGCTCAGGCAGCACTAGTCACAAAAGCCAAGATACAGAACCAACCTAAGCACCCCTCAGCAGATGCACAGGTAAAGAAAATGTGGTACGTATGGGGCACAATGGAATACGATTCAGCCTTTAAAAACAGTGAAATTCTGTCATTGGCAACAATGTAGATGAACCTGAAGGACACTTATGCTAAGTGAAATAAGCCAGGCACAGAAGGAGCAATACTGCATGATTGCACTTACATCTGGCAGGTTAAAAAGGCAAACTCTTAGAGGCAGACAGTAGAGAGGTGGTGCCAGGGAGCGGGCACTGGTGGCTGGGGAGATGTTGGTCAAAGGGCACAAAACTGCAGTTGGGAGGAATTAGTTCAGGACATCCCTTGTACATGGGGACAGTGGTTAGTAACAACGGATTGTATCCTTGAAAACCGCTAAGAAAATAGTTTTTAAGTGTTCTTGACACAAAAAGTGACACGTATGTGAGATACTGCATGGTCATTAGCTGGATTTAGCCATTCCACAATGTACACATATTTCAAACATTGTGTTGTATATGATAAACATGTATAATTTTTGTCAATTAAAAATTTTTAGGAAGAGGAGGAGAAGAGAAGAAGAAGGAGAAGGAGAAAGAGGAACAAGAAGAGAGAGAGACAAAGACACCAGGTTTTTTCTGACCCCTGGGCTATCAAAACACCTATTGCCCAATAACTAGTTGGCCGTTGGTGCCCTAAACTATTGAAGCGATTGCTGTTATGTGGATGGGCCCCGGACACTTAGAAACTCGTGACCCCTGAGGACCCCCACGAGGACAGTCAGGGTCCCCCCGAACTCAGGGAGCACTGAGGAAGGAGCTCTTAGAGGCGTGGGGCCCCTCAGGCCCCTCAGAGGGCTCTGCCACATGGGTCAGGGGCAGGCTGAGGGGGAGTCCCAGGCTCCATGCCCAGCCTCTGTGCCTCTGACCAGGGTGTCCCCCACACCGCCTCCTCCCCAGTGCCCTCCACTGGCCACACCTGGCCAGAAGCTGGGGAGAGGAGAGCACAGTGGTTAAGTCAGTCCCTGCAGGGAGACGGCACCAGAAAAACCTGGCCTGTGGATGAGTCCCGGCCTGGCAGCCACAGAGCAGAGAGCTCTGGAAGCAACGAAGGCCCGAGTCTGCTCAGGGAAGAGCGGGCAGCAGCCCCAGGGCCGGACAGTGACCAAGAGTGGCACCGCCCATGGCTCAACGGGTCTTTGCCCACAGATCCCCCAGCCCCTGGAGACAGGGTCTGTGTGCCTGGCCGTGCAGGCAGGCACCACACTCAGGGGGAGGCCACTGTGGAGCTCTGTGCAGAGCCCCGGGCGGGAGCCTACTGCTCCCGAAGGTCCGGCCACAGCTGCTCTCGTTTGCTCTCCCCTGCAGAGTGTCCGAGCCACACCCAGCCTCTTGGCGTCTACCTGCTAACCCCTGCAGTGCAGGACCTGTGGCTCCGGGACAAAGCCACCTTCACCTGCTTCGTGGTGGGCAGTGACCTGAAGGATGCTCACCTGACCTGGGAGGTGGCTGGGAAGGTCCCCACAGGGGGCGTGGAGGAAGGGCTGCTGGAGCGGCACAGCAACGGCTCCCAGAGCCAGCACAGCCGTCTGACCCTGCCCAGGTCCTTGTGGAACGCGGGGACCTCCGTCACCTGCACACTGAACCATCCCAGCCTCCCACCCCAGAGGTTGATGGCGCTGAGAGAACCCGGTGAGCCTGGCTCCCAGGTGGGGAGACGAGGGTGCCCACAGCCTGCTGACCCCTACGCCTGCCCCAGGGCCATGACCCCAGCTGGGCCCCAGCAGCACCGGTCATCCTCCACAGGAAAGGAGAAGGGAGGCACCAGCACCCTGGCCGGCCCCACTTCTCTCCCAGTGCCCCCGTGGCCAGAGCCTGACAGCCTCCCCCACCTCCCCGCAGCTGCGCAGGCACCCGTCAAGCTTTCCCTGAACCTGCTGGCCTCGTCTGACCCTCCCGAGGCGGCCTCGTGGCTCCTGTGTGAGGTGTCTGGCTTCTCGCCCCCCAACATCCTCCTGATGTGGCTGGAGGACCAGCGTGAGGTGAACACTTCTGGGTTTGCCCCCGCACGCCCCCCTCCACAGCCCAGGAGCACCACGTTCTGGGCCTGGAGTGTGCTGCGTGTCCCAGCCCCGCCCAGCCCTCAGCCAGCCACCTACACGTGTGTGGTCAGCCACGAGGACTCCCGGACTCTGCTCAACGCCAGCCGGAGCCTAGAAGTCAGCTGTGAGTCACCCCCAGGCCCAGGGTTGGGACGGGGACTCTGAGGGGGGCCATAAGGAGCTGGAATCCATACTAGGCAGGGGTGGGCACTGGGCAGGGGCGGGGCTAGGCTGTCCTGGGCACACAGGCCCCTTCTCGGTGTCCGGCAGGAGCACAGACTTCCCAGTACTCCTGGGCCATGGATGTCCCAGCGTCCATCCTTGCTGTCCACACCACGTGCTGGCCCAGGCTGGCTGGCACAGTGTAAGAGGTGGATACAACCCCTCGCCGTGCCCTGAGGAGTGGCGGTTTCCTCCCAAGACATTCCCCACGGCTGGGTGCTGGGCACAGGCCTTCCCTGGTGTGACCGTGAATGTGGTCACCCTGAACAGCTGCCCTCTCTGGGGACATCTGACTGTCCAAGACCACAGTCAGCACCTCTGGGAGCCAGAGGGGTCTCCAGAGACCCCCAGATGTCAGGCTTGGGCTCAGTGCCCAGCGAAAGGTCAGCCCCACACATGCCCATAATGGGCGCCCACCCAGAGTGACAGCCCCCAGCCTCCTGCCAGGCCCACCCTTTTCCGCCCCCTTGAGGCATGGCACACAGACCAGTGCGCCCACTGCCCGAGCATGGCCCCAGTGGGATGTGGTGGCCACGAGGGGCTGTACACACAGCAGGAGGCTGTCCGCCCTGCTCAGGGCCTGCTGCCTATGCCCCAGCTGTCCAGCCAAGGGAGGCATGGAAGGGCCCCTGGTGTAAGCTGGAGCCAGGCACCCAGGCCCCCGGCCACCCTGCAGAGCCAAGGAAAGGAAGACACCCAAGTCAACAAGGGGCAGGGCTGAGGGCTGTCCCAGGCTCTTTTGGCCCGAGGGGCTGCCAGCAGCCCTGACCCGGCATGGGCCTTCCCCAGAAGCGACCCTGTGAGGTGGCCTCACAGAGAACCCCCTCTGAGGACAGTGTCTGACCCTGCCTGCCTCACACAGATGGGCCCCACAGCAGTGGGCAACCTGGGGGGCAGCAGCCCAACCTGACCCTGCAGGGACTGCCCCCTGCAGCAGCAGCTGCTTCTCAGTCCCCCAACCTCCCTGTCCCCGCCAGAGGGTCTTCCCCGAAGCTGCAGCCCCAACCCATGGCTGCCCACCTGGAACCGGGACTCCCTGTCCACTGCCCCCTCCCCTTCGGGGCCCCATCTGTGCTGGGGCCCAGGTTCGGCCTACAGATTCCCATCATTGCCATGGCCTCCTGACCTTGCCTATCCACCCCCAACCACCGGCTCCATGCTGACCCTCCCCCAGGCTCCCACGCCCAGCTGGCCGGCCATCCCCAGGCACAGACAGTCTGGGATCTCACAGGTTAGCCTGGACCATCCACCTGGCCAGACCTGGGAGAGGCTGGAAGCTGCCCTGCCACCATGCTCCAGGGCCCCAGGTTGCAGTACTATGGGGTGAGGGTGTGTGTGCACACCCGTGTGTACCTAGGATATCCGAGTGTACCCTTGTGCCCCCAAGCACAAGTCTCCCTCCCAGGCAGTGAGGCCCAGATGGTGCAGTGGTTAGAGCTGAGGCTTATCCCACAGAGAACCCTGGCGCCTTGGTCAAGGAAGCCCCTATGCCTTTCTTGCCTCGATTTCCCCTCTTGTCTGCTGAGCCAGCAGGGGCCACGTCCTGGGCTGCTGTGAGGAGGAAGTGAGTTGGTGCTAGGAGGGGCTCCTGTGTGTGCATGGGCGGGAGGGGTGCAGGTATCTGAGCACCCCGGTCTCCACTTGAGAGAGCAGGGCAGGAGCTCCCTGACCCACCCAGACTACACACGCTGTGTCCACGTGTCTCACATTATCTGTGGCAGAGGATCCGGCTTCTTTCTCAATTTCCAGTTCTTCACAAAGCAATGCCTTTGTAAAATGCAATAAGAAATACTAGAAAAATGATATGAACAGAAAGACACGCCGATTTTTTGTTATTAGATGTAACAGACCATGGCCCCATGAAATGATCCCGGACCAGATCCGTCCACACCCGCCACTCAGCAGCTCTGGCCGAGCTCACAGTACAACCACAATAAACTCTTGTTGAATGAACTCTAGGAAGTCTGTGACGTGGCTGGTTCTTGTCAATGCTTCCTGCCTGCCCACAGGCTCTTCCTCGTGGATGGGGCTGTGCTTGCCATGGAAGCGTTTTTCCCGGCCTAGGCTTGCCTTGGGCCCCACTGCCGTCTCCAGCTGGAGATGACCTTCTATACACACATTTGCTCATGACAGACCCTTGCTTAGCCCCCTTCCATGGCTCCCTCCTGCTGCTGGGATAAAATCACCTTGCCTGGATATCCCCTCCTGGGCCCCTTTCCACCCTCCTTAGTCAGCACCCCCAGTTCAGGGCACCTGCTTTCCCCGCTGCGGAGAAGCCACTCTCTCCTTGCTGCCCGGCTGTGTCTTGCCTTCCACACCTTGTCACAGTGGCCACTTCCTAAGGAAGGCCTCCCTGTGTGCAGGTGTGCAGAAGTGCCCCAGCCTCCCGTCACCTTTGTCACGGGAGCCCAATCCATGAGAGTCTATGGTTCTGTCTGTCTGCCCCACTCAGGGCAGCGACAAGTCCAGGCGGGGAGGACACAGTAGGCAGAGATTTGTCGAGGGGACATATGAGCAAGAGGGTGAGGCTGGGAGCTCCCTGGAGATAACCACGCCTCCTGGGAAGACTCGCCGTCATTTCAGCTCCACGCTGTGCGGGGGTGGGTGGAGGGGTAGCCTGGCCCTCATGACCAGGGAGCTTCTCACTCAGCCCCCGTTCCTCCCCAGACCTGGCCATGACCCCCCTGATCCCTCAGAGCAAGGATGAGAACAGCGATGACTACACGACCTTTGATGATGTGGGCAGCCTGTGGACCACCCTGTCCACGTTTGTGGCCCTCTTCATCCTCACCCTCCTCTACAGCGGCATTGTCACTTTCATCAAGGTCAGGGGAGCGGCCAGGCTCTCAGTGACCCTCGGGGTGGGTGTGGGGCAAGGTGCCCTTCCAGGGGACATGCCAGAGTTGGTCCAGGGATCCTGGACCAGGCAGAGGCAGGGCTGAGGGAGCCTGGAGGACATGCAGGCCCTCTGTGGCCTGTGGACACTGTCGAAGGCCCTCTTGACCCTGTGGATAAAGGACAACACCCCCTCCCCTGCTCCTCTGTCTCCCCTGCCCCTCCACCCCTCAGGCTTCTAGCCCCCTGTCTGACCCCAGGGGCTGTCTTTCAGGTGAAGTAGCCCCAGAAGAGCAGGACGCCCTGTACCTGCAGAGAAGGGAAGCAGCCTCTGTACCTCATCTGTGGCTACCAGAGAGCAGAAAGGACCCACCCTGGACTCTTCTGTGTGCAGGAAGATGCGCCAGCCCCTGCCCCCGGCTCCCCTCTGTCCGCCACAGAACCCAGTCTTCTAGACCAGGGGGACGGGCACCCATCACTCCGCAGGCGAATCAGAGCCCCCCTGCCCCGGCCCTAACCCCTGTGCCTCCTTCCCATGCTTCCCCGAGAGCCAGCTACACCCCTGCCCCGGCCCTAACCCCCATGCCTCCTTCCTGTGCTTCCCCCAGAGCCAGCTAGTCCCACCTGCAGCCCGCTGGCCTCCCCATAAACACACTTTGGTTCATTTCACCTGCCTCCTGTTCTTTGTCCCAGTGGTCTGGATTCACCTCAAGTTAAAGGACACAGGGAGCTAACGGCAATGGGAAGGGAGTTTGGGGTGTCAGCAGCAACAGGGAACGCAATAGCCAAAGCTGTCACAGCAAGAACTGAGCGGAGACCTTGCTCTGAAGTTAATGGGTTAAGAAACGCCCCTCCCCACACCAAACACAAACATTTCACGCTCACTCGTACATGCACACACATGCACACAAGCATCTATGCACACATGCACATGTGCACAGCTCACGAATAAACATATATGCACACACATGCAGTACACTCACATGCAAACAGGCAGATGCACAGGCATGGGCACACATGCACAAGGCATGCATGTGCAGGTCTGCAGACACACACATCTGCATGCACATACACGGACGTGCACCTGCACACACACAAGTGCACATAGGCATCAAAGACACACATGCTCGTGCACGCGCATACACACAGACATGCACACTTATGCATGCACACGCCATGACAGGATGGCACGGGAACAACCTTGCACATGGAGCCTGTTCTGTGTGTATCGAGAGCCTGCACCTCTTACTGTCTGCATGACTGTGGGCAAGAGCCTGAACTCCGTACCTCCATTTCCTCATCAGAATGGGGTGAAAATACACCTGTCAAGTAGAGTGAGGTGAGAAGTGAGTAAAATCCTATCTGAAAGGGGCTCAGCAAGGACCCAGGTATTGGTCGGACCTCCTGTTATCATCTGCTGTGGGCTGAACATTTGTGTCCTCCTGAAATTCATACATTCGTATATTCATACCTTTCCCCCTGAAATCCTAACCTCCAATGTAATGGTATTAGAAGATGGGGCTTTTGGGGGTGCTGAGGTCATAAAAGGGGGGCCCTCATGAAGAGGATTAGCACCCTTATGAGAGGGGCCCCAGAGAGCTCCCTCACCCTTTCTCCCCTGTGAGGAGATGCCGTCTATGAGCTGGGATGCAGGCCTCACCAGACACCCATCGGCTGGAGCCTTGGTCTGGGACATTCAGCCTCCAGAATGGTGGGAAATAAGTTTCTGTTGTTTCTCAGCCACCACGTCTGTAGTATGTGGAAGTCATCAGAATCAAAATTGAGTCACCTGTGGTTTTTTTTTTTTCTAAATCCCTGACAAATAGAGCCTAGGAAGGCCAAGAAGAGAAGAGGGTTCTCATCCATAAACACTTGATAACAAAAACTATCACCAAGGACTCTACAAAAACTGCAACTGGCACAAAGACCATCACAACCTTACACAGAAAGTACTTCTGTGAGGACATCTTCCCAGCAACGGGCTGTCCAACCTCAGACTGGCATTGCCTTTGTTATTGGTCCTTGTAGAGAGGGTAATTATCTCAAAGCAATCATGTAATCCTCCTCATTTTTCCTTTGAAAGCCTTGGTCTCCCTTTGCCTCCCTGAATACGCACATAGCTGATCATGGCAGGTGTATCCCACTGCAGTGCTCTACCTCCAAATAGATATCTTTTTCTTTTAGACGGCATTTCTCTTGTTATTTAGATTGAGATACATGGAGTCAGAAGTGGGATGTGGAGAAGGATCACTGCTGGAAGGAGTCAGTAATTCTTGGGCCGGTGTGCAGTATTCACTTGAGCCCTTTGAGCTCTCAGCTTTTTCTGAGCTACTCCGTCTTCTCTCAGGCCAACCCTCCCTCTTTTTGGAAGATGCTTTTTTAATATTATGTGGGGTTTGTTTATTAGACTGCCTTAATAAAGGACCTTATGTCCCTCCTGGGATGATAAAAGGCTTTTCGTGCTTTCTGGCAAGTCCTGTTTAGCATAAAGACATTCCAGCCTGAGTACTCTGGTTTCCACAGAGTTTGCATTCTGTCTCTGAGGGATGTCTTCTCTGGTGAGGTGCCTCCTTTAATACTTTGTTGGATATGCATGCCTGGGTGAACATATTTGTGAGCACCCTTATCTTGCCTTCTTTTGCTGTGGTTATGTGTATCTGTAAATGACCTGGCTCTTTTCCTCTGCTTGCTTCTAAAAATCTTTGGAGAGCAAAATAAACATTCTAAATGGTGGGCACAGGCTGTCTCATTAGAAGCTGCTACAGCAGTCACCACCGTCTAAAGCACCAGTCCAAACTGCCGGCGTGGCCTCATAGTATCTGTAGAATGTTCTTTACTGTAAAAAGATTAATAAGAAGGGGAATGGTTTTTAAATATTAAGGCACAGTAAGTTTTCTGGAACTCCCGCTGGCTACGTCTTTGTGCACATTTTTAAACTAATGGGCAAATTACGTCAAGGAAAATTTAGAGTTCCAATGGTTATTTTTCGAACTCTAACAAAAACCCTGCAACAGTAGTCATCATGCAGTGCCTCCTAAGTCCTCTATCTCTCTATTTTGTTTTTCTGCCTACTTTAAATCTGCTGACTTTTTTACTCATGTTGCAATAAAACTCACTGGTTACAGCATTCCAGCCAAGATATTTTTGGTTTTTTGTTTGTTTGTTTTTTGTTTTTTGTTTTTTTAGATGGAGTCTCACTCTGTCACCCAGGCTGGAATGCAGTGGCGCTATCTTGGGTCGCTGCAACCTCTGCCTCTCGGGTTCAAGTGATTCTCCTGCCTCAGCCTCCTGAGTAGCTGATTACAGGTGCCCGCCACCATGCCCAGCTAATTTTTGTATTTTAGTAGAGACAGGCTTTCACTGTGTTGGCCAAGCTCGTCTTGAACTCCTGACCTCAAGTGATCCACCTGCCTTGGCCTCCCAAAGTGCTAAAACTATAGGCGTGTGCCACCGTGCCTGGCCCAAGATTTTTTAAAGTTTCCTAAAGGTTTTAAATTAGTGGCTTTACAAATTACAACAGCTCTATGGTAACCAATGACCTAGATGTAAGAGTCATTTCTTTTGAAAATGTAGATTAGCTTTGCTTGGCTAACAACTGCTTAGGCTGATGGAATAGCTAACTGAAGGACTGATGGTCTCAAAGAACAGAACTAGGTAAATATTTACAGAAATTGGGCTTTCAGATCGAACAGGCCAAAATCTTGAGCTTAGAGCAGTAATATAAGGTATCTCTGTCTGCCATAAAAATTTTGCTTTGCCACAGGTGCCAGAAAAAGGAAAAACACTGCTAAATGCTTCCCTGCATGCATTGTCTAGTCCAGAAAATCAGACCAGCAACCAAAAAATAGATTTGTTACTAGTATAGACGAGTTGAAGATTTTGTTTTTCATATACAATTCAGCCAGTCCTAGCTAAAACGCAATCACTGGAAATTTAACCTTAAATTCATTTAAAACTGAAAAAGGTCTTTTGAAATCAAACTAATGCAGAAACTGCTTTACCCAAAATTCTGATCCATGGCCCTCATTAGACGACCCATCAGGACAAATAAAGTTTAGCTTGTGAACAAGTCCCAGTTTTGTCAAAAATATAATTTGGATTGAAGTGTCTTTTAGAAACTGACACATTTGTGTTATTATCTCATGACCAAAATTCTAAAATGAAAGCTACAGTGTCTTTATTTGTGTGCGTATGTGGTTAATTGTGTTTATGCATATGTATGTGTATTATGTTGTATGTTGTTATCTACATGGTAAAATCTGGCATCATCAACAAAAAATCTATTAAGGGATTCTATTTAGATTGGCTTAGATAAATAAGCATTCATAAAAAATATGTACTAATTAACCCAAATGCCTTTTAGTTCATGTGACTTAAGTATATCTTTAATAAACAAATCAGTTTTAAAATTGTTGGTAAAATAAAAATACAAATGTTCTCAGAATTGTCAGCATATATTTTTCCCTGAGTTTACTCGTCAGACAGCTTTATATTTGTCTCTGATAGATGTTTTAAGATGTCAGGGTTTGACACAAAGATGATAAAACTATAAACCCATCCTAAAACAGAATAATCTTTGTATGATCTTTGATAAATAAGACTAATTTGGCTGAGTGCGGTGGTTCATGCCTGTAATTCCAGCACTTTGGGAGGCCAAGGTGGGCAGATGACTAGAGGTCAGGACTTTGAGACCAGCCTGGCCAACACAGCAAAACCCCATCCCTACTAAAAGTACAAAATTAGCCAGGTGTGGTGGTGGGCATAATCCCAGCTACTTGGGAGCCTGAGGCAGGAAAGTCACTGGAACCCGGGAGGCAGAGGTTGCAATGAGCCAAGAGAGCGCCACTGCACTCCAGCCTAGGCAACAGCGAGACTCCATCTCAAAAAAAAAAAAAAAGGCTAATTTAATATTGCAGGCTTAATAAAAACAGCTGTATCTTATGAGCTATCGACAAAATACCCATACACTTCACTAAGTTTCTTACTAAGTGAACATCTAATAATCACAGGCTATAAAAATGGTTAAAAGGGAAATAACTTTAAGTAATGGCTAGCTTTGTCTAATATCTCAATTTTCATAAGTAATCTAGGTAAATTATTAAAAATAAATTAATTAAGCCTGGTGTCATGGCACACGCCTATAGTCCTAGCTACTCAGGAGGCTGAGGTGGGAGGATTGCTTGAGCCCGGAAGTTCAGACCACCCTGAGCGATGCAACAAGACCCCCATCACTAAAATAAATAAATAAATAAGATAAATGTCAAGAAAATAAATGTTTATAAATAAGCTTCTTATGTAATTTAAGATCTTAAAATTATGTTATCTTCAGTTAAATAATAGATACTCATTAAATGTCTGGGTCATTTCCAAATAAGATTTTTAAAACTAACACAAATTACTGAACATAAATGTTTGTTCTTGGCTTCTTAAATTTTATAGAAATTTTGTAGAAAGACTAAATTTATTTGGGTCTATTAATATATGTAAAAATTATGTCATAGAAATATGTTTTCAAAAATTATAAAATTTTTCTCATCTATAAAATAGTGATATGTGACAAATGGTTAAAATTTGCTTGCTAGAAAATAAGGTTACTAAGAGTTAAAATTCTAATTAATATATATAATTCTGTCTACAAAGTATACCACAAAAAATAAGATGTGTTTTTCATTTTTAAAAACTATAAGACAGGCATTTATAATTTATTTTACTGCAAAAAAAAATTTATCTAATTTGGAGTTTGTTTAAAGGTTGTTTCAAAGCACAGATTTAGGAAAAAAGTAAAAACAAGATGGAAAAGAACCACTCTCATCTGCCCCCACGTAAGACGTACCTGCTCCCCTTCCACCACGACTGTGTTTCCCAAGGCCTCTCCAGCCATGTGGAACTGAATTTAATCTACAAATAGAGTTGATCAAGTAACTTTAAGGTATATGGACAATAATATGCTTTGCAGCATAAAGACCTGAAAACAAACTAAATGCCCATCAGTGGGAAATTGTTTCAATAAACCACAGAACATTCCGTGGAAAACTCCACAGCCATTCAAAAGAATGAAGGGGGAGAGATCATCATGGTGGACAGGAGTCAGGACTAGATTGCAGTCCGACTGGGATGGACAGAGCACATGTGGAGGCTGGCACCGTGAATTTTAGCTCCAGAACAACTGCAGGAATAAATCAGGAATCCCAAGAGGATCCACAGACCATGTGAAGGAAGCAGCCTGCTCCTGCAGGACCCAGAGACACCCCAAATACTGTGAGTGCCCAAACTGTGGAAGTGGGAATGGGAGATCGTCCATCCTGCACACACACCCTCACTAGAGAAACCAAAGGTCTAGTTGGTGGGAAAAGGTTCCAACCTTACCTGGAGCTGAGTCAATTTAGAAAGCTGAGCGAAATACAGGGGTACAGGGAGCAGCGGGAAAGGCCCTGGGAGCTTCCTGGGTCCCCAGGCAGGCCATTCCTGCATGGCACCATATGAATACTTTGGGAGGGTGGCCAGAGGCACAGGGAAAATGTCACAGGGAGAAGGAAGTCTCCAGCTGAACGCAGGGGAGGGCACGAATCCTGCAGACCCCACTGGTAGAGGAACAACCAAAGCCCTTCTTCATAGCTGGGAAGTAGGTAGCCTGGGGCAAGTTCTCTGCTTGCCCAATGCCTGGAAACAGACTCAGTGCTGTTGGCGAGGGGCATGGTGTGAGTGAGACCCACCTTCAGTTTGCATGGGAGCTGGGTGACACCTGTGACTGCCGGCTTTCCCCACTTCCCTGACAACCTGCATGACTCAGCAGAGGCAGTCATAATCCTCCTAGGTTCACAACTCCATTGACCTAGGAACCTCACAGCCATCCCCCCCAGCAGCTGCAGCAAGAACTGTCCAAGGAGACTCTGTGAGCTCAGACACACCTAGCCCTGCCCGCATCTGATGGTCCTTCCCTACCCACCCTTGTAGTTGAAGACAGAGGGCATATACTCTTGGGAGTTCTAGGGCCCTACCCACTGCTGGTTCCTCTCCATACTACCACCACTGATGCTCTCTGGAAAACGCCATCTCCTGGCAGGAGGCCAACCAGCACAAAAACAGAGCATTAAACCACCAAAGCTAAGAACCTTCATGGAGTCCATTTCACCGCCCCGCCACCTCCACTGGGACAGTTGCTGGTATGCACGGCGGAGAAACCCACAGACAGTTCACATCACAGGACTCTGTGCAGACAACCCCCAGTACAAGCCTGGAGCCTGGTAGACTTGCTGGGTGGCTAGATCCAGAAGAGAAATAACAATCACCACAGCTCGGCTCTCAGGAAGCCACATCCACAGGAAAAGGGGGAGAGTGCTACATCAAGGGAACACCCCGTGGGACAAAGGAATCTGAGCAACAGCCTTCAGCCCCAGACCTTCCCTCAGACAGAGCCTACTCAAATGAGAAGGAACCAGAAAACCAGCTCTGGTAATATGACAAAACAAAGCTCTTTAACACCCCCAAAAAATCGCACTAGCTCACCAGCAATGGATCCAAACCAAGAAGAAATCCCTGATTTACCTGAAAAAGAATTCAGGAGGTTGGTTATTAAGCTAATCATGGAGGCACCAGAGAAAGGCAAAGCCCGATGCAAGGAAATCCAAAAAAAGATACAAGAAGTGAAGGGAGAAATGTTCAAGGAAATAGATAGCATAAAGAAAAACAATAAAAACTTCAGGAAACATTGGACACACTTATAGAAATGCAAAATGCTCTGGAAAGTCTCAGCAACAGAACTGAATAAGTAGAAGAAAGAAATTCAGAGCTCGAAGACAAGGTCTTTGAATTAACCCAATCCAACAAAGACAAAGAAAAAAGAATAAGAAAATATGAGCAAAGCCTCCAAGAAGTCTAGGATTATGTTAAATGAACAAACCTAAGATAATTGGTGTCCCTGAGGACGAAGAGAAATCTAAAAGTTTGGAAAACATGTTTGGGGGAACAATTGAGGGAAGCTTCCCCAGCCTTGCCAGAGACATAGACATCTAAATACAAGAGCACAAAGAACACCTGGGAAATTCATCACAAAAAGATCTTTAAAACTAAAACTAAAACAAGCAATCTACAAAACCTAGGCACATTGTCATCTGGTTATCTAAAGTTAAGATGAAGGAAAGAATCTTAAGAGCTGTGAGACAAAAGCACCACATGCTTAGTTTCACTGGATACAAAATTCTTGGCTGATAATTGTTCTGTTGGAGGAGGATGAAGATAGGGCTCCAATCTCTTCTAGCTTGTAGTGTTTCTGCTGAGAAATCTGCTGTTAATCTGATAGGTTTTCGTTTATAGGTTACCTGGTGCTTTCGGTTCAAAAATTTTTTTAATTTCCATCTTGATTTCGTTTTTGACCCAATAATCATTCAAGAGCAGTTTATTTAATTTCCATGTATTTGCATGGTTTTGAAGGTTCCTTTTGGAGTTGATTTCCAGTTTTATTCCACTGTGGTCTGAGAGAGTGCTTGATATAATTTCAATTTTCTTAAATTTATTGAGGCTTGCTTTGTGGCCTATCATACGGTCTGTCTTGGAGAATGTTCCATACGCCGTTGAATAGAATGTGACCATATGATAGGAAATAAACTCCAAAAGAAGCCGAACAACAACAGTGACACAACCTGTTGAAACCTCTGGGATACAGCAAAGGCGGTGCCAAGAGGAAAGTTCACACCCCTAGGCGCCTACGTCGAAAAGACTGAAAAAGCACAAATTGACATTCTAAGGTCACCCCTCAGGGAACCAGAGAAACAAGAACAAACCAAATCCAAACCCAGCAGAAGAAAGGAATTAATCAAGATCAGAGCAAAACTAAAGGAAATTGAGACAAAAAAATACAAAAGATAAATGAAACAAAAAGCTGGTTCTCTGAAAAGATAAATAAAATTGATAGACCATTAGCAAGATTAACCAAGAAAAGAAGAAAGTCCCAATAACCTCAATAGGAAACGAAATGGGAAATATTACAACTGACACCACAGAAATACAAAAGATCATTCAAGGCTACTATGAACGCCTTTACACACATTAACTAGAAAACCTAGAAGAGATGGATAAATTCTCAGGAAAATACAACCCTCCTAGCTTAAATCAGGAAGAATTATATACCCTGAAGAGACCAATAACAAGCAGCGAGATTGAAATGGTAATTTTAAAATTACCAAGAACAAAAAAAAGTCCAGGACCAGATTCACAGTAGAATTCTACCAGACATTCAAAGAAGAATTGGTCCTATTGGTACTATTCCACAAGACAGAGAAAGCGGGAAGCCTCCCTAATTCATTCTATGAAGCCAGCATCACCCTAATACCAAAACCGGGAAAGGACGTAACCAAAAAAGAAAACTACAGACCGATATCCCTGATGAAGATAGATGCCAGAAATCCTTAACAAAATGCTAGCTAACCAAGTCCAACAACATATCAAAAAGATAATCCACCCCAATCAAGTGGGTTTCATACCAGAGATGCAGGGATGGTTTAACATACGCAAGTCAGTTAATGTGATACACCACATAAACAGAATTAAAAACAAAAATCACATGATCATCTCAATAGATGCAGAAACAGCATTTGACAAAATCCAGCATCGCTTTATGATTAAAACTCTCAGCAAATCAGCATACCAAGGGACATACCTCAGTGTAGAAAAAGCCATCCATGACAACATAATTCTGAATGGGGAAAAGTTGAAAGCATTCCCTCTGAGAATTGAAACAAGACAAGGATGCCCACTGTCACCACTCCTCTTCAACACAGTATTGGAAGTCCTAGCCAGAGCAATCAGACAAGGGAAAGAAATAAAGGGCATCCATATCGATAAAGAGAAAGTCAAACTGTCACTACTGATGATATGATTGTTTACCTGGAAAACCCTAAAGACTCCTCCAGAAAGCTCCTAGGACTGAAAAAAAAATTCAGCAAAGTTTCCAGATAGAAGATTAATGTACACAAATCAGTAGCTACTCTATACACCAACAGTAATTAAGCAGAGAATCAAATCAAGAACTCAACCCCTTTTACAATAGCTGCAAAAAATAAAATAAAATACTTAGAAATATACCTTACCAAGGAAGGGAAAGACCTCTACAAGGAAAACTACAAAACGCTGCTGAAAGAAATCATAGATGACACAAACAAATGGAAACACATACCACGCTCATGGATGGGTAGAATCAATATTGTGAAAATTACCACACTGCCAAAAGCAATCTACAAATTCAATGCAATCCCCATCAAAATACCATCATCATTCTTCACAGAATTAGAAAAAACAATTCTAAAATTCATATGGAGGCCAGGCACGGTGGCTCATGCCTGTAATCCTAGCACTTTGGGAGGCCAAGGCAGTAGGATCACTTGAGGTCAGGAGTTCAAGACCAGCCTGGCCAACATGGTGAAACCCCATCTCTACTAAAAATACAAAAACTAGCCGGGTGTGGTGGCATGTGCCTGTAATTCCAGCTACTACTCAGGAGGCTGAGGCAGGAGAATCACTTGAACCTGGAAGGTTTGCAGTGAGCCCAGATTGTGCCATTGTACTCCAGCCTGGGCAAAAGAATGAGAATCTGTCACAAAAAAAAATTCATATGAAACCAAAAAAGAGCCTACATAGCCAAGGCAAGACTAAGCAAAAAGAACAAATCTGGAGGCAACACACGGCCTGATTCCAAACTCTACTATAAGGCCATAGTCACCAAAACAGCATGGTACTGGTATAAAAATAGGCACATAGACCAATGTAACAGAATAGAGAACCCAGAAATAAACCCAAGTACTTACAGCCAACTGATCTTTGACAAAGCAAACAAAAACGTAAAGTGGGGAAAGGACACCCTATTCAACAAATGGTGCTGGGATAACTGGCAAGCCACGTGTAGGAGAATGAAACTGGATCTTCATCTCTCATCTTATACAAAAATCAACTCAAGATGGATCAAAGACTTAAATCTAAGACCTGAAACTGTAAAAATTCTAGAAACTATAAAAATTTCCAATAACATTGGAAAAACCCTTCCAGGCATTGGCTTAGGCGAGGACTTCATGACCAGAACCCAAAAGCAAATGCAATAAAAACAAAGATAAATAGCTGGGACATAATTAAGCTAAAGAGCTTCTGCACAGCAAAAGGAACAGTCAGCAGAGTAAACAGACAACCCACAGAGTGAGAGAAAATCTTCACAATGTGTACATCTGACAAAGGACTAATATCCAGAATCTACAACAAACTCAAACAAATCAGCAAGAAAAAAACAGACAATCCCATCAAAAAGTGGGGTAAGGACATGAATAGACAATTCTCAAAAGAAGATATGCAAATGGCCAACAAATATATGAAAAAATGCTCAACATCACTAATGATTAGGGAAATGCAAATCAAAACCACAATGCGATACCACCTTACCCCTGCAAGAATGGCCATAATCAAAAAATCAAAAAACATTAGATGTTGGTGTGGATGCAGTGATCAGGGGACACTTCTACACTGCTGGTGGGAATGTAAACTAGTACAGCCGCTATGGAAAACAGTGCAGAGATTCCTTAAAGGACTAAAAGTAGAACTACTATTTGATCCTGCGATCCCACTACTGGGTATCTACCCAGAGGAAAAGACGTCATTCTACGAAAAAGATACTTGCACACTCATGTTTGTAGCAGTACAATTTTCAACTGCAAACTTGTGGAACCAACCCAAATGCCCATCAATCAACAAGTGGATAAAGGAACTGTAGTATGTATATGTGATGGAATACTACTCAGCCACAAAAAGGAATGAATTAATGGCATTCACAGCGACCTGGATGAGGCTGGAGGCTATTATTCTAAGTGAAGTAACTCAGGAATGGAAAACCAAACATCGTATGTTCTCACTGACATGTGAGAGCTAAGATATGAGGATGCAAAGGCATAAGAATGACACAATAGACTTTGGGAACTTGGGGGTAAGGGTGAGAGAGGAAAGAGGGATAAAAGACTACAAATATGGTGCAGCATATGCTGCTCGGGTGATGGGTGCACCAAAATCTCACAAATCACCACTAAAGAACTTATTCATGTAACCAAACACCACCTGTATTCCAATAACCTATGGAAAAATAAACATTAAAAAAATTAAGAAGACTGAAAGAATTAAAAAATTTAAAAAACAGTAAGTAGAAGAGAGGTATGTGAAGAAAGTTATGGGTATGAAGATGTATTTTTGGTACGGAAGGTTAAAAAGAAAAGAGAATTTTTTTAAAAAAGGAAGAATCTTGCGTGATAAATTTTTGTCATAAAGTAAAATGACTGCTTACTTTAAAAAAAGAGGTATCACACACACCAGGGCCTGTTGTGGGGTGGGGAGAGGGGGGAGGGATAGGATTAGGAGATATACGTAATGTAAATGACGAGTTAATGGGTGCAGCACACCAACATGGCACATGTATACATATGTAACAAACCTGCACGTTGTGCACATGTACC
The DNA here is from genome assembly GCF_000001405.40 of Homo sapiens. Taxonomy (NCBI): domain Eukaryota; kingdom Metazoa; phylum Chordata; class Mammalia; order Primates; family Hominidae; genus Homo; species Homo sapiens. The sequence continues at coordinate 105,824,954 of NC_000014.9, read as the reverse complement.
CTAGAACTTAGAGTATAATAAATATATATATATATAAAGAAAATTCCACACCTGAAGCCATGTGACAGGCTACAGACAAAACACAGTTAAAACTTTGTTTCATGTACAAAGTTATTTAAAATATTGTACAAAATCACCTTCAGGCTGTCTGTATAAGGTGTACATGAAATACAAATGAATTTTGTGTTTAGACTTGGGTCTATCCAAGATATCTCATTATATATATGCAAATATCCCAAAATCCAAAAAATATAAAATCTGAAACACTTCTGGTCCCAAGCATTTCAGACAGGGGATCGTTAGCCTGTAATGAGAGGGAGTATGGGTCAATTATGACGTTGAAGATTCAAAAAAAATTTTTTTTTAATTTTCAGTCAAGCTCTACCAACTACACTAACTAGAAAACACTCAGGCAGATTGCTTTTTGCTAGGTTAATATGGCATGATTACAACTGTGCATATGAATAACATGTATCAGATTCCTTTTGTTTGGGAATTATTTCATTACAACACTAAACACTGCTTATGTACGCTGGGTCTCTTTTTCAAAGACTACAAATAATGCTTGGTTCTTTGCTTTCAAAATATACCAAACATGAGGTACAAGAATGTACCCATCCATATTTGACCAGGGGTAGAATTAAAAGGTTTGGGTTGAAGAAGATGACATAACATCCCAAGAGGGTTGCATCCCTAGGGGTCATGGGAACAAATGTGGCCAAGTCCCTTTTTAACTGGAAAGGATTTCAGATCCCTGAACAAGACAATTCATCAGTCTTAAGCATAGTAAGTCATCAGCAAATAAGAGAATGATAAACACTAGAAAAATAATCAAATCATTGTCTAAATTCATTATAAAACTATATGAGAAAACTATAAAACTATATGAGAGAGATAAACAGAGACAAGAAGACAAGGATAAAATAAAAAAAGAGGTATCAAACAAAGCAGAACGCCTCAACATGTCATAAAACATCTGAGTAAGTCATAATAAGGTTTGCAAATAATGAATTTACGAAAGGAATTTTGCGTGTGATCAAGATGGCTATAATTAGAAGGGAATTATTTATAAGTCTTTCTAAAGACTGAGGTTTGCTATTAAAAATATGCTAATATAAAACTAAAGATTTAGTTTCCTGTGTTAGAACAACAAAGTTATCTTGAAGTATTGATCTGTTCTTAAAACTACAAGAAGTTTTTATTTTTAATTCTAAAATCTGTTTCTTTAACAGACCATTTCTATTGCTTCCTGGGATCCATTTACTTTCCCTAGTTTCAGGTTGGAAGTCCTCTTCATGTAAAACGAGAATTTCATTTCTTGACATAGTCTTTTCCCCCTAAAGCTTCTCAGTTTTAGATTTCAGAACTTCAACTTCTGTTGTATTTCACAGCACATGATTTATAGATCATGTATATAAATATGGATTTATAGATCATGTATATAAATACAGACTTATCCATCAGTGCCTTCAGCTCTTCCTCCCCATGAGATGGCCTGGGGTGATAGCTCTCTCTTTCAACTTTTTTTTTATCAACTCCTATAACATTTTTTCTCCCATTATAACTCTGTTGTTATGGCTCAATGCTGAAATGTTTATCCTGAAAGTCTAGAAAACAAATGTTCTCTCCAGTATAATTCCAGTATAATTGAATTTTCCCTTGTAACCAGGAAGTTTCTCATGCTGTTGCTTTTTCTATGTGTTCCCCTGCTCAGGTACTAGTTATCTTGTTTACATTTCTCTACTAATGGTTTACACTTATAGCCTTGGACATACTCTTTCTCTGCCTAATTAAACTCAGTGTCTTTTTCATCAGATTTGACTTCCAGTTTATCTACATGGGCTTCCCATGAGGAGACACAATCACACTGCAGGAGGCATTTCTTTAACTTTTGGGTAAGTAGCCTAAAAAAAACAAAGATTTTGTATTTTATTAGGATAATTTTTTGTGTTGTCTTTATGAGGTTTTTGGTTACTTAGGTAACTTGAGCTTTGAAGAAGTTAGGTCCTTTTAATCCATGTAACTTTCCGTATTACTCTTCAAGTCTTTTGATGATCACTGGTTGAATACATGGCTATATTTAATAGTGACCTGAGATTCTGCTTTGATTAGCCATGTTGAACCTTTGACATCTTTGGCAGGCTTCCTCAGGATCAAAATTCTAAAATAAGTCTTTTTTTATCTAGAATTGACTTAGGGATTTTACAGTTAGACCCCTGGAAAGCCTCAAAGAATTTATCTCTCATCCTATAGAGAAAATAAATGATTAGGCTTATTTGGTAAATTATATGGGAAACATTGTCAAATAATAAGTGATATTAGATCTTCTTTCAGTTACATTTGTGGGTATGCTATTGATATGATGTTTCAAAGATTATATAAATTCATATCAGTCTATAACGTTATCAGCCATAATTTTGGTTATGCTACATCTTCTTTAAAGCTATATTTGTATGGAGACGTTACTGATGTGAGTATATTCTAAAGATTATGTGAAATTTATAAAACCCTGATGGTTCTGATGTGATGCTATCAGTCACAGTCATGATTCTGTTTGCTACCTTAAAACACTATAGTAATTTTTAAAAAGTCAATTTCCTTATCAATTGCTGATTATAATGAATTTTTATCAGATGTTTAACCATGGCCATTTTGTTTTTGTGACCCAGAGTTATTGTTTTGATTTTTCTCCAAAAGCATTTGTAATCAGCTATTGTCCAAAATTGCTTTTCATGGAAGAGACTCAAACAGGAACTCTTAAATACGGTTTCCCGATAAAAGATCAATGGACTCAATAAAAAATTTTCAGAACTCTAATAAAGAAACTGAGAAATTCAAAAACCTCCAATCAAGCTCAAGCAGAAAAGCTGACTTCATGATATTGAAGAAGTGATGAGGGGAATATTTTTATGAATTTTATTTGAAGCATCGTTCGTTCTTAAATGTTTTGTTTGCCAGATTTAAGGAAATTTTCTCTCGTAAGTCATCTATAGTTTACAGTAATTTAATACAGTATACTTTTTGTGAACAAAGATGAAAGCAATTATTTTCCCCCCTACGTGACTCCTCCAAAATTTAGAAACTATTCACAAGTGTTCTTATGACGATGTGGCCATTTGTATAAGTCCAGATAAAAACTAGTTGTCTCCTCACTGCAGGATGTAATTGGAAACATCAGGTATATTACTAAGGCTTTGGCTGAAATACCATATTTGAAAAATATACATAGAATGCCTAGTTTCAGCCGGGCGGGGTGGCTCACCCCTGTAATCGCAGCACTTTGGAAGGCCAAGCCAAGCAGATCACCCGAGGTCAGGAGTTCGAGACCAGCCTGGCCAACATGGCAAAACCCCATCTCAATCCCGTCTCTACTAAAAATACAAAAATTAGCCAGGTGTGGTGGCGGGCACCTATAATCCCAGCTGCTCGGGAGACTCAGGCAGGAGACTCTTTTGAACATGGAAGGCAGAGGTTGCAGTGTGCCAAGATCACGCCACTGCACTCCAGCCTCGGCAACAAAGTGAGACTCCGTCTCAAAAAAAGAAAAAAGAATGCCTGGTTTCCAGGGTTCCTTATAATGAGTAAAAATCATCATTTCCTGGCAAGCCCAGAAACCTTAAAACTGTAAGTAAAAGCTAAAGCCTGTCTTGGTTTGGCTTACCAGCATAAAGAGGTATTGAAGTACGAGATTCCTATGTGATCAATGTACAGAGGAAAACTTATGCTTCCAAAGAAAAGCTGTAACACACCTGCTTTTAGATTGTAGCTCTGTGCATTATTTTCAAGTTCTTGTTTTCTACCTATAGACTAGATCCTGAATTCTTCTAGATTCTTCCAATCCAACTTTCTTCCATGGAGAAAAATGAGAACTGCTCTGTTCCTGAAGCCCTATAAGCTGAAGCTAGATAAATGCTAAGAAACAAGTCTCATGCTTGATGTCCGAGCCAGACAGAAAGTTCACCAGACTGCCCAATGCCACGACTAGAGACATTCAAACTGCAAAGCAAGATGAGGAATTTCACATTTTCACTCTGTAGACAGCTTCTCCCAAGTCATGGGAACAAGACTCCATATCATAATGGGACTCTTACCTGTCCTAGGGCCTACAGTTTTTACTTGGCTTCCTATTTTATTTATTCAATTAATTGCCTTGAATCCTGGATTCATTATTTATTCAATTAATTGCCTTTAATCCTAGACATTGCATAATCCTATTATGCAAACTAGGATTGTCATGTTATTACTAATTTTACTTTTTATTTTCCCTTTTTAAACTTTGTATCTGTTACTTGCTGAATTTTTTCAGAAGTACAACTTCTAACAGAATATTGCTAGCCCAGCACTTTGAGATAATAGCAAAAGACCACACCACAGACAAAATTGAACTTAATCATTTACTCCAGGTAGACTTAGCCTGAAAGCCACTGTCTTCAAACCTCCTTTGTTACTCAAATGTGGCTAAAAGGATTTTGACACTGACTCCTAGACATCAATCACTCCTTCAAACATGTGACCAGACCAGACACCTGGGACAGGCCCATCCAAATACTGAGGGACATCAGAACCTACCACAGCATGGTCCATCAGTGAGGCTTCCAGAGAAAGACCTTGACCAAAGGGAGAAAATATGATGAAAGTCGTCAGAATCAAAATGGAGTCCCTTGTGTTAAAAAACAAACAAACAAACGAAACTCTGACATATAAAGCCAGAGAAGGCTGAGAAGCATTCTCATGCATAAACACCTACTAGCAAAAACTATCACAAAAGACTATAAAAAACACAGCCTCGCACAAAGGCCATTGCAACCTTACACAAAAAAATACTTCTGCGAGGACAGCTGCCCAGCAACTGCCTGTGCGCCTCATACTGGCATCACCCTTGTTATTGATCCTTGTAGCCAAAGATTATTTCAAAACGATCATGTAATCGTCCTCATTTTTCCTTTAAAAACCTTTGTCGTCTTTTACCTCCCTGAATATGCACATAGTTTATGATGGTATGTGTGCTCCCACTGCAGTGCTTGGGGACCAAGCTCCCTCCACACCTCACTGTTCCCAAATAAATATTTTCTGTTAGAGCCTCTCTCTGTTCATTATTTAGCTCGACAGGTATTTGGTACAGCAGCCAAAACAGGCCAAGACATTGCCCGGAATCTTCCAGCAGTAGACTGGGGGCCCGGATTTGACCCTGGTCAGTTGGACACGGGCTTCTCTCACTCCACCAGATGAGGAACAAATAGTGAGGTGTGGCGGGAGCTTGGTCCCCAAACAGCTCCTCCGGCCATTTGCCCTCCCCACCCACGGACCAGAGACAGGACGAGGGTGAGCCCCGGTGTCAGCCATGTGCCCCAACCCCGGTGCCTCATTTGCTCCTAGGATGCGTCCTGTAGGTCATCTTCTTGCAGCTGTCCCGCTCAGTCTCCCCTCAACCCCTGCTCATGCTCTTGGTGAGCTTATCAATATTATGGTTTCCAATAGCTTCTGTTCATAGTTTCAACTCATATCTGTCCCTAAGTGTGGACTTTTATTCCACGCGTTGGCACTGGCAGTCAGCTATGTGCCTCCTACTCAAGGCATCTGAAACTGCAGGTGGGTAGTCGGCTAAGTCAGGCCCCAAAAGTGTCTTCATCCAGATTCCCAGAACTGTGACTCTGAGATCTTACATGGCAAAAGGGACTTTGCAGATGAGATTAAGCCAATGATCTTGAGATGAGGAGAGGGGCCTGGATTACTTGGGTGGCTCCGAATGTGGGCACAGGTGTCACAGGAGGGAGGCAGAGGGAGACGTGAGAAGGAGAAGGTGCCATGACTCCGAAGCCAGAGGCTCCTGCTGATCCTCCGGCCCCACCCCCACCCCACGGACCATGTGGTCTTTTTAAAACATGAATCTATCAGGACGGCCCATTCAAACCCACAGAGAGGTTCCCACTGCACCAAGAACAAAGTCAGAACTCTCAGGCCTGACCCACTGCCCTCGGCCACCCTGGAGCCCCAGTGCCCCCAGACCCGGTCCTGGCCTCAGAGTGTAACAGGCTCACTCCCACCACCCATCTGCATGGCAGGCGCCTTGCCATCGCCTCCCCTCTGAGAGCACAGACAGCCACAGCTGGCCTCCGGGTGAAAGGATGGATGAACAGTCAGGCCGGGCGAGTGCTCTCAGAGCCTGCTGGCCAACGGAGGCAGCCGCTCAGGCCTCTGCCTGAGCCATGTGCGATCACAGCTGCCGCCCAGCTGTCCCAAGGAGGCAGCTCTTGGCTTTTCCCCTGGGAGTCGAATTCGCAGGGAGTCCCATCCACAGGCCCCTGGGAGGCGGGAAGACATCTCGGTCTCCAAAGCCAGTAACCTGTGATTCCCCTGAGGATGGTGGGAACCTGGTGTGGGGCAGATGATCTGTATTTGAGCTTTGTTTCTCTCTAGCAATTATACCTAGGAAATACCCTAAAATGCACGACGCAATGCACATTGACCCCAGCAAACTCCCCACCCTGCGCCTGTTTCTAGTGCCGGGGCTGCTCCAGCACAGCCTGTGCACTTGACCGAATGTCTACAGCCCTGGCCCTCAGCCACACTGTGTTGTTTTCATGCACCTTCACCCAACAGAATTGCTCCAACAGAGTGATTCAGGGGGCTGCCCTCCAGCACCACTTCCCCTTTCCATGTTACGTAAATGTCCGTTGAGTCCTGACTGACTACAGAAATCTGTCTTCTGGGGGCATGTGATGCCCCAGGTGGCCCAGGGCCCCGCACAGGAATGTGTTTACAGCTTTCCCGGCACTGAAGCCACAGTCGTAACTCAGCCTCCTGACATGGGCCAGGGCCCTCGCCTCCGCACGCTCTGCAGCTCACCCGTGTCGCCACAGCCTGCTGGGCCTGGACGCCACCCTCTAAGGTGGCACTCGGGGCAGAAACATCTGTTTCCAGCTGGTAACAAACAGGACATGTCTGCCTCCCACACCTAAATCAATGCTTGACAAGCCTGGCCTGATCTCGGGGCGCTCACCACCAGCCACCTGCCTGGGCCCAGCCGACCTCCTCTCCCTTGGTATTTTGAGGGAAGGGTCTGAGCCCTTTCTGCCCCCCTAGACTTGTGGACAGAGGCCCCCCAAGACCTGGACAGAAATCAGGCCATAGTCTCCAGCCCCAAAGAGACTTCCAGAGGCCTGCACCTCTCCTCTCCAGCCGAGGCCCTGATGTCTGCGGCTGTGGCCATAGCCGGCTCTATACCTGCCAAGTTTATTCTAGAAAACATTGGTTTGGACAAGACCTCAAAACGGAATTGGGAAAATGAAAGAGAAAAGAGAAAGGATTTCTGCTCTCATTGTAAGGACAAAAAGCAAATTGAAGACCAGCACTGATACAGATCAATAATCACACCAGAAAAAAATATGGCAAAATATCTATATTCTCTTAAGGTGAATAAGTGTTCTCTCAGAATGAGGCTAAGGCCAGGAACAGTGAAAAGTAAGACTGATAAATTTGCCCACAAGGAAAAAAATAAAGTCTCTATAAGGACAAAGCCACCAAAAACAAAGTAAGCACCCCAGGAAAGAAAGTGACCAAAGTATCTAACATGAAAGAGAGCCTGTATTCGCATGAGCTCCCGAGAAACAGAACCCATAGATGTGGATGTGGATATCGACAGAAATAGGTATCAACATAGACACAGGCTATGGCCACAGGTATGGATAGAGGGAGAGATGCGAGAGAGAGATTTTAAGGAATTGGCTCACACAGTTGTGGAGACGAATGTCCAAAATCTGCAGGGCAAACCAGCAGGCTGGTGACCCAGAGAAGAGCTGAGGCTGCTGCTCCCGTCCAAAGTTCAGCCTGCTGGCAGAATTCTGTCCTCCTTGGGGACTGCCGTCTGTTTTCTCTTAAGGCCTCCAACTGCCTGGATGAGGCCCACCCACATTATGGATGATGATCTGCCTTACTCAAAGTCCACAGGTTGAAATGTTAATAACATCTAAAAATCACCTGCACTATCTAGACTGGTGTTTGGCCAAATATCTGGGTAGTATGGCCTGCCCAAGTTAACACCTAAAATTAACTATCAGAGTCCAAGTAAGTGAATGTAAAAAACAAACAAACAAACAAACAAAAACATGATGAATGAGACAAGCTCGACCTTGAAGAAGTTTTCAGTGGAACGTGGGGAAGAGGAGTTCTCTTTAGCCAGCTGCAGACACAAATAGCCAATAGAACACATGGAGAGTGTTAGAAGTCACAAATCGTCAATGGAAAGCAACTTACAATGTGATGTTCATTGAACATCTACTGTGTGCCAGGCCAAGGGCTAAGGTGGACACGTGCAGTGTGTCTGCACTGCGGCACTAAGGTCCTGGTGGGGAATGGATAATACAATTAAAAACAAATCACAAAGAAACCAGAAGAGGAAAAAAAGCAATTAAAAACAAATAAATGCTCCATAAAGGACAACAGCGCCAGCTGAGGGTGTGGCCATCAATGCCAGGCATCCAGAATATGTCCTTGGGGACATGGACCACTGGGAGGTGCATCCCAGGCAAAAGGAGCAGGAGGGGAAGGGTCCAGGCCAGAAACATGCTTGCCAAGTTCAAGAGCGGTGGGAAGGCCAGTGGGCTTGGGAAGGAGTGGGCTGGAAGGACAGGCCAGAGGCCAGACTGCATGGGGCCAGACTGGCCCTGATTCCAGCCTTGGACTTCACTCTGTGGTGATAGGAGACCCTCAGAGGGACTTGGGGAGGGGTTGTGTGTTTTCCTGGGAGCCACAGAAAAGTGAGTGACACTGGGCTGAGGAAGGAAGTCACAGGACCCACCAGTGTCTGCGCAGGAGTCCCAGTGGAAGAGCAGAAAAAATCCAGGAGAAGATACAAAAGTATTCAAAAGTAATTCAAAATAGCAAAAATCCAAAATATTCAATAATTTAAATGGTATTACTTAAAATAGTATTATAAATAATAAAAATATATTATTAAAAATAATAGATTACTGGCTTTAATACCAATGTACAGAAATCCGTTTTATTTCTATAGACCAGCAACAAACGGAAAATGTGATTCTTATAAAGATGCCAGATGTCTGCTTCTATTAAGGGCATACAGGGAACTCGGACCAGTTAGCAAATCTGAAAGAAGTATTTTAAAAATCTGTTTGAAGGTAATGGAGAGATACCAGAGTGGTGAATAATAGCCACCAAAGTAGCTGCCATTTGCAGTCACTTCCCCCTGAGCCCCTCCCCAAAAGCATTTGCTGATTCTGGGATAGTCAGTGAGAAGCTGAGCAGAAATCCTGACAATCTTAGAGCTAGGGAGAAAAACTCAGAGGCCAGGACTCACCAGGAGAAAGGCGCTTGGGAAGTACATGCACTTTGGATTAGAAACCCATGGACTTTCCTTATAGGAGCAAAGGTGAAGGAAATCATCCCTCACAGGAACTGCAACCAGATGCACTTTATTCAGGTCCTTAGAAAAGCTCAACCTCTACCACTGGGTTAAGTTGATCTCAGATTTTGAATTCCACCAGGAACCAGCCAGAAGCATATGAAAACCGTCTCTGGAAAATTATAACGTCATTTTAGGTTCAGTTGCTCAACCCAATACTTCTGAATACAGTATCCAGCACACAATCACAAAGAACCACACATACAAGTAGACGAAGCAACATGAGTAAGAACAGCAAAAACGGAAGATCAACAGGGACTCCAGACCTCAGCTATGGGAATTAGCACATGAAGACTTTCTTAATACTTTTTATTTCAATAGCTTTTGGGATACAAGTAGTTTTTGGTTACACGGATGAATTCTATAGTGGTTAATTCTGAGATTTTAGGGCACCCATCATCCAAGTAGTGTACACTGTACCCAATATGTAGTTTTTTATCCCTCACCTCCCCCACCCACTTGTAATCCCAGTGCTTTGAGATGCCAGGAGGTTTGGGACCAGCCTGGGCAACATGGCAAGACCCTATCTCTACAAAAAATGTTTAATAATTACCTGGGCATAGTGGTACTTGTCTGTAGCCCCCACTATCTGAGAGGTTAGGTGGGATAATCACTTGAGCCAGAAGTTTGGGGCTACAGGGAGCTGTGATTGAATCACTGCACTCCAGCTTGGGTGACAGAGTGAGGCCCCATCTCTGAAAAAAAATAAAAATAAGTAAAATTTTAAAACTGATAAAATAACAGTGCTACTAGGTTTGAAGAGTTTAAACACAATCTGAAAATTTCATCATAAATTGAAAACTATAAAACACACATAGCAGATCTTTTTTAATTCAGAATTTTAGAACAGAAGTATACAATGAAGAGCTCAAATGATGGGTTTAAGAGCAGACTTAACACAGCTGAAGAAAGAATTAGTGAATCAGAAGTTGGATCAGAAGAAAATATCTAGAATGAAGGATAGACAAAAACACAGCATGGAACTGGAGGGTTAAAAGAAGAGAGTATCCACCGATAAGGTCTAACATATAGGTAGTTAGAGTCCCAGAAGGAGAAGTGAGAAGGAAGAGAAGAAACATTTTTAAAGAGGCAATTGCAGAAATCTTCCCAAACTTAAGGAAATATCCTACCCCATCATTCATATGGAATAAAATACGTAGAAAATCTCATCTATGCCAGGCGTGGTGGCTCATGCCTGCAATCTCAGCAACTTTGGGAGGCTGAGGCAGGCAGATCACTTGAGGCCAGGAGCTTCAGACCAACCTGGCCAACATGGTGAAACCCTGTCTCTAGTAAAAATACAAAAATTAGCTGGGTGTGGTAGTACTCATCTGTAATTCCAGCTGCTTGGGAAGCTGAGGCAGGAGAATCTCTTGAACCCGGGAGGTGGAGGTTGCAGTGAGCCAAGATTGCACCACTGCACTCCAGCCTGGGTGACAGAGCAAGACTCTGAAGAAAATAAAATAAAATAAAACCACATCTATCCATAACATTATAAAACTCCTGAAGACTAAAAAAAAAAAGAGGCTATCTTAAGAGTAGCCAAGGTCGGGGAAGCTCACAATACCTTTAAAGGAGGACCAGTGAGGCTGGCAGCTAATGTCGTAACAGAAACAAGAACAGAATGAGATGCTGTCTTAGGCTGGCAGCTAATGTCGTAACAGAAACAAGAACAGAATGAGATGCTGTCTTTACAGTGCTAAAAGAAATACCTGCTAAGCCAGGGAAACTATCTTTGGAAAATAAAGATGACTTTTCTTTTTCTCTTCTTTTCAATTTTCATTCCCTAGGGCTATCCTAACAAGGACCGTAAAGAACAGAAGTGTATTCTTGCACAGCTCTGGAAGCTGGAAGTCTAAACTCAAGGTGTCAGGAGGGCTGGGCTCTCTCTAAAGCCTCTAGGGTAGGATGCTTCTTGCCCCTTCTAGCTTCTTTTTTTTTTTTTATTTCTAAAACGACTTTATTGCTAAGAACCATGATTATTACTTAAAATAGATTTTTCAGTTACTGATATAAAATATGTTCCTTTTGAGAACAAATGGACACATAGAGGGGAATGACACACACTGGGGCCTATTGGAGGGTGGAGGCCGGGAGGAGGGAGAGGGTCAGGAAAAATAACTAAGGGGCACTAGGCTTAATACCTGGGTGATGAAATCATCTGTACGACAGATCCCCATGGCACACGTTTACCTGCGTAACAAACCTGCACGTGTACCCCTGAACTCAAAATAAAAGGTTTTTTAAAAAATGTTCTTTGTGCTTCTAAAAATGTCTAAATAATCCTATATGCATTTTTCTTATTTGCCTCTTATGCGTAGCTTACAGATTTAAAAGTACAATGTTGCTTGTTTTGTATTCATCTTGGTGGATCTAATAATTTACAAATAGGACATAGGCATGCTGATACAGTCAGCAGTTAATTCCTCCTTCTGACAGTGGGGTTTGGACATACAACCAGCAATGCGTGCAGGTGGAGAGACATAGAGGATCTTTTTTTTTTTTTTTTTTTGAGATGGAATTTTGCTCTTGTTGCCTAGGCTGGAGTGCAATGGTTCGATCTCGGTTCACTGCAACCTCCGTCTCCTGGGTTCAAGCAATTCTCCTGCCTCAGCCTCCTGAGTAGCTGGGATTACAGGCATGCGCCACCACGCCCAGCTAATTTTGTATTTTTAGTAGAGATGGGGTTTCACCATGATGGTCAGGCTGGTCTCCAACTCCCAATCTCAGGTGATCCACCCGCCTCGGCCTCCCAAAGTGCTGGGATTACAGGCGTGAGCCACCACGCCCTGTACGAAGTTTTAGGTCATCTGTGATTCACAAACGACCGGCTTCGAGAAGCTCTGGAACGTGCCAAACAAGGCACTGTGGAGTAGTTTGGCTCCATGTGACCTAAGAGAGGAAAATCTGTTGTCTTTGGGAACATTACACAATTCAGGTAAGATATGTGCATATTCTCAAGGGAAATTTAAGGTGCTCATACTCAATAAATAAACACAAGAGCAGCGTTACAGATAATATTCAAAGAGACAGAGGCTTCTTCATACCTGATGTGGTGGGAAGACCACTGGATGACTGGACACTGAGATACGTGGTTGACAGTCTCGTCTCTGAAACACATGATTTGAGTTTTGAGCTTAGACAAACTTGTTTTTCTCCAGCATCAGTTTTTTCATCAGTAAACAATAATAATAATACTGTGTTTATGCCAACATCATTAGGAAGATCACTTTAAATGGTGTATATAAAAGGATCCATCAACTTTAAAGCCAGTACCCAATATACACTCATAGATATCAGCGTATTACAGAAAAATAGTATTTATTTTGTGGTCAAGCATATCTGGATTCTAATCCCAATTCTACTAATTGCTCCCTTATCTTTTGTGTCCCGTGATCATCAATGTTTTTATCATTAGAATCTTGATAATATCTAGCTCACCATGTTTTTCTGGAAATTATATGAGATAACATATGCAAAGGACTTAGTGCAGCACCAGATGTGACTCTTCCAGCTCCTGTGGTTGCCGACTGCCCTGGGTGTTCCCGGGCCTGCAGACGCATCGCTCCAGCCTCTGCCTCTGTCTTCATGCAGTGTTCTCCCTGTATCTGTGTCTAAATGTTTCTCTTCTTATAATGGCACTGGCCATAGTGGATCTAGGACCCACTCTACTGTAGAGTGGCCTCATGTTATCGTGATTATATCTGCCAAGTCCCTCTTTCCAAATAAGGCCACATTCTCAAGTTCTTGGTGGACATAAATTTGGGGGTGACTCTATTCAACCCAGTATACTTTCTCTTCCTGAGAAGAGCAGTTTGGACTCAAAGCTGTTCGGTGGGCAGATCAAGGGTTGGGGGGTGTCTGCATGGTGGGGGTAGGAGGAGAGATGCAGGGGCCCAGAGCGGGAAGCCAGTGTGGAGTCCAGGCTCGGAGCACCCACATGAGCAGAGGTGGGCAGCCTGATATAGAAAGTCAGATCTTAAGTGGGGTGAGAAGGGTTCCAGATGGGGAGGAGTGCACACTAGAATGGAGGGGGAGCCAGAATGGCAGAGGGGAAGGGAGTACTGGCAGAGAGGGCAGGTTGGTCACACAAGGGGATTGGTCAAGTAAGTAAATACACCGAAAAGAATAGAAAAGAGAGAAGGCAGTTCCAAATACCAAAAGGGAGTGATATGGTTTGGATCTGTGTCCCCACCCAAATCTCATGTCGAATTGGGTTTCAATCTGTGTCCCCACCCAAATCTCATGTCGAATTGGGTTTGGATCTGTGTCCCCACCCAAATCTCATGTCGAATTGTAATCCCCGGTGTTGGAGGTGGGGCCTGGTGGGAGGTGGTTGGATCACGGGGGTGGGTTCTCATGAATGGTTTAGCACCATCCCCCTAGTGCTGTTTTCCTTATAGAGTCCTCCCGAGATCTGGCTGTTTAAAAGCACGTGGCACCTCCCTGGTCTCCTTTTCTCCTGCTCTGGGAATGTAAGACATGCCTGCTTCCCTTCACCTTCACCTTCCACCATGATTTTAAGTTCCTGAGGCCTCCCCAGAAGCCAAGCAGAAGCCACTATGCTTCCCGGACAGCCTGCAGAACCGTGAGTCAATTAAACCTCTTTTCCTTATAAATTACCCAGCCTCAGGTATTTCTTTATAGCAGTTCAAGAACAGACTACAGGGAGAAACTGGAATGAATCCTATGGTACTGGATTGGAATTTGATCCGTAAGTTTGAATTCATGGTTTCTAACATAAATAGCCATTATATAGGAGTTGTCCTGATTTGTAGAAAACACACTAAAATATTCATGAAGGAGGAGGTGTCAGGTCAAAAAAATACTCTCTTGAATGATTCAGATAAAAATTGTTTGTACTTTTCTTGCAACTTCCAATTTTTGGCTGAAGCTAAAGAAATATTTTCAGACAAAACAGAATATTTGTTGCCAGAAGACACACATTAAAGGAACTGCTTAAAGATAGGTTTAAGAAAGAAGGAAAATGATCCCAGAGGAAGCCTCAGAGATGAAAAAAAGAATTTAAGAGTGTAAAGTACACAGGTGAGTACATTTTAAGAGTTATTAACTAATAACAATGATGATGTGATGGATAGTGAGGATAGAAAATTAAAACAATTCAGATGCATAGCAATAACATATAAGTAATGAAGGGCTAATAACACTGCATCATCATATCTGAAAAGAAGATCAAAGAATTAGTGACAAATTTCTTGATAAATTTAACTAATAGAAAAAAATGCAACTGTAAGAAAGTCCATCCAAAGGGAAGCAAGGAAAAAGGGATAAAAGAAGACCAACAAGGACAGCATTATCTCACTTATTTGTGGAATCTTAAAAGAGTTGAGCTCATAAAAGTAGATATTAGAATGGTGGTTACCAGAGGCTAGAGGCAGAGAGGGAGAGAATGGAGCGTGGTTGGTCAAAGGGTACAAAGTCTCAGGTAGACAGGAGGAATAAGTTCTGAGATCTATTGCATGACAGAGTGACTATATTCAGTAATAATGTATATTTTGAGATAACTAAGAGAGTAAATTGAAAGGGTCTCTCCACAAAAAAATAAGTAAATGAGGTAACAGATATATTAATTAGCTTGATTCAATCATTCCACGTTGTTTACATGTATGAAAATATTGTGGCTGGGCACAGTGGCTCACACCTGTAATCCCAGCACTTTGGGAGGCCAAGGCGGGTGGATCACTTGATGTCAGGAATTTGAGACCAGCCTGGCCAACATGGTGAAACCTAGTCTCCACTAAAAATACAAAAATCAGCTGGGCGTGGTGGCACATGCCTGTAATCCTAGCTACTTGGGAGGCTGAGGCATGAGAATCACTTGAACCCAGGAGACAGAGGTTGTAGTGAGCTGAGATCATGCCACTGCACTCCAGCTTGGGTGACAGAGCCAGACTCTGTCTCGAAGAAACAAACAAACAAACAAAAAACATTGCATTGAACTCCATAAATGTATCTAATTATGATTTGTCAATTAGAAATTATATTAATTTTAAAACCACATTGCTAGATAGGAGATTTAGGCTCAAATATATCAGTATTTACATTAAATGTAAATGGGCTGGGAGTAATGTCACTGAAAATGGCAGCTCCAAAAATGTGTCCCTTCACGAAAGCAACAATTAAGCTGGCAAAAAACTGACAGAATTCATTTTTTCATAACTCTAGAATATAACCAAAAACTTAAAACAAAGGGTGCTTAATGAAGAAAGAAACTGCTAAATTTGGGTAAGAGAGAATTGTGGAATTTTCTTACCTGCCTATAAAGCCCTCATTTTCCAGCTCAGAAGTAGCCAGGGCAACAGCAGCCCATCTTCCCGGTGTGGTTTGCTGGTGCCAGAGGGAGTAAAAAAGCCGTTGTCATCAAAGAATTGTGCTTGCGAATCTCAACCTATCTGACAGCTCTCTGAGGGATCAGCTCAGGATCTTGCCTTTGTTTTGCTCACCCTGCTCCTGCCCTTCCTCCCCTGTGTCCTACCCCCAACAAACACACACAGAATTCTCTACAGGATGGAACAGCCTCCTGGGCAGCATACATGGAAAGTATTTAAAGGTATATACTTGTCACAACCATCTAGGTCAACAGATAATAGAAAGGGAAAACAGTAGACAGGCTAAAACGCCTAGGAAGAAAAAGGCTAAGGAAGGAAACGTGGGGAAATTAGAACTTTAAAAAACTCCCACATATACTAAGGAATTCAAACAGCCACATGTATTTCTAGATGTATGCTCAGATAAGACCTGAGAAGACCCTAAGCTTTTACCTCTGGCTGGTCATTAGGCTTCACATGAGCAGGAAGTAAAGGCTAAGGCAGAGTTGTAAATGACCTGGTTAAGTGTTGCAGCAGTGCTCTAACCCAGAGCCAGCCTGCAAAGAACAGGAGGGTCTTCTTCCTCTTTCTTTCTTTCTTTCTTCTTTTGGCTTAAGAAATTTAAGAAGATCTGTGAAAACACTAGCTGACCACTAAACTAACATAACAAAGATTTCAGTGGCCACATATGACAAAAGTCTTCACAAAAGTAGTTTAGACAAGTCACTAAACAACTATAACACAAAACAAGCAGCAATAACAAACCCTAGGGAGAAGAAAGAATCTAGTTTCCCATATTATAATATTTATTCAAATTTTCCAGTTTTTAACAAAGAAGTATGAGACATGCAGAAAAACAAGAAATATGACCCTTTCACAGGAAAAGGTAAATTAAC
Source organism: Homo sapiens (assembly GCF_000001405.40). Taxonomy (NCBI): domain Eukaryota; kingdom Metazoa; phylum Chordata; class Mammalia; order Primates; family Hominidae; genus Homo; species Homo sapiens. The sequence continues at coordinate 105,808,308 of NC_000014.9, read as the reverse complement.
GGAAACTTCCCCTGAGGAAGCCCAGGCTGTGAACTTACTAGAAAAAGGCCTTAAATCAACTGTCTTAAATATTCTCAAAGAGCTAAAGGAAACCAGGAGAACAATGCCTCAGAACTAGTGATTATCAGTAAAGAGATAGAAATTATAAAATAGCGCCAAATAGAATTCTTGAAATGCAAAGTACTGTAACTAAAGTGAAAAACTCACTACAGGTTCAAGAGGAAACTTGAGCAGGTAGAAGAATCAGTGAACTTGAAGGTAGGCCAATTAAAATTCTCCCAACTAAAGAGCAGAAAAAAGATAAGGAAAATGAGCTTAATTTGAACAATATGATCAATAAATTTGATCTACTAGGCATATACAGACCTTAGAAAGAGCAGCTACAGAATGCACCTTCATTTTGAGCCAGGTGGAATATTCACACATTATACCATTTATGACCACAAAGGAAGATTTAACACATTTTGAAAGGCTAAAAGTATTTAGTTATGATGTGATCACAGTGCTAAGTCAGAAATAAATAACAAAGAGGTAAGTTAAAATACACATATGCTTGGAAAATAAGATAAAAACTGCTAAATAACCCTGAAGCTAAAGAAGAAATCATAATGGAAACATTAAAATTTTAAAAAGTTTAAAATATTTTTAACTGAATAATAAGGGAAATACTACATATCAAAACATGGTGAGATGCAGCCTAAACAGTGCTTAGAGGAAAACTTATAGCCTTAGAAGCATGTATTATGAAAGATAAAATCCTGAAAGTTGATGAACTAAAAATTCACCTGAAGAAGTTAAAAAAGAATGTAAAACCAACTGAAAATAGAAGGAAAGAGATCATTAAAATAATATAAGAAAATGATTGAACTGAGGATAATAAAGCAAAGAAATGATCAACCAAGTGAATTAACAAAATTGATAAATCTCTGATAACACTTGTTGGGGAAGAAAAGAGAAAATGCAAATAACTAATGTCAGAAATAAAAAGGGACGACACACACATCCTGCGGATGTTTAAAATGTAAAAAAGAATATTTGGGAAAGCTTTAAGCTACTAAGTGTGAACAATTGGATGAAATCTAACTGGATAAATGTAAGTATTAAAAAAGTTTAATCTACAATTTATAACCTTACCCCAGAGAAAACTGTGAACCAGACATGATTTCATAGGGGATTTCTGATCAATATTTAGGGAAATATCAACACTCTTAGACAAACTCTTCCAGGGATCTGAAGAAGAGTCCATGCCCTGTAAGCTACTGTATGAAGCCAGTGTAATCTGAGTTCCGTTGGGACTGCAACCGATAAAGTAATTCATCACAGAAATGACCTCAGGAAACTGGCCTTCAGAACGGGCTTCTGGGAAGTTGTCTCACATATTTGAGGACCACAGGCATAATTCATTGCCCGCAGGAAATGGGGCAGCCATACATGACATGTGGTGGCACCATGATGTCTCAGACTGTCACTGACAGGAGTGCATCCAAAGTACAAGGAGAGAAAAAGGCATGGGCAGGTCAAGATGCAGTAGCACTTTGTTGTCATGGCAACAAGAGGGCTGCTAAAGATTATGGAGTCACCAACTTTTTCTCATGACCATAGAGAGTGTACACAGGGGAAAAGAAACAGTGAAAGCTATGAACATAGCAAAAAGAACATATACAGAGAGCCATGGACGCTTGAAGGAGTCCCTTACCTCCTGGTCATGGGTCAGATAGAGCTGATACCCAACCAATTCACTACAGATGAAAGTCTTAGAAATTGTGGGGCTACAACATGCAAAGTTTTATCATCATCCCACATAACACTAAACAGGAGGCTCTAACTGCATTCTTGTTGGACATGTATCCAATTTCAGAATAGTGTTCCAAGAATCTGCCTCCTAGGACCACTTTTGTTGGTGTCAGGGATCCCCAGAAGCTGATCTTGAGAGAATATTTTAAGTGGACAGTTTGTTTGAGAGGTGATGCCAGGAAACACTGGTGGAAGAGTTGGGGATGAAAGGAAGCCAATAAAAAGTGCACTAATAAGCATGTTACCATGGAAATAACTGTAACTGAAATTCACCAGGGCCCTCAGGAAGCCAGTGTCAAACAAACACCTTCTCAGTACGTCCCCCCAACACACACCAGCAGCAAGGGAGTTTGGGGTATTTATATGCTAACTTATTAGTCATTGGTTGATGGCAGTTTGTGCAGAGCAAAATCCTGTGCAACTTCAGGCCTGTTGTGCACAGAAACCCTGACTACCAGAGAAAACCCTCAGGCAAGAAGATGCAGATGCTAGCAGTTTGAGGTTACACCAGTATACACTAAAGTGTAAAGGCCCAAGGCACCTGGAGTGCACCAAAAACTATTGCCACAGGTGTACAAATGTTCAAATTAACAAGAAAATGCCATGTCATCCTCCAAAGTCATGGCACCAATTCACATTCCCATCAGCAAATCTGAGACCTTATCCAATACCAATATCCTGACCTGAAACTAGATCATCATTTATTTGCATCTGTGTTTCCTTCTTTTATGTATCCTTTTGTCTCTTGATCAGAGTTAGCCACACTCTTTATTTTGTATGCATCATTCCCTCCCTTTCCATAAAAAAAATTTATCAAATATGGCCGGGCGCAGTGGCTCCCATCTGTAATCCCAGCACGTTGGGAGGCCGAGGCAGGCAGATCACCAGAGGTCAGGAGTTCAAGACCAGCCTGGCCAACATGGAGAAACCCCGTCTCTACTAAAAATACAAAAATTAGCTGGGTGTCATGGCACACACCTGTAGTCCCAGCTACTCAGGAGGCTGATGCAGGACAATCTCTTGAACCTTGGATGTGGAGGTTGCAGTAAGCCAAGATGGCACCACTGCACTCCAGCCTGGATGACAGAGGCAGACTGTCTCAAAAAAAAAAAATTATCAAATATGTATGTATATCTGAACTTGTCTGATTCTGTTTGCCCTTGAGCTATGTAAAATTATATCATACTATATGCAGTTGTCTGCATTGGCATTTTTTACCAATTTTTTTACATCTTGTTTCCAAGATTCATCTATGTTGTTGTGGGGAGTTGTAATTTATTCACTTTTACTGCTGTATAGGTTTCCAGAATTTATTTTCCTTGGATAATTGTTTCAAAATTTTTCTATTATTAGCTGCCTTACTATTGCATTCTTGTTCCTGTCTGTTGAGATCCTGTTATAGGCTGAATATGTCCTCACCTCTCCCCAAATTCATATATGGAAGCCCTAATCCTCAATGTGATGGATTTGGAGATGGGGCCTTTGGGAAGTGATTAGTTTTTGATGAAGTCAGGAGGGTGGGCCCCCACGGTGGTGGTGGTCATGAGGGTGGTCCTCATAGGAAGAGGAAGAAACGGAAGAGCCTCACTCTCTCTGCCATGTGAATGCACCATGAGAAGGTGGCCATCTTCAAGCCAGGAAGACAGCCCTCATCAGAACCCAGCCACGCTGGCACCCAGATTCTGGACTTCCAACCTCCAGAACAAAGAAAACTAAATTTTTGTTGTTTAAGCCACCCAGTCTATGGTATTTTTGTCAGGACAGCCCACACTAAGATGGATACTAGTGGGAGAGTTTCTCTATGAAATATGCACAGGAGTGGAAGTACTGAGGTATAGAATATTATCCCTATTTAGTTTTCTGGAAAGTGTTTTATCAAGCATGTTACCATGACAATTAACTAGAGTCTAACACCTCTGGGGAATTTTGATTATCGTTGTAGAATATATGCCTTAGAATTATCACCAGGGACAAGTGACCTCAGGCATTTACACACACAAGCTCCCATCAGCCATGGGTTAAGAGCTGCTCCAATGAGTACTAATTCCTGGCACTTCTGTTCTGTATTCATTTAGGCTCTGGAAGCCACAGGAAGCAATCAGACAAAAAGTTTCAGGTGTCGTGGCTGGGCATAGTGGCTTATGCTTGTAATACCAGCACTTTGGGAGGCTGAAGCAGGAGGATCACTTCAGCCCAGGAGTTCAGAACCAGCCTGGGCAATATAGTGAGACCACATTTCTACAAAAAATTTAAAAATTAGCTGAGTGTGGTGATGCATGCCTATAGTCCCTGTTACTCAGTAGGCTAAGGCAGAAGGATCGCCTGAGCCCAGGAAGTTGAGGTTGCAGTGAGCCGTGGTCTCACCACTGTGTGCATTCCAGCCTAGGTGACAGAGCAAGACTCTCTCTCTCTCTCTCTCTCTCTCTCTCTCTCTCTCTCTCTCTCTCTCTCTCTATATATATATATATATATATATATATATATATATATATATATATATATGGCTGGGTGCAGTGGCTCATGCCTAATAATCCCAGCACTTTGGGAGGCCAAGGCGGGCAGATCCCTGAGGTCAGGAGTTCAAGACCAGCCTGGCCAACGTGGTGAAACCCCACCTCTACTAAAAATACAAAAATTAGCCAAGCATGGTGGTGCATGCCTGTAGTCCCAGCTATTTGGGAGGCTGGAGTAGGGGAATCATTGAACCCAGAAGGCGGAGGTTGCAGTGAGCCAAGGTCATGCCACCACACTCCAGCTTGGGCAACAGAGCGAGACTCTGTAAAAAAAAAAAAAAAAAAGAAAAGAAAAGAAAAGAAAAAAGAAAAAAAAAGGAACACAGAAGGCACAAACAGCATCCACTACAGTCACCCCTCGCATGTCTAAGGTGCACTTGCACCCCACAGTGATGTCACCACTTCCTATTATTTCCTCTGAAAATGAACCCATTTTGAGATGGGCTTGGGCCAGAATTACCCTTACCCACTGATCCCTGTAAACACTCACTCTAACAGGTGAGGAGTGAAGAGAATAGGGAGGCTTCTATGGTATTCTGGTCCCTCAATTCATTATCTGGGTTCATGGAACAACTACAGATTCTGCTGTTGCAACTGATCCCGAGGCCTTCATTGGCCTTTGTCATCTCCCTTTTGGAGATAGGTTTCTAAGGGTTTCCCTTGACCATGGCAAGAACTTCTGCTGGGCTATGCTCTATGCCTGGTGGGATGATCCAAACCTCCATTTTCTGCAGAATTACAGACCCCAACAAAAATGTCCTTATTCCAGGTCTTGAGGTCCCACTCCTTCATTATTGGGGTGCTTTCCTTAGTGGAAGAGAACTTTGAGCTCCTGGATTCAGCCTTCTTTGTAATCCCACTACTCTTACAATCAGGTTCTGGGCCCAATTTTCAGTAGTTTCTTCTCCAGCTGCAGGAGATGGAGTTTTTTCTAATGCTGTGATGAAGGTTTTCTGAAATTTGCACCATTTCCTGAGTTGAAAGGGGTTCAACTGAGCCTGTTGTTATATTTCTTCAGTGATTCAATTTCACTAAACAACAACCAAACTATTCCACCATTCTTATGATCCTGTCTTTCTCAAAGGCCAGAGAAATTACATAAGGAGCACATCCCCCAACACTGTAACACTTTCTATCTATGTCCCATTATCATAATGCCAGGAGAAGTTATTTACAAAGGGTTATTTACAAAAGTGCAAGTGAGATGTAAGAGAACCACTAGGGATAGTGCAGTAAGCCAGGTTAGGTAACAGGAGGGCTGTTGCTGCCCACAAAACCAAATCTCAAGGTGTTTTAGACAAGACACAAACTGTAAAAGACTTATTGGTAAATTTAACTATACAAAAATTAAAAAGTCATGTCCATCAAAAGATAAAGAAAGTGAAAGACAAGTCACAACCCGGGAAAATACATATGCAACACCTAAACTTAACAAAGGAATATTATCAAAAATGTGTAAACTCCTACAAATAAAGAAGAAAAGGATAAATATCCCAATAGAAAATAAAGGCCAACAGCTTAGGCAACATGGCAAAACCCCATCTCTACAAAAAATACAAAAATTAGCTGGGCATGGTGGCACACACCTATAGTCCTAGCTACTTGGGAAGCTGAGGTGGGAGGATCGCTTGACCCCAGGAGGTCGAGGCTGCAGTCAGCCATGATTGTGCCACTGCACTCCAGCCTGGGAGACAGAGTCAGACCCTGTCTCAATCAATCAACCAATCAATCAAGTAAAATAAAGACCAAAAGACACGAACAGGTATTTCAGAGAATAAAAAAAATACATAAGGCCAATAAACAGTTTAGAAGGTGTCAGCTTCACTAGCAATCAGAAAAAAAGTCAAATCAAGAGAAGAATATTCAAGAAATCATGTTAGCAAAATGATGTTGGCAAAAATTAAGAAGTTGAACCATAATCATTAAGACATAGATTCACAGCCTCCAAGTACGAATGATCCTCCGACCTCAGCCCCCCAAGTAACTGGGACTACAGGTGCATGCCAACATGCCCAGCTAATTTTTTTTCTTTTTTGTTTTTTTCATTTATTTGTAGAGACTGGGTTTTGCCATGTTGCCCAGGCTAGTCTCGAACTCCTGTGCTCAAGCAATCCGCCCATCTTGGCCTCCCAAAGTGCTGGGATTACAGGCGTAAGCCACCCCACCGGGCCCAGAATGCTTTCTTAATCTAAAAACTCCCCTAAGTAGCCAGGCGCAGTGGCTCACGCCTGTAATCCCAGCACTTTGGGAGGCCAAGGCGGGTGGATCACGAGGTCAAGAGATGGAGACCATCCTGGCAAACATGGCGAAACCCCGTCTCTACTAAAAATACAAAAATTAGCTGGGCATGGTGGCGCGTGCCTGTATTCCCAGCTACTCAGGAGACTGAGGCAGGAGAACTGCTTGAACCCAGGAAGCAGAGGTTGCAGTGAGCCGAGATCACACCACTGCACTCCAGCCTGGGCGACAGAGCGAGACTCCGTCTCAAAACAAAAACAAAAACCAAACTCCCCTAAGTAGGGCTATTTTCCTGTCCCTGATGCCACCTTGACAACATAAGTCAACCACTGTTCCACATTTGTCTTTTAGGAACGCCCCAGGACTGTCGGCTGCTGTCCATGGTGCTGCCTTGGTCAGACACGTGGTGTCCAAGCTGCTGTCCGTGGTTCTGCTTTCATTTTTCTGTGTAGCATAATGATTTTTTTGTTTATTTCTTTGTTTAATTAATTGATTTTCTCTTTTTAGAACAGCGCTAGGTTTGCAAACAAATTGAACAAAAAGTCCATAGACTTTTTACATACCCAGCGCCTCTCTATACATATACAGTGTCACCTACTGTCATTGTGCATCTGTATGGCACATTTGTTACAAATGATGAGTCGATATTGATACATTATCATTAACTGAAATCCGTAGTTTACCTTAGGGTTCACTACTTGTGTTGTATAGTTCATGAGTTTTGACAAATGTGCAATGTCACGTATCCACCATGGCAGTGTTATGCAGAATAGTATCCCCTATATTTCACTATTCATTCCTCACCCCTCACCCCAAACCCTGGCAACTGCTGATCTTTCTACTCTCTCTGTAGTTTTGCCTTTCCAAATATATAGTTTGGAAACGTACATTATTTAGCCTTCTCCAACTGGCTGCTTTCACTTAGCAATATGTATTTAAGATTCCTCCATGCGTTCTGTGGTTTAATAGTTTTTTGTTTTTGTTTTTTGTTTTTGATAGGGTCTTCCTCTGTCACCCAGGCTGGAGTGCAGTGGTGCAATCATATTTCACTATAGCTTCAGCCTCCCAGGCTCAAGCGATCCTCTTGCCTTAGCCTCCAACACAGCTGGGATTACAGGCACCACCATCATGCTCATTTTTTAATTTTTCATAGAGATGGTATCTGGCTATATTGCCCAGGCTGATCTAGAACTCTTGGGCTCAAGTGATCCTCCTGTCTCAACCTCCCAAAGTGCTGGGATCACAGTGTGAGCCACCATGCCTGCCCTTGATAGCTCACTTTTTATTGCTGAATAATATTCCACTGTCCGGATGTACCACGGTTAACTGAACCATTCACCTGTGAATGGTATCTTAGTTACTTCCAAGTTTGGCAATTGCGAGGAAAGCTGCTATAAAAGCTCACGTGCAGATTTTTGTGTGGACATAAGTTTTCAACTCATTTGAATAAATACCTAGGAGTGTGATTGTATGGTAAGATAAGATTTAGCTTTTAAAACTGTCAAACTGTCTTCCAAAGTGGCTGCACCATTTGTATTCCCACCAGCAATGAAAGAGAGTTCTTTATGCCTCACATCCTCCACAGCATTTGGCGTTGAGAGCTTTTTGTTTCATTTGTTTTCTTTGGGATTTTCTCCATTCTAGTAGCTGGTCGTGGTAGCTCATTGTTGTTTTCATTTGCCATCCCAATGGCACACCACGTGGAGCATATTTTCATGTGCTTATTTGCCATCCGCAAGCCTTCTTTGGTGAGGTGTCTGTTCAGATCTTTTGCCCATGTTTTAATTGGGTTGCTTGTTTTCTTATTGTTTAAATTTAATAATGGTTCTTTAAGTGTTTTAGATACAAGTCTTTTATCAGATATATATTTTCTCCTCCCAGTCTGTGGCCTGCCTTTTTCATTCTCTTGACAATGTCTTTCACATGTAGACATTTTTTCATTTTAATAAAGCTCAGTTAACTAATTTTTCTTTTTATACAAATTGTGATTTTTGTGTTATATCTAAAAACTCATTGCCAAGCCCAAGATCATCTGGATTTTCTCCTGTTATCTTCTAAAATTTCATAGTTTTAGGCTTTACATTTGGGCCTATGATCCACTTTGAGTTGATTTTTGTGAAAAGCATAAGGCCTGTGTCTAGATTCTTTTTTTTTTTTTTTTTTTTTTTTTTTTTGCTTTGGTGCCATGTAGTGAAAAGATGACGCTTTCTCCATTGAACTGCCTTTGCTCCTTTGTTGAAGATCAGTTGACTATGTTTATGGGCGTCTATTATCAGAAAGTTTTGTTCTATGGATTTATTTGTCTATCCTTTCACCAATTCCACACTCCTGATTATTGTGGCTTCACAGTAAGTCTTGCATAAAAGTTGGGAAGAGTCAGTCCTCTAACTTTGTTCTTCTTCAATATTGTGTTGTCTCTTCTGAGTACTTTCCCTTCCCATATAAACTGTAGAATCAGTTTGCCAACATCCATAAAATAATGTGGTGGGAATTTGATTAGGATTGTGTTAAATCTATATATAAAGTTGGGAAGAACTGACATCTTAAGAATATTGTTTTTCTTTTCATGAACGTGGAATATCTCTCGACTGATTTAGATCTTCTTTCATTTCTTTTATCACAGTTTTATAGTTTTCCTAGTATATATCTTGTATATGTTTTATTAGATTTATACCCAAGTATTTCAGTTTCTGGTGCTAATTTAAATGGTATTCGGTTTTCCACTTTAAATCCCAATTGTTCATTGCTGGTATATAGGGAAAAAATGGCTTTTGCCCATTAAACTTAACGTCCTTCAAATTTGCTTTTAGGCCATTCTTGCGTTGCTATAAAGAAATACTTGAGGTTGGGTAATTTTTTTTTTTTTTAAAAGAGGTTTAATTGGCTCACGGTTCTACAGGCTGTACAGAAAGCATGGCAGCCTCTGCTTCTGGGGAGGCCTCAGGAAGCTTCCAATCATGGCAAACAGCAAAGGGAGAGAAGCCATATCACATGGCCGAAGCAGAAGCAAGAAAGAGACTCTGTGGAGGGGGAGGTGGCACACACTTCTAACGACTAGATCTCGTCTGAACTCTGAGCGAGAGCTCACTCATCACCAAAGGGCTGGCACAAACCATTCATGAGGATCTGCCCCCATGATTTAAACACCTCCCAGCAGGCCCCACCTCCAGCATTGGGGATTACATTTCAACATGAGATTTGGGTAGGAACAAATACCCAAACTATATCATTGCTATAATCACTTATTAGTTCCAGGAGGTTTTTTGTCGATTATTTGGGATTTTCTGCAGAGATATCATGTCATCTGATGACAAACGCAGCTTCATTTCTTCTCCTCCAATCTGTATATCTTATACTTGCTTTTCATGTTTTAATGCATTAGCTAAGACTTCCAGCATGGTGTTAATTGGGACTGGTAAGGGGACCTACTCACCTGTTGCTTCTCACCACGAAGTACAATGTTAGCAGTAGGTTTTTTGTAGATGTCCTTTATAAATTTGAGAGTATTCCCCTTTATTCAAAGTTTGCTGAGAGTTTTTATGATAAATTGAGTTGTATTTTGTCAGACACTTTTTTGTTATCTATTGATATGACCACATGAGTTTTCTTAATCTTTTGAAGAGATGGATTATATTAATTGACTTTTAGGTGGAAAGCTTATATTAATTGATTTTGAATGTCCAATCAGCCTTGTTTCTATTACTGAGAGTTCTCCAGATTAACAGAACCAATAGAATAGGGTGTGTGTGTGTGTGTGTGTGTGTGTGAGAGAGAGAGAGAGAGAGAGACAGAGACAGAGAGAGAGAGAGAATTTTAAGGAATTGGCTCACATGGGTGTGGAGGCCTGCAGGTCCAAAATCATCAAATCGGTAGTGTGGAACCTGACCTAGGGAAGAGATGATGTTCCAGCTTGAGTCCAAAGATCTTCTGGAGGCAAAATTCCATCTTCCTCAGGGGACCTCAATCTGTCTTTTTTAATAGTCTTCAACTGATTGGATGAGGCCCACCCACATTTTGGAGGATGATCTGCTTTACTTAAAGTCTAACAACTTAAATGTTAATCCTGTCTAAAAAAATACCTTCACAACATCCAGACTGATGTTTGACCAAATATTGGGTTCCAAGACCTAGCCAAGTTGACAAGTAAAATCAGCCATCATATTTGCATACCTGGGATAAATCTCAATGGGTATATTATTTTTTATACATGGTTGGATTTCATTTGCTAGTATTTCATTAACATTAGATTTTACACTGTCGATATTGAAGGTAAGCAATCTTTGAAAAAGACTACTAGAACTCACCCATAGCTGTTTTTCTCCTTCCTTTGACTCCTGCTAGACTGTGTTTCCCAGTGCCATCACATGTGGATGGAGACCTGTTACCAGTTCTGTTCAATGAGTAATGTGAATAAGTCAGACAGTACTTTGAAGAGTTGTGATGCTGTAACAAAAAATAATATTATGTGGCTCATGCCTGTAATCCCAGCACTTCGGGAAGCTGAGGCAAGAGGATGATTTGAACTGAGTAATTCAAGATCAGCCTGGGCAACATAGCAATACTCCATCTCTAGAAAAAAAATTAAAAATTAGCCAAGCATGGAGGCACATGCCTGTAGTCCCAGCCACCAGGGAGGCTGAGGTGGAAGGATCACCTGAGCCTGCAGAAGCAGAGGGTGCAGTGAGCTGAGATCATACCACTGCACCCCAGCATAGGTGACAAAGTGAGACTCTATCTCAAAAAAATAAAATAAAAAACTTGCCTTAGAATATGAGAAGCAGTTAGCAAGGAAGCTGGTGTCAGGCTGGAGGACTGCAGATCCTTGTCATGCCTTAATAAATCAGTTGTTAACATTTGGAAGGCAGAGTCCCTGCCTATTCAGCCTGCAGCTCTAGGGTAAGAGATTGCAAAATCAAGTATTAAGAGTTTGTTGGCTACTATTAGCTCCCTTCATTAATTAACTAGAGAAAAGAGGTTAGGTCAGAGAATTGGTGGCTTTGTAAGCAAAAATTTTAAAAGAATAGAGAAAATCCAAAACTTACAAGGAGGGAGTGGAAAAGCTGGCTTCTTCTAGAACCCAAACAAGACAGGACACCAAGAAAGGTTTTAGATGATGAGGATGGCCAAGGTGTGATTTGCAGTGTGGCCTTCCCATCCATGGCCTCTTTCACAGATAATCTAATTTTTAATTTATTATTTTTGTGGATACATAATAATTATATATTAATGTATTTATGGGGTACACATGATATTTTGATACATGCCTAGAATGTGTAATGATCAAATCGGGGTAGTTAAAATATCTATCACCTCAAAATTTATCATTTCTTTGTGTTGGAAACATTTCAAATCTTCTCTTCTAGCTATTTTGAAATATACAATAAATTATTGTTAACTATAGTCACCACACTGTGCTGTTAAACACTAGAACTTATTCCTTCTAACCAACTGTTTTGTGTGTGTGTGTGTGTGTTTTTTTTTTTTTTGAGACAGAGTCTTGCTCTATCATCCAGGCTGAAGTGCAATGGTGCAATCTCGACTCACTGCAGCCTCCGTCTCCCGGGTTCAAGCGATTCTCCTGCCTCAGCCTCCCAAGTAGGTGGGATTACAGGCACATGCCATATGCCCTGCTATTTTTTGTACTTTTACTAGAAACAGGGTTTCACCATGTTGTCCAGATTGGTCTCGAACTCCTGACCTCAGGTGATCCACCCACTTCAGCCTCAAAGTGCTGGGATTACAGGCGTGAGCCACAACACCCAACCTACCCAATTGTATTTTTGTATCCATTATACCAACCTCTCTTATCTCCTCCCCACAGCAGTGATCCTTCCCAGCCTCTGGTAACCACCATTCTCCTCTCTACCTCTATGAGATCCACATTTTTAGCTCCCACATATGAAAGAGGACACATGATATTTGACTTTCTGTGCCTGGCTTATTTCTCTTTAACATAATGACCTCCCTTTCCATCCATGTTGCTGGAAATTATAGGATTTCATTCTTTTTTATGGCTGAATAGTATTCCATTATGTATATATACCACATTTTCTTTATCCATTTATCCATTGATGGACACTTAGGTTGATACCCTATCTTAGCTATTGTGAACAGTGCTGCAATAAATATGGGAGTGTAGATATATCTCCAAAATATTGATTTCCTTTCTTTTGGATATATATGCATCAGTGAAATTGCTGAATTATATGGTAGTTCTATTTTTAATTTTTTGAAGAACTTCTACACTGTTTTCAATAATGGCTGTACTAATTTACATTCCAACTAGCAGTGAATGAGCATTCTCCTTTCTCCACATCCTCATCAGCATCTGTTCCTTTTTGTCTTTGGTAATAACTATTCTAAATGGGGTAAGATAATATCTCATTGTGATTTCGATTTGCATTTCCTAGATCATTAGTAATGTTGAGCATTTTTTCATGTACATGTTGGTCACACTTGCATGTCTTCTTTTGAGATATGCATATTCATGTCTTTTGTCCATTTTAATGGGATTTTTCTTGTTGTGGAGTTGAATTCCTTGTATATTCTGAATATTAGTCCCTTGTTGGATGAATTTTATCCCATCAAAAAGTTGACTCTTCACTCTGTTGACTGTTTCCTTGCTGTGCAGAAGCTTTTTAGTTTAATATAGTCCCATTTGTCTATTTCTGTTTCTGTTGCCAGTCATTTTGAGGTGTTAGCCATAAAATATTTGCTTATGACAATGTCCTGTAGTGTTTTCCCTATGTTTTCTTCTAGTAGTTTTATAATTTTTAGTCTTATGTTTAAGTCTTTAATACATTTTAGTTGTTTTTTTAATTCAGTGAGAGATTGGGACCTAGTTTTATTCTTCTGCATATGAATATCCAGTTTTCCTAGCATCATTTATTGAAGAGGCTGTCCTTTCCCAGCACTTTCATTGAAAATCAGTAGGCTATAAATATGTGGTTGTTTTGTTTCTAGGTTCTCAATTCTGTTCCATTGGTCTGTGTCTATTTTTATACCAATGTCATGCTGTTTTGTTTCCTATATCCTCATGATATATTTTGAAGTCAGGTAGTATGATGCTTCCAGCTTTATTCTTTTTCCTAAGGGTTGCTTTGGCTATACAAGCTCTTTTTTGGTTTCATAATAATTTTGGGATTGTTTTTCCATTTCTTTGAAAAAATGACATTGATATTTTAATAGCGATTACATTGAATCTGTAGATTGCTTTGGATAGTATGGTCATTTTAACAATATTAATTCTCCCAATTCATGAGCATGGAAGGTCTTTCCATTTGTTTGTGTCCTCTTCAATTTCTTTCATCAGTGCCTTGTAGTTTTCCTTGCAGAAGTCTTTCACCTCCTTGGTGAAATTTATTTATATGGATTTTTGTAGCTATTGTACATGGGATTGCCTTCTTGGTTTCTTTTTCAGCTAGTTCATTATCAGGGTATAGAAATACTACTGACTTTCATATATTGATTTGTATCTTGCAACTTTACTAAATTTATTTATCAGACCTAAGAGTTTTTGGTGGAGTCTTTGGGTTTTTTCCTTTCAGCCAGTATATATCTTTTAAGTGGAAAATTCTATCTGTTTACATTCAAGGTTATTATTGATACGTGGGGACTTATTTCTGCCATTTTGTTGGTTGTTTTCTTGTTGTTTTGTCTATCCTGTGTTCCTTTCTTTCTCTCTTATTGTTTATCATTGTGGCTTGGTGGTTCCTGTAGTGGTAACATTTGTGTCTTTTCTCTTCCTCTTTTTTTGTATTTGCCGTGCGGCTGTAAGTTTTATACATTTATGTGTTTTCACGATGGTAGAGATCATCCTTTTGCTTCCAAGTATAGAACTCCCTTAAGCATTTCTTGTAAGGCCAATATAGTGGTGATGAATTTCCCCAGGCTCCAGTGGCTCACATAGGTGCTGGCTGTGGTGGGCAGGATGGGATGATCCTTTGCCCCACCCAGTAACAGTAGCAGTGTGACGGGAGAGCCTGTCCTCAGGGCATGTGAAGTGCACAGTGGCCCTGCTATGGGGTCACTGCCCGTGGCATGTACTTCAGCCCTGGAAGCAGCAGCAGCTTCATCATAGCTTATTTAATTCAGCGGACCAAGAGCATAAACACCTGAGCTTCCTCTTTTTATCTGCTCATTCTGCTTCCCAAGTTCTCAAGGACTTATGTGGACAGTCTTCCCGCACTTGCCAAAAACTCAGTTCATTCTGTTATAAATCTCAGTGCCTCTACCTGCTACAGACACGGAGCTCACCCCGTCAGTGGCACCCCTTCTGACCCAGAAGTGTCCCTAGGTGTCTTCGTGGCCTCTGCCATGGGTGCTGGTATGCCATTGTGGGAGGTGGGGGGCAGTGGGAGTCAGGAGGTTGCTCCTCTGGGTGGAGCTGCCTGCCAATCAAGATCCTGACTCTACCTCCACCCCATGTGACCAGGCTGCAGGGGCAGGCCTTAGTGGGCACCGGTGGTGCTCTGGTCACAAGACACCCTGGAGGTGAAGGGGGCCTTCCAATTCTAAAGCTGTAGCTGCAGACTTGGGCAGTGCAAATCCTGTCAGGACCAAACACCAAATTCTATCACCCACTCAAGCTTGAAGTTAAGTGGGAGGGAGAGAGTCCCTGCAGGACCCTTGCTATAGTTGGATGTTTGTCCCCCAAGACTTCATGTTGAAATTCGACCCCCAGTGTTGGAGGTGGAGCCTGGTAGAAGGTGTTTGGATTTTGGGTGCAGATCCCAAAATGCTCTCCTTTGAGGGTGAGTTCTCACTCTTATTCCTGCTAGAGCTGGCTGGTGAAAGGAGCCTGGCATCTCCCCTCTTTCTTGCTTCCTCTCTCCCCATGTGATCTCTGCACATACCATGGTTCTTGTACAGCCTGCAGAACCATGAGCCAAATAAACCTCTTTTCTTTATAAATTACCCAGCTTCAGGAATTCCCTTATAGCAACTTAATGGACAAAGACAACACCTGACAGCCACTCTCCCACATGCCTCCAGCAATGCTCTGTGGGTTTGCACCTCCAACTAAGTCATTTAGGCAGGATTTAATGGAAGGACACCTTGCTGACACAGATCTGGGCTCAGTGCAAGAGCCCCTGGGACACTGAGGACTCCAGAGCTGGCTCCGGCAGAGTGAAGAGTAGCAGAATATGCCACTTTCAAACAAGAATAATTTTGAGCCGAAGACAATTAAAAAGAAGCATACCCAAGAAAAAAATCCCTGCCCACTCCCTTTCTACCAGGAAAAGCAGAGGATTCTTAGTCCTTGGAGACAACTCTAGATGCTTATCAGCCCAGAGAAGGCACTAGAGGAATCTACACAACAAACTAGCAAGCTATCTTCTGTTAGCTTCCCCTATATATTTACTTCCCAGAATTTGCTGCCCTACAGGTTGAAAGCCCCTTTCCTTTGTCTTGCCAATTCTGTAAAAATGATTGCCCATTTGCTAAGATGCTCCGTAAGCTCACGTTCCAACCGCCCCTTTGAATTCCTCATCTCTGACGGCTCCCACATAGAGGCATAATGCACATGTTAGTAAACTTTTGTTTGTTTTTCTCATGTTAGTATCTTGTTAATCTAATTGACAAGACCCCAGCTAATGAACCTAAGATGGGTAGAAGGGGGAAAAATGTTTCTTCCCCTACAAGAGCAAGCACCTCCCCACACACTGGAGGAGGAGAGAGAGCCGCTCCGAGATCTGCAGGAACAGAGGCTCCTTGGGCTGTCTGTTGAGGAAGGCAATAAGGTCCAGGCAACCCTGCAAGGAGAGAGCCAGGGTCACCACTTAGCATCAGCATCCCCTTCCTCTGATCTCCTGCAGGCAGCCAGCCCACCCAAAGAGCTGACCCATCCAGCACCCAAGGAGTGAGGCAGGCCAGAGTCCACTCCAAGGGCAGAGGCTGTGGGGCAGGTGGGGAGCCAGCCTGGAGGATGTTAGCAGAGCCAGGTGGGTCATGGCACCCACAGCCTCGGGGATCCAGCTTGAGAGAGACCCTGAGGGCCAGGCTGATAACAGATGAGTTGTGATGACAGGGCTCATTGTCAGACACTGTAGGCTGTCAGGCTGTCAACCTGAGCAGACTACCAAGTCTTCCCATCCGCAAAACAGCTCACCCCAGCTATCAGGGGTGGGCACCCAGAGGAGAGACCATTCTCATCTCCACCTGAACTCTTTTGGTGCTCCCAGAACATTCTGATGCTGAAGAGGAGTGTAGAATCAGATAGAAACAATTCCTCTTGTAGCTTCCATGATGGTTGGATGGTAAAGTACAACTGGCTTTGTTAGTTCATTTTGCATTGCTGTAGAGGAATACCTGAGGCTCAGTAACTTATAAAGAAAAGAGGTTTATTTGGCTCAGGGTTTTGCAGGCCATAAAAGAACCCTGGTGCCAGCATCTGCTTCTGGTGAGGGCATCAAGGAGCTTACAACCATGGCAGAAGTTGAAGGGGGAGAGAGCATGTAACATGGTGAGAGAGAGAGCAAGAGAGGGAAAGAGGAGGTGCCAAGCTCTTTTAAACAACCAGCTCTTGTGTGAACCAGTAGAGCAAAACTCACTCATCACCAAGAGGATGGCAGCAAGGCCATTCATAGGGATCCATGGCATGACCCAAACATTTCCACTAGGCCCCACCTCCAACATTGGGGATCACATTTCAACAGGAGATTTGGAGGGGACAAATATCCAAACCATGTCACTCCACACTGTCCCCCCAAATCTCATGTCCCTCTCACATTGCAAAATATAATCATCCCTTCCCAATAGTGCCCAAAAAATCTCAACTTGTTCTAGGATCTACTCAATCAAAACTCCGAAGTTTCATCTGAGACTCAAGGCATGCCCCTTCCACCTATGAGGCTGTAAGATCCAAAACAAGTTGCTACTTCCAAGATACAGTGATGGTACAGGCATTGGGTAAACATTTCCCTTCCTTCCAAAAGGAATAAATTGGCCAAAAGAAGGAGGGGGAAGAAGCAACAGGCCCCACACAATTCTGAGAGAAAGACATTAAACTTTAAAGCTCCAAAATAATCCTTGACTCCATGTCCTGCATCCAGGGCACACTGGTGTGAGGAGCGGGTTCCCAAGGCCTTGGGCTGGTCTGCCCCCATGGCTTTGCAGAGTGCAGCCCACATGGCTGCTCTCATGGGTTGTAGTTGAGTGCCTGAATCTTTTCCAGGCTCTGGGCGCAAGCTGCTGGTGGCTCTACCATTCTTGGGTATGGAGGGCAGCAGCCCCATTCCCAGAGCTCCACTAGGCAGTACCCCACTGGGGACTCTGTGAAGGGGCTCCAACCCTACATTTTCCCTCCACACTGCCCTACTGGAGGCTCTGTGGGAGAACTCCACCCCTGCGGCAGGTTTCTGTCTGGGCTCCCAGGCTTTCTTTTTTGTCTCTCTCTTTTTTTATTTTTATTTCAATAGTTTTAGGTTTTTGGTTACATAGATAAGTTCTTTCATGGTAATTTCTGAGATCTTGGCACACTTGTCACCCAAGCAGTGTACGCTGTACCCAATATGTAATCTTTTATCCCTCACCTCCATCCCCCACTTGCCCTCAAGTATCCAGAGTCCATTATATCATTCTTATGCCTTTGCATCCTTATAGTTTAGCTCCCACTTATAAGTGAGAACATATGATGTTTGTTTTTCCATTCCTGAGTTATTTCACTTAGAATAATGGCCTCCAACTCCATCCAGTTTGCTGCAAATGCCACTATTTTATTCCTTTTTATGGCTGAGTAGTATCCCATGGTGTATATATACCACATTTTTTATCCACTCATTGGTCAATGGGCATTTAGGCTGGCTCCATATTTTTGCAATTACAAGGAGTTGCAATTGCACTGCTCTAAATATGTGTGTGCAAGTGTCTTTTTCATATAATGACTTATTTTTTTCTGGATATCGAATAGTGGGACTGCTGGATCAAATGGTGATTCTACTTTTAGTTATTTAAGGAATCTCCATACTGTTTTCCAAAGTGGTTGTACTAGTTTACATTCCCAACCAGGAGTGTAAAACTGTTCCCTTTTCACCATATCCATGACAACATCTGTTAGTTTTTAATTTTTAATTATGGTCATTCTTACAGAAGTGAGGTGGTATCTCATTGCAGTTTTAATTTGCATTTCCCCAAAAATTAGTGATATTGAGCATTTCTTTATATGTTTGTTGGCCATTTGTATATCTTCTTTTGAGAATTGTCTATTCATGTCGTTCGCCCACTTTTTGATGGTATTTTTTTTATTGATGATTTGTTTGAATTCCTTGTAGATTCTGGATATTAGTCCTTTATCAGATGCATAGTTTGCAAATATTTTCTCTTATTCTGTGGGCTGTCTGTTTACTCTCTGATTATTTCTTTTGCTGTGCAGAAGTTTTTTTTGTCTAATTAGGTCACATTTATTTATTTATTTATTTATTTTTGGTTTTGTTGCACTTGCTTTTGGGTTCTTGATCATGAACTCTTTGCCTAAGCCAATGTCTAGAAGAGTTTTACCAATGTTATCTTCTAGAATTTTCATGGTTTCAGGTCTTAGATTTAAGCCTTTCATCCATCTTGAGTTGATTTTTGTATAAAGTGAGAGATGAGGATCCAGCTTCATTCTTCTACATGTGGCTTGCCAATTATCCCAGCACCATTTGTTGAATAGGACATCTTTTCCCCACTTTACATTTTTGTTTGCTTTGTCAAAGATCAGTTGGATATAAGTATTTGACTTCATTTCTGGATTCTCTGTTCTGTTCCATTGGTCTAATGCCTATTTTTATACAAGTACCGTGCTATTTTGGTAACTATAGCCTTGTAGTATAGTATGAATTTGGGTAATGTAATGCCTCCAGATTTGTTCACCTTGCTTAGTCTTGCTTTGGCTATGTGGGGTCTTTTTTGGTTCCAAATGAATTTTAGAATTGTTTTTTATATTTCTGTGAAGAATGATGGTGGCACTTTGATGGGAATTGCATTAAATCTGTAGATTGTTTTTGGCAGTATGGTCATTTTCACAATATTGATTCTACCCATCCAAGAGCATGGGATGTGTCTCCATTTGTTTGCGTCATTGATGATTGCTTTCAGCAGTGTTTTGTAGTTTTTCTTGTACAGATCTTTTACCTCCTTGGTTAGGTATGTTCCTAAGTATTTTATTTTTTGCAGGTGTTGTAAAAGGGATTGAGTTCTTGATTTGTTTCTCAGCTTGGTCATTGTTGGTGTATAGCAGTGCTGATAATTTATGTACATTGATTTTGTATCCTGAAATTTTACTGAATTAATTTAACAGATCTAGAAGCTTTTTGGATGAGCTTTAGGGTTTTCTAGGTATGTGATCATATCATCAGTGAACAGCAACAGTCTGACTTCCTTTTTACTGATTTGGATGGGCACCCAGACTTTCCTATACACCCTCTGAAATGTAGGTAGGAGCTGCCATGCCTCCTTCACTCTTGTATTCTGCCCACCTGTGGGCTTAGCACCATGTGGAAGCTACCAAGGCTTCCAGCTTGCACCTTCTGGAGTGGCAGCCTGAGCTGCACCTGGGACTCTTTGAGCCTTGGCTGAACCTGGAGCAGCAACCTCCCAAGATACCACAGGGAAGCAAGGCCCCAGCCCTGACCCCCATAACAATTTCATCCTCCTAGGCCTCTGGGCCTGTGATGGGAGAGACTGTCCCAAAGACTTCTGAAATGCCTTTAAGACCTTTTTCTCATTGTCTTTGCTATTAGCATTTAGTTGCCTTTTAGTTATGCTAATCTCTCTAGCAAGTGGTTGCTCCATAAGGCATTTGGGTTCCTTGCCTGAAAAGGCTCTTTTCTTCTCAACCTCATGGCCAGCCTGCAAATTTTCCAAATGTTTATGTTCTGCTTACCTTTTAATTATAAATTCTAATTTTAAGTCATTTTTTTTGCTCCCATATTTGATTTAGGCCATTCAAAGCAGCCAGGTTACTTCTTGGATGCTCTGCTGCTTTGAAATTTCTTCCACCAGATACCTTAGGTCATCACTGTCAATCTCAGCCTTTCAGAAAGCCCTGGAACATGGACACAATACAGCCAAGCTCCTTGCTGGGGGCATAACAAGCATCACCTTTACTCCAGTTCCTAATAAATTCCTCATTTCTACCTGAGACCTCATCGGCCTGGCCTTTACTGTCCATATTTCTATCAGCACTTTGATCACAACTATGTAACCAGTCTCTAAAAAGTTCCAAATTTCCCCTCATCTTCCTGTCTTCTTCCTGGGCCCTCCAAACTCTTCCAACCTCTGCCCATTACCCAGTTCCAAAGCCACTTCCACATTTTCAGGTATCTTTATAGCAACACCGCACTCCTTGCTACCAATTTTCTGTTTTCATCCATTTTGCATTGCTATAAAAGAATACCTGAGGCTGGATAATTTGTAAAGAAAAGGAAGTTTATTTGGCTCACTACAAGCTGTACAAGAAGCATAATGCCAGTATCTGCTTCTGGTGAGGCCTCTGGAAGTTTACAATCAAGGCAGAAGGCAAAAAAGGAGCCAGCATAGGACAGGCATGGTGGCTCATGCCTGTAATCCCAGCACTTTGGGAGGCCAAGGCAGGTGGATCACTTGAGGTCAGGAGTTCGAGACCAGCCTGACCAACATGGTGAAACCCCATCTCTACTAAAAATACAAAATTATCCGGGTATGGTGGTGCACACCTGTAGTCCCAGCTACTAGGGAGGCTGAGGCAGGAGAATTGCTTGAACCCAGGAGACAGAGGTTGCAGTGAGTGAGCCGAGATCACACCATTGCACTCCAGCCTGGGCAACAAGAGTGAAACTCCATCTCAAAAAAAAAAAAAAAAAGGAGCCAGCATGTCACATGGTGAGAATGGTGAGAGGGAGAAAGAGAGATAAGAAGGAAGTGTCAGGTTTTTTTAAACAACCAGCTCTTGTGTGAACTAATAGAGTGAGAAATCACCCATCACCAAGGGGATGGCACCAAACCATTCATGAGAGATCTGGCCTTATGACCCCAATACCTCCCACCAGGTCTCACCTCCAACACTGGGGATCATATTTCAATGTGAAATTTGGAGGGGACAAACATCTAAATCATATCAGGAACTCCATGGTACTGCTAACCCCCAAATCTCTAGGGGTGATATTGAGTGACATGCATGGTACTGAACGATACTTGGTCAGGTTCTCCCAGTGAAGCCCAAGCACCCTCAGGGTACAGGGCTGGGAGGCCCAATCACACCAGCTCAGCCCAGGACTTGGCTGAGTCTGCCCGGTATTAGAAGGTAGCAGACCTAGAACTGGGTTGAACAAGATCAGGCCACTTTGTGCATGTTGCCAAAGGAGAAACTGAAGGATCAGAAGTGGGCAGTAAGTTTTCAGTGAGCCCAGGGGTCATAAGTAGCAAAATGTGGAATTCAGTAAGGGGTAGAGGCTGGAAGAGTTTTGAGGTGTGTGTTAGAAAAAGCCTAGGTTTCCTTGAAGACTATGTTAGAAATTTGGACATTAAAGGTGATCCTGGTGGGGGCTCAGAAAGAAAGAGGAGAGCTATAGAGAAAACTCCTGTCATCTTGGAGAATACATAAATTGTCACGAACAGAATGTTGCTAGAAACGTGAATGTTAAAGATGCCTCTGCTGAGGCTCCAGACAGAAATAAGGAAGGTGTTATTGAAAACGAAGGTGACCCTTGTCATACAGTGGCAAAGCACTTGGCTGAACTGTGTTCCGTTTTGTGGAAAGTAGAAATTATACATGATGAACTTGGATGTTTAGCTGACGAAGTTCCTAAGAAAATTGTTGAAGGCATTCTTGATTTCTCCTTGCTGCTTACAGTAAAATATGAGAAGAGAGAGATCAGCTGAAGAGGGAAGTGCTGAGGTGGCTGGGTCAGCTGACCCAAGGGCCCTTCAAGCTGATTTAGGCTGCTCACCTTGGTCTCAGAATCACCACGGCCATGGCCGGTCAGTCACAGGTGATCCAGCAGCTGCTGCAGGCCGAGAAGCAGGATGCCAAGAAGGTGTCTGGGGCCCACAAGCAAAAGAACCAGAGGCTGAAGCAGCCCAAAGGAGCAGCTTAGGCTGAAATTGAACAGCACTGCCTGCAGAAGGAGAAAGAGTTCAAGGCCAAGGAAGCTGCAGCACTAGGATCTCGCAGACCCAGGATAACCATCCTCCAGACCTACTTCCAGCAGAACAGGGAAGAAGTCTTAGATAACCTTTTGGCCTTTGTCTGCAGCATCCAGCCAGAAATCCCTGAAAACTATCGCATAAGTAGATATTAAAAGAGAGAAGCACCTGTTAAATGGACTGGCACTTTAGATGCCCTCATGGAATAAGAAGCTCTAGTTATATTCTTATAAGAAGACATTAACTTATCTCTGTATATTATAGAGTAGGCCCATTCACTTTTCGGAGAGAAGCAAATCCAGTTTCTTTGTACAGACTTAGAATTTATCTAGGCTGGGCATGGTGGTTCACGCCTGTAATCCCAGCATTTTCGGGGGCCAAGGCGGGCAGATGGCTTGAGCTCAGGAGTTTGAGACCTGCCTGAACAACACAGTGAGACTGTGTCTCTACAAGGAAATATAAAAATTAGCCAGATATGGTGGTACATGCTTATAGTCCTACCTACTTGGAAGAGTGAGGCAGGAGGATCACTTGGGCCCGGAAGGCAGAGGTTATAGTGAGCCAAGATTGTGCCACTGCACTCCAGCCTGGGTGCTAGAGTGAGACCCTGTCTCAAAAAAAAAAAACTTAAAGATTTCATCTTTTTACCTCATGTTTCTTAGGAATATAATGGGTAAATATTGTCTATTTTATTATGCCTTTTGGCTCAAGCAATATATATACATATATATATATCACTGTTGATGTTTTCTTTCTTGTATCAAGTTTAAAAGAAAAAGCAAAACAATCCTTTGAAAAAAGGAAGGAATTAAATCATTTTTTCCTTAATGCTTTTTTGAAGGTCAGGGGCTTTATCTATGAAAAAGTAGTAGTTTCTGTAACCTGTGTGAAGCATCAGCCAGCCTTAAAGTAGTCCATTGCTGCTAATAATTAGAACAGTGAATATTACTAGTATAATTGTTTCAGCTTCTTAATCAAAATAACTAGATGATAGAATTCAAGAACTTGTTACATGTTATTACTCGGTGTACTACTAATCATTTAAAAGTAAAGCCTATCATGCAAATAAATAAATAAATAAATAAATAAATACATGAGACCAGATAAAATGAAGGAAGAATGACTTTGAGATCAGAGCCACAGGTGAGGAGGCTGTTGGGGCTGCTGTTGCCACCTTGGGCCCAGAGTGTGGGGCCACCCCAGTGGGCCTGGAAGATGGAGCATTAACCGAGGAGGATGAATCTTGAGACTTAAATCTAATAAAGGGCCAACTAGAAGCCCCTAGTGCTCATCATCCTCATAAAGAAAGCCAGAAAAGTCAATAGACAACTATATTTTAACGAAAATAACTGAGGGAGAGCACTGAGTGCATCAGAGGAGTAACAGAAACCCTGATAAGCACAGAAATGTGGGCTGGCCACATAGAAAACAGAAGGAAACACACGGCCTCCACCACTCCATCCCCCAACCAGGATTATCTGGGAATCAGGAGGAATTTCTGACATGAGGAGGTAAGCAAGAGGATCCCAGTGGCACCCACTAACACCTCGGACACCTGCAGACCTCGCCACTGGGGTCCCCTGCAGTTTGCACTGGAGGGAGTTGCCTGGAGGCCACATAGCTGTGCTCTCCAAAAAAGGTGCTGACACCGTACCCCACTCCCACATGGCTAGTGCTTCACCACACTGGAATAGGAACTATGGCTGGAGTGTGTCTTACCCAAGGAGTGAGTAGTCACAGCTCCCCTTCATCTCTGAGGCTAAGCTGCCACTGAACAACCCAGACTAGTGGTCCCACGTCCCCAAGTCAAGCTATGGGCATCTATTAAACCCTTCCCCACAGAGCCAAGTGGATCAGCTCTACCCACTCCTCCCCCTGACCCTTTGAGTCCAAGCTAAAGCAGTTTCTTGCCTCCTAGCAAAACAGGACTTTGGCCATGCCTTTCTAGTGTCTACGTTGAAGCAGCACCCTGCATTCCAGGAACTAATGCCTTGGCCACCCAGAAGGTCACACACTGCAGTGCTTAGGCTGAAGCAGCAACCTGTATCCTACAGAAATGGTGCCTGGGCCACTCAGAACAATCACACCCTCTGATACATAAATGCAGGACTTTCCTTACAGCAGAGAAGGCCTGAGCTGAAGCAACACATCACCTTCTAGGGAATCAGTGCCCTGGCTTAAGCTGAGCAGCAGCACATCCCAAGGCTGAGCTGATATAGTACCCTATGCCCCAGGAAAACAGAGCAGTGGCTAAGCTGAGACATCTCAGCCTACAGGCCAAACAACTGTAGTGCCCTGCTTCCCTGGAGCTTGCCTAGGCCCCTAGGGTCTGAGCTGCTGAGGCACCCTCTCCCTGGGAAGTAGAATCAGCACTGTGCTGTTCCCTGCCTACTCCCCACCAAGGCCCAAATTACAGCTATGCTCTGCCATCTTGGGATACTTGCTGACACTGTACCTGGTCTCACATAGTCTGGGATCCTGCTGAGCCCTACCATCCTAGGGTCTAGAGTCAATACCATACAGTGCCTCATCCCCTGGGACCAAAGTTTCCATTGTGCCCTATTGGCTCAGCTTCCCAAATTGCAGCCATACCATACTCCCCAGGTCCACACCTCCAGAACACCCCTTCTTCCCCAGAGTTGGACAAATGCTGCACCCCCCAGGAATAGACTCACAGCTACAACCTGGCCCCTTGAGCAAAACCTGTTAAAGGGTACCTCAGAGTCACAGATCCTAGCACTGTGAGCCACCTAATCCAAACCTGCCACAGAAACTGAACCTACACCCCAAGACCCAGATGCCACAGTAGATTCTTGAAACCAGGAGACTAGGACTCCAGTTGCACAGCTACTCTAATTTTCTGCACCTGGAATCCAGCACCATTGCAGCTGCACGTTGGCCACATTAGACCTGCTACCAAGAGAGAGCCCCTTGACTAAATCTCCTCATTGTGGGGAAACAAGAAGAGGAGGACTACAAAAGCCCTTGACACTGAGTACATTAACCTGTGCCACCACTACATCCACAAACTTCTACAGCCTAGTCCACTGAGGTGCCCACAGTTATTGCTGAGGTTGAATGCAGTTGAAGAAGACGCATGGAAGCTATGCCACTGCACCTATTCAGAAACAGAGTCATCACACTTTCCCAACCAAAACACTAAACCCAACTGCAGGTGAAATTGTTTCTCTAAAAAACCCACTCTTGAAAGTTTGGAAGAGGTGACTATTTCGCCAGATGCACAGACATCAATGCAGGAACACAATAAACATGAGAAAGCAAGGAAATATGACACCACCAAAGGAACATAACTCTCATTAATAGACCTCAATGGAAAAAGAAATCAATGTATTGCTGGAAAAGGAATTCAAAATAATGATCTTAAGATAACTCAATAAGATACAAGAAAACAGATAAACAATTCAATGAATTCAGGAAAGTAATTTACAGTATGAATGAAAATTTCAACAGAGATAGAAATAAAAAAGAAGCAAACTAAAATTCTGCAGGTGAAGAATTCAATGAATAAAATTAAAAAATACAGTAATGAGCTTCAACAGCAGATATGATGAAGCAGAAGAAAGGAAGAGATAGATCCCAATACAATAATAGTTGATAACTTCAACACCACTCTCAGCACTGGACAGATAATCCAGACAGAAAGTCAACAAAGAAGCATTCAATTTAAAAAGCACTTTAGACCAAATGCATCTAACAGATATTTACACAACATTTCATCCAACAGCTGTGAAATACACATTCTTTTCATCAGCACATGGAATATTCTCCAGGATAAACCATACAGTAAGTCACAAAACAAGTCTCAACAAATTTGAAAGAATTAAAATTATATCAAATATCATTTATGACCACAATAAAACTCGAAATCAATAAGAGGAACTTTTAAGACTGTACAAAGACATGGGAAATTAAATAATGTACTCCTGAGTGACCAATAGGAATTAAGAAGGGAATTTTAGAATGTCAACAAAGAAAATGAAAATAGAAATGCAACGTACTAGAATTTATAAGATATAGCAAAAAGCAGCATTAAGATGGAAGTTTATGGCAATAAATACCTACATCAAAAAAGCAGAGAGATTTCAAATAAATCTCATCCTTGAAAATGCATGTCAAGGAACTAGGAAATCAAGAATAAACCAAACCCAAAATTAGTAGAAAGAAAGAAATAATAAAGATCAGAGCAGAAATAAATGAAATTCAGACTAAAAAAAAAAAAGATCAACAAAATGAAAAATTGAATTTTTCAAAAGATAAACAAAAATGACAAATAATTAGCTAGACTAAACAAAAAAGACCCAAAAGAATGAAATCAGAAATGAAAACAGAAACATTACAACTCATATCACAGAAACACAAAGGATAATTAGAGACCATACACCAACAGATTAGAAAACCTAGCAGAAACAGGTATATTTCTGGACAATACAACCTACCAAGACTGAACCCAGAAGAAATAGAAAGCCTGCACAAACCAGTCATGAGCATTGAGATTGAATCTGTAACAAAAAGTCTCCCATCAAAGGAAAGCCCAAAGAAATTCCTGTTGAAATACCAATGACATTCCTATCAAAATGCCAATTCTACAGTAATCCAATGGCTTCAGTGGGGAATTCTACCAAACACTAAAAAAACTAATACCTATTCTTCTGAAAATCTTCCCGAAAATTGAAGAGGAGGGAATTCTTCTAAATTCCTTGTATGAGGCCACTATTATGGTAATTATGATTATGATTATGATTATGTGATTATTATTATGATTCCAAAACCAGACAAGGACACAACAAAAAAAGCAAACTATAGGCTAAATACTCTGATGAAGATAATAGATGAAAACCTTCAACCAAATACTAGCAAATTGAATCCAGCAGCATATTAAAAACATTATTTATCATGATCAAGTGAGATTTATCCCAGGAATGCAAGGATGGTTCAACATATGCAAATCACATCAACAGAATGAAGGACAAAAACCGTATTATCATCATAACAGACACAGAAAAAGTATTTGATAAAATCCAACATCCCTTCATAAAAATTCTCAGCAAGTTAGGTATGAAAGGAATATACCTCAACACAATAAGAGCTATATGTGACAAACCCACAGCCAACATCATACTGAACATGCAAGAGTTGAAAGCTTTTCTCTAAAATCTGGAACAAGCCAATGATATCAGGCCAGATGTAGTGGCTCATGCCTCTAATTCTAGCACTTTGGGAGGCCAAGGCAGGAGGATCACTTGAGCCCAACAAAGGAAACAATCAACAGAGTGAAAAGACAATCTACAGAATGTTAGAAAATATTTGCAAACTCTCCATCCAACAAGGGACTAATATTTAGAATACATTGGAAACTCAAACAACTAAACAGAAAAGAAAACAAATTTTTTTATTAAAAATAGGCAAATGAAAAAATATTTAAAAGTTTTTAAAACCAAAAAAGGAACTGAATAGACGTCTCTAAAAGGAAGATATACGAATGGCCAACAGACATATGAGAAAATGCTCAACATTACTAATCATAAGGAAAATGCAAATTGAAACCACAATAAGATATAATCTCACCCCAGTTAAAATGGCTATTATTAAAAAAGGCAAAAAACAATTGCTGTCAAAGATTCAGAGAAAGGGGAGCTTTAATGCATTATTGGTTGAAATCTTGTCTTTGGAATTAGCACAGCCATTGAAAAACAATAAAGAGCTTCCTCAAAAAATGGAAATGAGTACTGCCCCATGATCCCACCATCCTCTACCGGGTATTTATCCAAAGGAAATCTATGTCAAAGAGACATCTACACTACATGTTCATTGCAGCACTATTCACAATGCCAGTGTTGGAATCAACCTACGTGTCCATCAACAGATGAATGCATAAAGAAAATGTAGTGTTTATACACAAACACACACAGAGAGAGAGAGAGAGAGGAATTCTATTCTGCCATGAAAAAGAATGAAATCTTGTCATCTGAGGTAACATGGATGAGCTTGGAGGACATGTTAAGTGAAATAAAGCTAGACACAGACAGCCAAATATCACATGTTCTCACTCATATATGGAAGCCAAATAAGTTGATCTCATAGAAATAGGGAGTAGAATAGTGGTAACCAGAGGCTGGGAATGGGAGGGGATAGGATAGCTAGAAGTCGATTAATAAATAAAAAATTACAGTCAGGTAGGAGGAATAGGCCCCGGTGTTCTCTAACACCATAGGGTGACTATAACTAACAACAATTTATTGTATATTTTCATACGGCTAGAAGAGCAAATTTTGATTGTTCCCAGCACAAAGAAGTGATAAATGTTTGAGGTGATGGATATGCTAATTGTTGCAGGAAGTCAGGGACCCCGAATGGAGGGACCAGCTGGAGCCATGGCAGAGGAACATAAATTGTGAAGATTTCATGGACATTTATCAGTTCCCAAATAATACTTTTATAATTTCTTATGCCTGTCTTTACTTTAATCTCATAATCCTGTTATCTTCATAAGCTGAGGATGTACGTCACCTCAGGACCACTGGGATAATTGTGTTAACTGTACAAATTGATTGTAAAACATATGTGTTTGAACAATATGAAATCAGTGCACCTTGAAAAAGACAGAATAACAGCGATTTTTAGGGAATAAGGGAAGACAACCATAAGGTCTGACTGCCTGAGGGGTTGGGCAAAAAGAGCCATATTTTTCTTCTTGCAGAAAGCCTATAAATGAACGTGCAAGTAGGGAAGATATCGCTAAATTATTTTCCTAGCAAGGAATATTAATACTAATACCCTGGGAAAGGAATGCATCCCTGGGGGAGGTCTATAAACGGCCGCTCTGGGAATGTCTGTCTTATGTGGTTGAGATAAGGACTGAGATAAGGACTGAGATACGCCCTGGTCTCCTGCAGTACCCTCAGCTTATTAGGGGGGTGAAAAACTCCACCCTGGTAAATTTGTGGTCACACTGGTTCTCTGCTCTCAAACTCTGTTTTCTGTTGTTTAAGATGTTTATCAAGATAATATATGCACTGCTGAACATAGACCCTTATCAGTAGTTCTGTTTTTGCCCTTTGCCTTGTGATCTTTGTTGGACCCTTATCAGTGGTTCTGCTTTTGCCCTTTGTCCTGTTCCCTCAGAAGCATGTGATCTTTGTTAGACCCTTATTAGTAGTTCTGCTTTTTGCCTTTGAAGCATGTGATCTTTGTACCCACTCCCTGTGCTTACACCCCCTCCCTTTTTGAAACCCTTAACAAAAAACCTGCTGGTTTGAGGCTCAGGCGGTCATCACAGTCCTACTGATATGTGATGTCACCCCCGGCTGCCCAGCTGTAAAATCCTCTCTTTATACTGTCTCTCTTTATTTCTCAGCTGGCCAACAATTATGGAAAACAGAAAGAACCTACATTGAAATATTGGGGGCAGGTTCCCCCAATACTAATTATCCTGATTTGATCATCACCCATTGTATATATGTATCCAAATATCACAATGTACCCCAAAATATATACAATTATTATGTGTCAATTAAAAACAATCATAAAACTTTTAAACAGCTAAAATAAAAGTATATTGTTTTCTTCAAAAAAAATCTAATGCAGTTTTCCCTACTAGGTTTTGGGCTTGCTTAGGACCCATGGCTCCTCTCTCCCTTCCAATGTATCCCTTTTGGAATAGGAATGTCCATCCTATGCCTGCCCCATCATTGTACTTTGGAAGCAGATAACTTCTTGTCAAGTTACAAAGGTCCACAGATGGAGAGGAATTTCACCCCAGAATGAATCACCCTGCATTTCTCCCACACTTGATGCAGGTGATATGTCGCTGAGATTGTGGACTAAGAGTTGGTGCTGGAAGGGGTTAGCCATCGTGGAGATGTTGCTATGGGATGCAGGGATTTTGCCTGTGAGAAGGACATGATTATGGGGGGAGCGGAGGGCAAACTGTCATGGGTTAAAATGTGTCCCCTATAAATTCATGTGTTGAAGTCCTAACCCCCAGGACCACAGAATGTGACCTTGTTTGGAAACAGTCTTTGCAGCTGCAATCAAGTTCGGATGAGGTCACCCTGGAGTAGGGCAAGCCTCTGATCCAATATGACTGCTGTCCTCATGAAAAGGGGGAATCTGGGCACAGACGCACGTGTGGAGAACGCCCTGTGAAGATGGTGCTGCTTCCACAAGCCAAGAGCAGCAGAGACGGCCGGCAAAGCCCAGCAGCAAGGAGAGAGCCTGGAACAGAGTCTCCATGACACAGAGGAGCCAGCCCCACCGAGACCTCCATCCCAGATGACCGGCCTCCAGAACCAGGACGGAATAAACGTCTGTTGTTTAAGCCACGCAGTCTGGGGTGCAGTGTTGCCAGGGCCGCACTTAACGGATACGAGTGTTGTCCTGAGCTGCCAGCCCCACAGACTGCACAAGGCCTCCCTGCCCCAGCCAAGTGCAGTCTCCCCAGCCCCCTGGGTGTGCCATGGGCAGTGTGGGGCCCATCACTCCGTCCTCCCCCAGGCTGGGAGGTTGAGCCCATTATGAGCTCCATGGGGTGAAGCTGGAGCGAGAGGCTGGGAGCCGACTGGGAGCCCGCGGCTGGAGGATGGATTTCCCCAGGGACCCACACGTGCACCTCCACCTGTCTCCTGGACGTTCTCTCTGAGGGCAGGGCTGGTGCCAGCTCAGGGATCCAGCAGGGACAGAAGGGCGGGCCGGGTCCTTGTGGAGAGCACATTTAGTGGGAGGGACATGATTTCCCCTCACAAGTGTCCATTCTTCCTGTTCCTTGCTGGACGCTTCCTCTTCCATTCTGGACACTTCCTGTGCGACACCTCCTCGGGCTTTCCCGAGGCCCTCTGGCCTCATTCCGTTCCCTGCTACCTCCCACTTCCACGTACGTCCTTGCCCAGCTCTTCCCTCTATCCAGAGCTTCTGCCTGGCAAGGTCCCTGCTGAGATCAGTCCAGGCTCCCCCAGCACAGGTAGGAGCCTTGCACATGCCCTTGGACCTCCCCACCCTGCATGATGCCAGCATCCCCAGGCCCCAGGGAGGCCCCATTTCTCTCTCTGCTGGTAGTCCAGTGGCCCTGGAGTCCCACTGCAGGTGGGGTGTGCCCCTGAACTCTGAGGAAGCTAAGTACCCTGCCCTCAGACAGGCTATCCCCCCTGCTCAGCCCCAGGGCCCTGCCCCCTACCCCTTCCCCTCACCTGCACCACAGGCTCTGGCCAACTCTGCCCAGGCCCTGAATGGGCCCCTCTGGCTCCCCTCTGCTGCTACACTGCCCTGCACCACCTCCACTCAGCCTCAGTGTGTTCATCCGCCTGTCCCACGTCCCCTCGGCCCCCAGGAGCACAGCTGGTGGCCCTGGCTCCTCGCAGCCCATCTTGTTCCTTCTGGAGCACCAGCCTCAGAGGCCTTCCTGTGCAGGGTCCACTCGGCCAGCCCTGGGACCCTCCTGGTCTCAAGCACACACATTCTCCCTGCAGCCAGACCTGCCCCTGCCTGTGAGCTCAGACCTGAGCCTTGGAACGCCTTCCCTTCTCCATCCCAGCTCGCCTTTGCCAGCTGCTCAGCAGGATGAACTCACACTCCCCTCCCTGCACCATGAGTGAGAGTCAGCTGGAGAGATGCCCAGGCAAAAGCAGCCACCAGGGCCCAGTGGGGGCCAGAAGCTTCAGATGAGAGGCCCAGGTATTGAGAGGCTGAGACCACGGGCAGAATGGTCATAATCGTTGCCAGTCTCAGTCCAGCCCCAGGGACTCAGAGACAGAGAAAAGAGCAGCACACAAGGTCCGGGCTCCCCACCTTCTCCCGTGAGTACGGGGGAGTATGGGGGCAGCCACCACCCCCATCCCCACACACCCATGAGGCAGCCTCAGCTGTGTCTGGACTCCCCCTCGCCCTCTGACACAGAAACCACCAGAAGAAAAGGGAACTTCAGGAAGTAAGTGGTGCCGCCGGTTTCAATCCTGTTCTTAGTGTTTGCAGCGTGGAGTTCACACCCCTGGGGACCTGGGGGCCGAGCTGTGATTTCCTAGGAAGACAAGTGGCAGCTGACAGCGTGGGCAAGGCTGCCCACATGTACCTCGCCACAACAGGAAGGGCTGAGACCCCCACCTCGGTGAGTGGGGTCAGCACAGGGCAGGAGCACAGGCTCAGGAGAAGGACAGAGCCTGGGCGCAGCCATCGGCGCTTCTGGACCTGAGCTGCTGAACAGGCTGCAAGAGGCTGGGGAGAGGCTGGGGCGAGGCCAGCCCCACATGGAAGCCTAAGCGGAGCCAGCACAGGGGAGGTGGGCAGCCTTCAGGCACCGATGCCCACCCAGTGCGAGACGACAGGGACCGTGGGCAGGGGCTTCCAAGCCAACAGGGCAGGACACACCAGAGGCTGACTGAGGCCTCCAGGACGACCGGGCTGGGAGTGTGAGGAACATGACGGGATGGGGCAGAGCCAGCCATGGGGTGATGCCAGGATGGGCATGACCGACCTGAGCTCAGGAGGCAGCAGAGAGAGGGAGGAGGAGAGGCCCCAGGTGAACCGAGGGGCTTGTCCAGGCCGGCAGCATCACCGGAGCCCAGGGCAGGGTCAGCAGAGCTGGCCGTAGGGCCCTCCTCTCAGCCAGGACCAAGGACAGCAGGTGAGCTGGGAGCAGAGCAGGGAGGGTGAGTGTGGCAGCAGGACAGGAGGGTGGAAGCCAAGGAGCCCAGAGGCAGAGGCAGGGACAGGGGAGGCACAGGGGCTGGGCTCAGAGCCAGCTGATGGGGTTGGGGCACCTGCTGGCCGGGAGCAGGGCTGTGGTCAGCAGCGGAGAGGAGGGGAGAGCTGTGCTGAGTGCACGGGCGGGAGGAGGGAAGAGTCCAGGGAGGCCCAGAAAGGCCCAGAGTGCAGCAGGCCTGGGGCGAGGGGAGGGGCTGAGGCTCCGTGCGTTCAGGGAACTGACCCAGCAGAGCAGAGGCCACTGAGGAGCTGAGGTTCTGGAGAGGCTTCCAGAGCAGGAGCAGTGCAGGGACGGGAGGATCCGGGAGCTCATCCAGGAGGGGCACATGGGCAAGGGCAAGGGGCTCTGTTGGGGAGACCTGACTGGACACTGGGGCTGCTCCACAGCATAGGGAACACGCCAAGTGCTGCAAAAACAAAAATGAGGCAAGAAAAACAGCCTAAACCTGGACAGAGGGTGCCAGGACAGGCAGGGGGGCAACAGTGGACCGAGTGACGTTGCTGCCCCAGGTTGAGGGAGGGCAGAGTGAGCAGGGGGCAGGCATTGGAGTTCAGGGGACCAGGACCAAGCAGCCACAGGTGCACAGGGCAGGTGGGAGGCAGGAAGAACAGGGGGCAGCTCCTGGAGCTCAGGGGACCACGGGAGAGCATCTGAAGGTGAACAGGAGCCGGTGGAGGGGCAGGATGAGCAGGAGGAAGACCCTGGAGCTCAGGGGACCAGGGCAGAGCAGCCACAGGTGAGGAGGCAGCCACAGGTGCGCAGGGCAGGTGGGAGGCAGGACCAGCAGGGGGCAGCCCCTGGAGCTCATAGAGCCAGGGCAGAGCAGTTGCAGGTGAGCAGGGCTCAGTGGAAGATGGGCAAGCAGGGGGCAGCTCCTGGAGCTCAGGGCACCAGGGCAGTGTAGCCACAGGTGAGCAGGGGCTGGTGGGAGGCAGGACAAGCAGGCGGCAGCTCCCGGAGCTCAGGGAACCAGGGCAGTGTAGCTGCAGGTGAGCAGGGGCTGGTGGAAGGCAGGACAAGCAGGTGGCAGCTCCTGGAGCTCAGGGAACCAGGGCAGTGTAGCTGCAGGTGAGCAGGGGCTGGTGGGAGGCAGGACGAGCAGGGGGCAGCCCCTGGAGCTCAGGGGACCAGGGGAGGGCATCAGAAGGTGAGCAGGGGCTGGTGGGAGGCAGGATGAGTAAGGGGCAGCCCCTTTAGCTCAGGGGACCAGGGCAGAGCAGCCTCAGGTGAGCAGGGGCAGGTGAGGGGCAGGACGAGCAGGGGGCAGTCCTGGAGCTCAGGGGATCAGGGCAGAGCATCAGAAGGTGAGCATGGCTGGTGGGAGGTGGGCGAGCAGGGGGCAGCCCCTGGAGCTCAGGGGACCAGGGCAGAGCAGTCGCAGGTGAGCACGGGTTGGTGGGAGGTAGAACGAGTAGGGGGCAGCTCCTGGAGCTCAGGGAACAGGGGAGAACATCAGAAGATGAGAAGGGCCGGTGGGAGGTTGCAGAGCAGGGGGCAGCTTCTGCAGCTCTGCCAGCCAGGGCAGAGCAGCTGCAGGTAAGCAGGGCTGGTGGGAAGCAGGGGTAGCAGGTGGGCAGCCCCTGGAGCTCAGAGAGCCGGGGAAGATCATCGGTAGGTGAGCAGGGGCTGGTGGAAAGCAGGAGGAGCAAGGGGCAGCTCATGGAGCTCAGAGGACCAGGGAAGAGCAGCCACAGGTGAACAGGGGCAGGTGGGCGGCAGAATGAGCAGGGGCAGCTCCTGGAGCTCAGGGGACAAGGGCAGAGCAGCCATAGGCAAACAGGAGCAGGGTCAGGGGACAGGAGGAGCAGGGGGCAGCTCTTGGAGCTCAGGGGACCAGGGCAGAGCCGCTGCAGGTGAGCAGGGGCAGGTGGGGGGCAGGAGGAGCAGGGGGCATCTCCTGGAGCTCAGAGCACCAGGGCAGAGCAGCCACAGGTGAGCAGGGACGGTGGGAGGCAGCACGCAGCTCCTAGACTTTGGCAGGAGCTGGGTAGTTGCCGGCAGCAGACAGCTGAGGGCTGGTGAAAGTGCAGTGCAGCCTCCTGGTGCCGGGAAGGGAGTGTGAGTCCATCCCACTGAGCAGTTGGCAAGGGCGAGCTGGGATGGAGAAGGGAAGGCGTTCCAGGGCTCGGGGCTGAGCTCTCAGGCAGGGGCAGGTGTGGCTGCAGGGGGAACGTGTGCTTGAGACCAGGAGGGTCCCAGGGCTGGCCCCAGCGGACCCTGGGCAGGAAGGCCTCTGAGGCTGGTGCCCCAGAAGGAGCAAGATGGGCTGCCAGGAGCCAGGACCATCAGCACAATGAAGCTGAGTGGAGGTGGTGCAGGGCAGTGTAGCAGCAGAGGGCAGCCAGAGGGGCCCATTCAGGGCCTGGGCAGAGTCAGCCAGAGCCTGTGGTGCAGGTGAGGGGAAGGGGTGGTGAGCGGGGCCCTGGGGCTGAGCAGAGGGGATGGCCTGGCTGAGGGCAGGGCGCTTAGCTTCCTCAGAGGTCAGGGGCACACCCCACCTGCAGTGGGACTCCAGGGCCACTGGGCCAGCAGCAGAGAGAAATGGGGCCTCCCTGTGGCCTGGGGGTCCTGGCACCACGCAGGGTGGGGAGGGCCAAGGGCAGGTGCAAGGCTCCTACCTGTGCTGGGGGGCCTGGGTTGAGCCCAGCAGGGACCTTGCCGGGGGAAGCTCTGGAGAGAGGGAGGAGGTGGGCTGGTGGCTGAGAAGGCCAGGCCAGGGCTGGGAGGGTGACGGTGTGGTGACTGAGCCTCCAGAAGTAATGCAGGACACTGGGAGGCAGGGGGCATCCAGGCACTCAGGGCCCTGACCTGGGCTGCTGCACACTGGGGCTAAGGGGAAAGGAGGGGAGAGGCTGAGGAGGAGGCTCCCGGGGCGATATTCCAAGGCAGGGGGTTCCGGGGCCCTGGGGCTGAAGGGCGCCGACCCTATGCAGTGTCTGGCCCCTCTGCTGCACAGAAGAAAAGGGCCTTGGAGGGCAGAGGGCAGGCTATGACCAGGGCCCTGGGCAAGTCAGGCCCACTCACTAGCGGAGGGCCACGCTGGGGCGGCAGGGTCAGGAGCTTCAGGGGACTCAGGGGACCCACGAGAAGCCATCTGAGAACAGTGTCCACTGGTCAAGCCAGGCACCCATAAAAGGCTGGAGTGGGGCCAATGGGCATGAGCCGTCCCTGAGGTGGCACCGATGGCCAGAGCTGAGGCCAAGCTAGAGGCCCTGGACTGTGCTGACTCCCGGCAGACACAGAGCGCTGACCTGGCTGCCGAGCCCCGCCTCCTAGGCTGCAGGGGTGCCTGCAGAAGGGCACCACAGGGCCACCGGTCCTGCAAGCTTTCTGGGGCGGGCCGGGCCTGACCTTGGCTTTGGGGCAGGGAGGGGGCTAAGGTGAGGCAGGTGGCGCCAGCCAGGCGCACACCCAATGCCCGTGAGCCCAGACACTGGACCCTGCCTGGACCCTCGTGGATAGACAAGAACCGAGGGGCCTCTGCGCCCTGGGCCCAGCTCTGTCCCACACCGCAGTCACATGGCGCCATCTCTCTTGCAGCTTCCACCAAGGGCCCATCGGTCTTCCCCCTGGCGCCCTGCTCCAGGAGCACCTCTGGGGGCACAGCGGCCCTGGGCTGCCTGGTCAAGGACTACTTCCCAGAACCGGTGACGGTGTCGTGGAACTCAGGCGCCCTGACCAGCGGCGTGCACACCTTCCCGGCTGTCCTACAGTCCTCAGGACTCTACTCCCTCAGCAGCGTGGTGACCGTGCCCTCCAGCAGCTTGGGCACCCAGACCTACACCTGCAACGTGAATCACAAGCCCAGCAACACCAAGGTGGACAAGAGAGTTGGTGAGAGGCCAGCGCAGGGAGGGAGGGTGTCTGCTGGAAGCCAGGCTCAGCCCTCCTGCCTGGACGCATCCCGGCTGTGCAGTCCCAGCCCAGGGCACCAAGGCAGGCCCCGTCTGACTCCTCACCCGGAGGCCTCTGCCCGCCCCACTCATGCTCAGGGAGAGGGTCTTCTGGCTTTTTCCACCAGGCTCCGGGCAGGCACAGGCTGGATGCCCCTACCCCAGGCCCTTCACACACAGGGGCAGGTGCTGCGCTCAGAGCTGCCAAGAGCCATATCCAGGAGGACCCTGCCCCTGACCTAAGCCCACCCCAAAGGCCAAACTCTCTACTCACTCAGCTCAGATACCTTCTCTCTTCCCAGATCTGAGTAACTCCCAATCTTCTCTCTGCAGAGCTCAAAACCCCACTTGGTGACACAACTCACACATGCCCACGGTGCCCAGGTAAGCCAGCCCAGGCCTCGCCCTCCAGCTCAAGGCGGGACAAGAGCCCTAGAGTGGCCTGAGTCCAGGGACAGGCCCCAGCAGGGTGCTGACGCATCCACCTCCATCCCAGATCCCCGTAACTCCCAATCTTCTCTCTGCAGAGCCCAAATCTTGTGACACACCTCCCCCGTGCCCACGGTGCCCAGGTAAGCCAGCCCAGGCCTCGCCCTCCAGCTCAAGGCAGGACAAGAGCCCTAGAGTGGCCTGAGTCCAGGGACAGGCCCCAGCAGGGTGCTGACGCGTCCACCTCCATCCCAGATCCCCGTAACTCCCAATCTTCTCTCTGCAGAGCCCAAATCTTGTGACACACCTCCCCCATGCCCACGGTGCCCAGGTAAGCCAGCCCAGGCCTCGCCCTCCAGCTCAAGGCGGGACAAGAGCCCTAGAGTGGCCTGAGTCCAGGGACAGGCCCCAGCAGGGTGCTGACGCATCCACCTCCATCCCAGATCCCCGTAACTCCCAATCTTCTCTCTGCAGAGCCCAAATCTTGTGACACACCTCCCCCGTGCCCAAGGTGCCCAGGTAAGCCAGCCCAGGCCTCGCCCTCCAGCTCAAGGCAGGACAGGTGCCCTAGAGTGGCCTGCATCCAGGGACAGGTCCCAGTCGGGTGCTGACACATCTGCCTCCATCTCTTCCTCAGCACCTGAACTCCTGGGAGGACCGTCAGTCTTCCTCTTCCCCCCAAAACCCAAGGATACCCTTATGATTTCCCGGACCCCTGAGGTCACGTGCGTGGTGGTGGACGTGAGCCACGAAGACCCCGAGGTCCAGTTCAAGTGGTACGTGGACGGCGTGGAGGTGCATAATGCCAAGACAAAGCCGCGGGAGGAGCAGTACAACAGCACGTTCCGTGTGGTCAGCGTCCTCACCGTCCTGCACCAGGACTGGCTGAACGGCAAGGAGTACAAGTGCAAGGTCTCCAACAAAGCCCTCCCAGCCCCCATCGAGAAAACCATCTCCAAAACCAAAGGTGGGACCCGCGGGGTATGAGGGCCACATGGACAGAGGCCAGCTTGACCCACCCTCTGCCCTGGGAGTGACCGCTGTGCCAACCTCTGTCCCTACAGGACAGCCCCGAGAACCACAGGTGTACACCCTGCCCCCATCCCGGGAGGAGATGACCAAGAACCAGGTCAGCCTGACCTGCCTGGTCAAAGGCTTCTACCCCAGCGACATCGCCGTGGAGTGGGAGAGCAGCGGGCAGCCGGAGAACAACTACAACACCACGCCTCCCATGCTGGACTCCGACGGCTCCTTCTTCCTCTACAGCAAGCTCACCGTGGACAAGAGCAGGTGGCAGCAGGGGAACATCTTCTCATGCTCCGTGATGCATGAGGCTCTGCACAACCGCTTCACGCAGAAGAGCCTCTCCCTGTCTCCGGGTAAATGAGTGCGACGGCCGGCAAGCCCCCGCTCCCCGGGCTCTCGGGGTCGCGCGAGGATGCTTGGCACGTACCCCGTGTACATACTTCCCGGGCACCCAGCATGGAAATAAAGCACCCAGCGCTGCCCTGGGCCCCTGCGAGACTGTGATGGTTCTTTCCACGGGTCAGGCCGAGTCTGAGGCCTGAGTGGCATGAGGGAGGCAGAGCGGGTCCCACTGTCCCCACACTGGCCCAGGCTGTGCAGGTGTGCCTGGGCCGCCTAGGGTGGGGCTCAGCCAGGGGCTGCCCTCGGCAGGGTGGGGGATTTGCCAGCGTGGCCCTCCCTCCAGCAGCAGCTGCCCTGGGCTGGGCCACGGGAAGCCCTAGGAGCCCCTGGGGACAGACACACAGCCCCTGCCTCTGTAGGAGACTGTCCTGTCCTGTGAGCGCCCTGTCCTCCGACCCGCATGCCCACTCGGGGGCATGCCTAGTCCATGTGCGTAGGGACAGGCCCTCCCTCACCCATCTACCCCCACGGCACTAACCCCTGGCAGCCCTGCCCAGCCTCGCACCCGCATGGGGACACAACCGACTCCGGGGACATGCACTCTCGGGCCCTGTGGAGAGACTGGTCCAGATGCCCACACACACACTCAGCCCAGACCCGTTCAACAAACCCCGCACTGAGGTTGGCCGGCCACACGGCCACCACACACACACGTGCACGCCTCACACACGGAGCCTCACCCGGGCGAACCGCACAGCACCCAGACCAGAGCAAGGTCCTCGCACACGTGAACACTCCTCGGACACAGGCCCCCACGAGCCCCACGCGGCACCTCAAGGCCCACGAGCCGCTCGGCAGCTTCTCCACATGCTGACCAGCTCAGACAAACCCAGCCCTCCTCTCACAAGGTGCCCCTGCAGCCGCCACACACACACAGGCCCCCACACACAGGGGAACACACGCCACGTCGCGTCCCTGGCACTGGCCCACTTCCCAATACAGCCCTTCCCTGCAGCTGGGGTCACATGAGGTGTGGGCTTCACCATCCTCCTGCCCTCTGGGCCTCAGGGAGGGACACGGGAGACGGGGAGTGGGTCCTGCTGAGGGCCAGGTCGCTATCTAGGGCCGGGTGTGTGGCTGAGTCCCGGGGCCAAAGCTGGTGCCCAGGGCGGGCAGCTGTGGGGAGCTGACCTCAGGACACTGTTGGCCCATCCCGGCCGGGCCCTACATCCTGGGTCCTGCCACAGAGGGAATCACCCCCAGAGGCCCGAGCCCAGCAGGACACAGCACTGACCACCCTCTTCCTGTCCAGAGCTGCAACTGGAGGAGAGCTGTGCGGAGGCGCAGGACGGGGAGCTGGACGGGCTGTGGACGACCATCACCATCTTCATCACACTCTTCCTGTTAAGCGTGTGCTACAGTGCCACCGTCACCTTCTTCAAGGTCGGCCGCACGTTGTCCCCAGCTGTCCTTGACATTGTCCTCCATGCTGTCACACACTGTCCCTGACACTGTCCCCAGGCTGTCCCCACCTGTCCCTGACACTGTCCCCCACGCTCTCACAAACTGTC
Source organism: Homo sapiens (assembly GCF_000001405.40). Classification (NCBI taxonomy): domain Eukaryota; kingdom Metazoa; phylum Chordata; class Mammalia; order Primates; family Hominidae; genus Homo; species Homo sapiens. The sequence continues at coordinate 105,767,684 of NC_000014.9, read as the reverse complement.
CCTCACACTGTCCCCCATGCTGTCACAAACTGTCACTGACACTGTCCCCCATGCTATCCCCACCTGTCCCTGACACTGTCCCTGACACTGTCTCTCATGCTGTCCCCACTCATCTGCGACACTGTACCCCACGCTGTCCCCACTTGTCCTCAACAATGTCCCCCATGCTGTCCCCACCTGTCCCTGATGCTGTCCCCCACACTGTCCCAATCTGTCCCCACCACTCTCCCCCACGCTGTCCCCACCTGTCCCTGACACTGTCCCCCATGCCATCCCCATCTGTCCCGACAATGTCCCCAGGGTGTCCCCAGCTGTCCCTGATGCTGTCCCCCACACTGTCCCCACCTCTCCCTGACGCTGTCCCCCACGTGGTCCCCACTTGTCCCTGATGCTGTCCCCCACACTGTCCCCACCTGTCCCTGACACTGTCCCCCATGCCATCCCCATCTGTCCCGACAATGTCCCTATGGTGTCCCCAGCTGTCCCTGATGCTGTCCCCCACACTGTCCCCACCTGTCCCTGACGCTGTCCCCCACACTGTCCCCACCTCCCCCTGACACTGTCCCCCACACTGTCCCCACCTCTCCCTAACACTGTCCCACACACTGTCCCCTCCTGTCCCCAACACTTTCCCCCATGCTGTCCCCACCAGTCCCCAACACTGTACACCATGCTTTTCCCACCTGTCCCCAACACTGTCCCCCATGCTGTCCCCTCCTGTCCCCAACAATGTCCCCCATGCTGTTTCCTCCTGTCCCCAACACTGTCCGCCACTCTGTTTCCTCCTTTCCCTGACACTGTCCCCCACTCTGTCCCCACCTGTAGCCAACACTATCCCCTACGCTGTCTCCACCTGTCCCTGATGCTGTCCCCCACACTGTCCCCACTCCTCCCTGACACTGTCCCCTATGCTGTCCCCACCGGTTCCTAACACTGTCCCCCACACTGTCCCTACCTGTCCCCGACACTTTCTCCCATGCTGTTCCCACGTGTCTCCAACACTGTCCCCCACACAGTCTCCACCTGTCCCTGACACTGTCCCCCATGCTGTCCTCACCCATCTCTGACACTGTACACATACTGTCCCCACCTGTCCCTGATGCTGTCCTCCATGATGTCCCCACCTCTCCCTGACACTGTCACCCATGCTGTCCCCACCTGCCCCTGACACTCTCCTCCACGCTGTTCTCACCTGTCCCCAACACTCTCCCCCACACTGTCTCCACCTGTCCCTGACACTGTCCTCCACGCTGTCCCCACCTATCCCTGACACTGTCCCCCATGCTGTCCTCACCTGTCCCCAACACTCTCCTCCACACTGTCCTCACCTGTCCCCAACACTCTCCCCCCACACTGTCTCAACCTGTCCCTGACACTGTCCCCCATGCTGTCCTCACCTGTCCCTGACACTGTCCCCCATGCTGTCCTCACCTGTCTCTGACACTGTCCCCCGTGCTGTCCCCACCTGACACTATCTTCTGTGCTGTCCACATGCTGTTGCTGCCCTGGCTCTGCTCTCCATGTCCAGGCCTCAGAGCAGGCAGTGGTGAGGCCCTGGCACATGGGTGGCATGAGGGGCCGGATAGGCCTCAGGGGCAGGGCTGTGGCCTGGGTGGCCTGAGGGGTGAGCAGGCCTCGGGGGCAGGGCTGTGGCCTCGCTCACCCCTGTGCTGTGCCTTGCCTACAGGTGAAGTGGATCTTCTCCTCGGTGGTGGACCTGAAGCAGACCATCATCCCCGACTATAGGAACATGATTGGGCAGGGGGCCTAGGGCCACCCTCTGCGGGGTGTCCAGGGCCACCCAGATCCCACACACGAGCCGTGGGCCATGCTCAGCCACCACCCAGGCCACAACTGCCCCCGACCTCACCGCCCTCAACCCCATGGCTCTCTGTCTTTGCAGTCGCCCTCTGAGCCCTGACACGCCCCCCTTCCAGACCCTGTGCATAGCAGGTCTACCCCAGACCTCCGCTGCTTGGTGCATGCAGGGAGCTGGGGACCAGGTGTCCCCTCAGCAGGATGTCCCTGCCCTCCAGACCGCCAGATGCTCACACAAAAGGAGGCAGTGACCAGCATCCGAGGCCCCCACCCAGGCAGGAGCTGGCCCTGGAGCCAACCCCGTCCACGCCAGCCTCCTGAACACAGGCGTGGTTTCCAGATGGTGAGTGGGAGCATCAGCCGCCAAGGTAGGGAAGCCACAGCACCATCAGGCCCTGTTGGGGAGGCTTCCGAGAGCTGCGAAGGCTCACTCAGACGGCCTTCCTCCCAGCCCGCAGCCAGCCAGCCTCCATTCCGGGCACTCCCGTGAACTCCTGACATGAGGAATGAGGTTGTTCTGATTTCAAGCAAAGAACGCTGCTCTCTGGCTCCTGGGAACAGTCTCGGTGCCAGCACCACCCCTTGGCTGCCTGCCTACACTGCTGGATTCTCGGGTGGAACTGGACCCGCAGGGACAGCCAGCCCCAGAGTCCGCACTGGGGAGAGAAGGGGCCAGGCCCAGGACACTGCCACCTCCCACCCACTCCAGTCCACCGAGATCACTCAGAGAAGAGCCTGGGCCATGTGGCCACTGCAGGAGCCCCACAGTGCAAGAGTGAGGATAGCCCAAGGAAGGGCTGGGCATCTGCCCAGACAGGCCTCCCAGAGAAGGCTGGTGACCAGGTCCCAGGCGGGCAAGACTCAGCCTTGGTGGGGCCTGAGGACAGAGGAGGCCCAGGAGCATCGGGGAGAGAGGTGGAGGGACACCGGGAGAGCCAGGAGCGTGGACACAGCCAGAACTCATCACAGAGGCTGGCGTCCAGCCCCGGGTCACGTGCAGCAGGAACAAGCAGCCACTCTGGGGGCACCAGGTGGAGAGGCAAGATGCCAAAGAGGGTGCCCGTGTTCTTGCGAAAGCGGGGCTGCTGGCCACGAGTGCTGGACAGAGGCCCCCACGCTCTGCTGCCCCCATCACGCCGTTCCGTGACTGTCACGCAGAATCCGCAGACAGGAAGGGAGGCTCGAGCGGGACTGCGGCCAGCGCCTGCCTCGGCCGTCAGGGAGGACTCCCGGGCTCACTCGAAGGAGGTGCCACCATTTCAGCTTTGGTAGCTTTTCTTCTTCTTTTAAATTTTCTAAAGCTCATTAATTGTCTTTGATGTTTCTTTTGTGATGACAATAAAATATCCTTTTTAAGTCTTGTACTTCGTGATGGGAGCCGCCTTCCTGTGTCCACGCGCCTCCTGCCCCCGGTGGGAAGCACATTCAGGAGGAGGCTGGTCCAGCTGCACCTCGGGGGCTCCCTGCATACGCCCCCCGCCTCCTGCAGCCACACGCATTGCCCGAGCGACCCTCCCTGGCCCCTGTCGCTACATGGACCCCCGGGGCTTCTCCTCTTTTCTACATGGATGCAGTTTCTCCTCCTGCTGGGCACGGTGCTGCCTGCCCTGGTCACTCTGCGGGGGACAGGGCCTCCAGGGAAAGCTGGGTCGAGGCTGGGAGCTGGCTCAGGCTGGCCAGGCAGAGCCACAGGGAGGGCCTTCCAGAACCAACCATGGTCCGAAGCGAGAGGTGGGTGTCAGATCTGTGTGCGTCAGCTCAGGACCACAGCGGGGCGGCTCCCACAGCAGACATGGATCCTCCCAGGCCTAGAGACCAGGAATCTGAGATCAGGATGCAGGCAGGGCTGGTTTCTCTCAAGCCCTCTCTCCTTGGCTTGTAGACACCGTCTCCTCCCTGGTCCTCACGTGGCCATCCCTCTGTGTGCCCGTGTCCTAAGCTTCTCTTCTTATAAGAACACACATCAGATTAGATTAGTGACCCCCTATGAACTTAATGACCTCTGTAAAGACCCCATCTCCAAATAGTCACATTGTGAGGCCAGGGATTAAGACTTGAATATATGAATTTGTAGGGGCCACGATTTAACCCATCACAGTCCAGACTCTGGCCCCCAAAATTCATGTTCTTCTCACATGCAGAATACATTCATCCTGTCTCAGCATCCCCCTGGGCACTAGGTCATGTAGCAAGGACGGATTTTCAACAGAAATAACTATTGCAACAGAAGAAAGAGTCCGGCATGACCTGGACTCACCTTCATCTGTGCAGAGGCCACAGCCTTGTAAAGGGAGGTGGTAGGGGGAGCAGGGTGGGTGCTCGGGGCTCAGTCGTCGGGGAAGGGAAAAGTTGCCCAGCGCTGGTCAGCGTCCCCGGGATGGGACCCGCTGTGTCCGTGCCGGCCACTGTTGAGGTCAGGATTCTGTCCTCCCAGAGCCTGGAGACACAGGCCCCATCCTTCCCAATGGGGACACTTCAGGGAGCGGCTCTCAGGTCCCGAGAAAGACCCTCCTGGGTCACAGGAAATGCACAGACATCGGGAACAGACAGAAGGACGTGTGGTTGCGGCCCTCTCAGCAGATACCCTGAGAAAGGGAGGTCGGGGTTGGTCCAAACGGTGAGTTCTGGTGCACGGAGCTTTCTCAGGCAGGTGTTGACGGGGCAGGGGTCGGCCTAGGGGTACGGCCAGAAGCTGTTAGAAACTGTTAGTGTCTGCTCAAGTCTTTACAAGCCAAGGTTGAGGCCGAGTGGAGAGGCTCCGAGGAGCCTGGCTGGAACTCAGTCAAGGACAGGGTCTTGTTACTGCAGTGGCTGCGGTGGCTGCGGTGGCTGGAAAATGCCGTCGGAGTTGCCTGTGGCAGGAGAGAGACCATCTCACCCAGGAAGGAGGAGTGGTTGGATTCGTTTGTGTGGCATCGAGCAGCTGGAGCTTCACCAAACACAGAGTTGGGGACTAAATCCCCAGACTCCAGGCCCTGCCATGCCGTGGGAAGGCTCGCCACTGGAGGGTGGGCTCCAGGGGGCCTGGCCTGAACTGGGTGCTGAAGCCCAGCCCTTTAACTCTCAGGACACGCTGCTGCAGCCCCGCGGGGGGTGAGGGAGACAGCACCTGGGGTGCAGGGCGGGCAGCTGCTGCATCACCGGCTCTATCCCAAGCCCAAGGATGGCGTCCCAGAGATGCAGGAGAGCTTTGTCCAGAGAAGGTGCCAGCCCTCAGGGACCCTGCTGGAGAGATCTCCACCCTCTGCCCTTCAAGGGGCCCTACGGGCTTCCGGGTGCCCTGGTGGGGTGGGCTCCAGTCCACTGTCTGAGGATGGACGGCCTGGCCAGGATAAGGAAAGGAAACCCAGGACGGTGCCGGGCTCCGGGTCATTCCGTGCACTGAGCAGGCTGAGTTGGGAAGAAGCAGATGCTTCCTGCAGCTCCTGCCCCTGCAGGGCCTGGCGCCTGGACCAGGTTCCCCTGGGGAAATTGGGCCCCTCCCTGAGCCACCCGGGGCCCACCGCCCCCTTTCCACCTGGGACCGAGCATCCTCCAGAGGGTCAGCCCTCCTGAGGGAACACCATGCCCAGCCCCAGGACCCTCCCTCAACTCTCCAGCAAGGCTGCACTGTGGGCGGCCCCTGCACATACCCCAGCAGTCCATGCTGTGATGTAACATGACATGGTGTGACGTGGTGTGATGTCTCTGGTGTGACGTGGATGTCATGTGGCATGATGCGACAGGACATGGTGTGATGTTGTATGATGTGGTATGACGGTGTGATATCCGAGGGGTGATGTGATGTGGTGTGACATGGTGTAATGTCCCTGGTGTGAGGTGGCGTTGGACATGCTGGGATGTGGTGTGACACAGTGTGACATCCCTGGTGTGATGTGGTGTGATGAAGCGTAACAGGCTGTGACATAGTGTGACGTGGTGTGATATAATGTGATGTGGTGTGAGGTGGCGTGACATGGTGGGATGTGGTGTGACATGGTATAATGTCCCTGGTGTGAGGTGGTGTGATGTGGTATGATGGGGTGTGGCAGGGTACGACATCCCTAGTGTGATGATAAGTTTCATGGTATGATGTGGCGTGACATCCCTGGCGTGACATAATGAGATGTGGTGTGACATGGTGTGGCATTCCTGGTGTGACTCCTGTGTTCTGACATTTGTGGCCACCCCAGGATACAGAGGTCCCTGTAGCCAAGGGAAGGGGGAGAATAGAACCATCTGAGCATGTTGACCTGGAGGAATTGGTGGCCCTTGAGTCCACGAAGCCCACCCTGCCAGGTGCCCCTGCCCCACGTGACCCAAGTGGGCTTGCAGAGCAGCAAGCAGGACTCTGGTTAGACTGCAAGAAGGACCTGCCACCACGTGGCCTTGTGAGGAGACACAGAGCAAGGCAGTGACCTCAGCGTCCACCCAGCACAGGGTGCTGCTGAAGCTCCTCCTGTCCTCTCAGCAGCGGTCTCAGAGCAAGGCCCAAGGCAGGCTGAAGAGAGGGGCAGAGGGAGGATGCTGGGGAGGCAGGGGTGAGGGGAGTGAGAGCCCAGGTTTCAGCTGAGCCCCTGCACAGGGAAGGAGGCTAGCTGAACACCCATCTCCCCACACACTCCCAACCCTGCCTCTGCCCGAACACCTCCCAGAAGGCACCTCAAACTCTGCTACCCACACTCAGCAAGGGGTATGGTGTCCCCACCGAGTCCAGCCAGTGAGGCCCGGCACAGCCATGCCTGTGCCGACCACTCCCATGGCCAAGCTCCCTGCTAACATGGTAGGACAGAGCCAGGCCTGGAGGAGACAGAACATCAGTCCCATGGGGAAGCTCCCTGCTCACATGGCAGGGCCGGGCCTGGAGGAGACAGAACGCCCCGTCTGGTATGGTACTCAGGCTGCACATGCCTGCCACGCACGGGGGCCATGTGGCACACACGGGTACTCACACGGTCCTCACACAGGGACACACGCACTTGCAACCCCAGCACCCACCCAGTGCACTCATGCACGGGCTCCCCAGGTGGGTCACAGTCTCACGCCTTGAGCTACTCCATGTGCCAGGCCCTTCACCCACATTCCCGTCCCCGGTGCCAGCTGTTGAGCCACACCGTCTTCTCTGTGGATCCCTCCCAGCCCGCTCAGCACAATGGACATGCTCTCTCCAGTCCAGCAACTGCACTGGCCTCTTCCCCTCAGAATCCACGTCTGGCCATCTCCCAGGAAACCCGGACCACCACGGGCAGGGACCACCTTCTCACTGTCCATGTGGACCACCCCACACCTGACCCCAGGCAGAGTCACACTACGACCTGCTTCAATATTGAAAAGGGGAAAAGCTGGAGGAGGGGAAAGATGAAAGAGAAAAAAGCAAGAGGGGAGGGTCACATTCTTGTGAGGCTTTGATTAGAGTTCACTGAGCCCCCACGTTGCATGAAAAGGAGGGGTGGAGGGAGCAATTACGCATTCGCCTTGTGCTCAGTAAATCTGCACTTTATAAGCAAATAAACAGAGTAGAGGAAGAAGTCAAATATGCATTCGTCTCAGGGGTAGGAGGAACGATTTCTTGTCTCATTTTGTCCCATGTCATGAAGACCGGCCTGTTAATTTATATTCTCAGGGTGAGGGAGGCCACCTGGGTAGACCTGGCCTATCTGCTGCTGCTATCACTTTGGAAACAAAAGGAAAGGCATGACTTTTTTTTTTTTTCATGACTCAGCTTCCCACCTCAACTGTTCATTTTGGCATAGTGAGTTTGGAGTCCTGAGATTTTATTTTCCTTTCACAATGGTCAAGGTCGCACCCTCAGTATTCAGGAGAGCTGGTCCAACCCAGACCCCTGCCGTCCCTGGACGCTTTTCAAATACGTGCTGCAGTCTCTGACACTCTCTCACCATGGTAGAAACTGAGGTCTTGGTGAGCCTGCAAGCCCCTGCTCATGGGGACAATGCAGGCTGAAACCCGCATTTCTGACCCCAAAGCTCCTGTTCCTTTCACTCACCCCCACACCAGCTCTTTGAGTCCAGAGCTTTGTCCTTGCCTGAGTCCTACCCTCAGGGACAGGGGCCCAACCCAGACACCAACACATCATACCCTGAGAGGGTGCCAGGAGCCCAGAGATGTTTGGAGAGCACAGAAGCCCTGGAGGCTCTGTGGAGATGCTGCACATTTCTCTATTCAACAGATACTCACCAGGTGGCCAGCGGCAGAGATGCCACATGGCATGGAGCTCGCCTTGGCCAACAGGACAGGTGTGGGGTTGGGAGGCCTTCCCAGGGCACTCCTTGAAGCAGAGCTGTGGGGAAAAGTTGGGGCCAACCTCAGATCTCCTCATCAACACCGGTTCTCCTGCCCTCCTGGGCCACAGAAAACTAAGCTCCCTGGATACTGCGGCTGGGTGGGGCCATGAGGGAGAAGAAATCACAACGAGTTAAAAGATCATTTTCTAAAACTGTTATGATCAGGACTCACATAAACATATGACGACACATTTCAGAGATGCTCTTTATCTCATTAATTAAGGTGTCGTAACCAGTTCAAAGTGGAATTCTAAGTACTACACTTACATAATTGATTCAGGAATGCTAAAAGGAGTTCATAGATAGATGCAAAACTGGCCTTTTCCCTGGAAGATGAGGAGCAATTCATTGTCCTTCCAAAGGTGAGAACTTGAATTTCTACCAACTCAAAGAGCTTTTGCATTGCTATCAATTATGTACAACTTAGAGCAGTAGTCCCCAACATTTTTGGCACCAGGAACCAGTTCCATGGAAGACAATTTTTCCACAGACCAGGATCGGGGGATGGCTTGGGGACAAAGCTGTTCTACCTCAGATCATTAGGCATTAGGATTTCACGAGGAGTGTGCAACTTAGATCTGGGAATGTGCAGCTCGCAATAGGGTTCGCTCCTATGAGAATCTAATGCTGCCACTGATCTGACGGGAGGTGGAGCTCAGGCAGGAATGCTCACACACCCCTCACCTCCTGCTCTGTGGCCCAGTTCCTAACAGGCCATGAGCAGATTCCAGTGCATGACCCAGGGGTTGGGGACCCCTGGCTTATAGAGGTGTAAAATAGTTCAAAGGAAATAAAAGATGCAGAGCTCCATAGAATGAAATAACTTGGAAGAGTGTACAAGACGATGCCTTGCTTTCCATGGAAGGCACCTACTAATCTTTTGGTCCATTTCAGTTCTTCTTAATGCTTCCTATAAACATATATAACTGACTGACACAAACAGATCCATAATATAAAGAAGACCACTGTAAACCAATGAGAAAAAAAATCAAATAATCCAACAAGGAATAGGCAAGAGAATTGAACAGATGTTTTACAGAAGATATCCAAATAGCCACTAAACATATGAAAAGATGTTGAACCACACTAGTCAACAGGGAAATGAAAATGAAAAACCACATGAGAGAAAGTAGTTCTGATTCCAATAATTCTGGAGCAGCTAATATCAGACTAGCCCTTTGGCAGATGGCAATTATAAACACTAGAAACGCTGTAAGCACACACAACACCCACACACACCAATTGCAGGCACTGGAACATGACCAGAAGTAGGCAAACACTAGTAAGGATTATTCCGTTAAATATTCGTCTGAAGTCACACTCCAGGGCATGTAATGGGTACAGCTAGAGTTCAAGCAGGAAACTGCAGCCCTCCTGGTGAGGAGTGGGATGCCGGGCTACATTTTCAGAGCAGCTGGAAATGAAGAGAAGATGTCCATAAAGGAGAAGGTCACCGAAGGGAAACCCCACAATCTGCAAGTAAACTCCACTGAAACCTCTGGCTGATCCCTTAGGTGTGCATGGGTAGGGAAAACTCCAAAGGGCCCAGCAGAAAGCAACACGTGTAAGGTCAAGAGAACTGAGATTCCAGCTACTGCCAACTGCCAGGCAGACAGACTGGGGAGTTTGAGTCAACTCAAGCTAACTGCTTGCTAACATTGAAAAAAACAATTAATGTTCTGCTAAGGAAGAATGCAAACCCCATAGCCTGTACACATGTTAACAACATCAGGTGCACATCCAAAATTACCAGGTATGCAAAGAAATATGAAAATGTGATCCATAGTTAAAAGAAAAAGGGATCAATGGAGATCAACTCCAAGATGACCTAGATGCAGATACAGTTATCAGACAAGGACTTTAAAGAAGTTATGTTAAATATGTTCAAAGACTTAAAGGAAAATATGGTTATCATGAGTGACTAGATGAGGTATCTCTATAAAAAACTGAAAATAGTTACAAGAAGCAAATGAAAATTCTAGAACTAAGAGTATGATTCGGAAATGAAAAACATCATTTGACCAGGCCCAGTGGCTCATACCTGTAATCCTAGCACTCTGGGAGGCCAAACATGGAAGGATCACTTGATCTCAGGAGTTTGAGACCACCCTGGGCAACATGGTGAAACCCCATCTCTATTTTATTAAAGAAGAAAAGAAAGAGAAAAACATTACCCAAGTTTAATAACAGATTGGACAAGACATAAGAAGGAACTGAAAACTTAAAGATGCATCAATAGAATATGTCAATTCTTTTTAATCCAATCCAAAGAAGAGAGAGAAAAATACTAAAAAATGAAAAGAGACTCATCCTGCTGGACAAGGTGAAGCATTCTAAAACATGTGAAACTGGAGTCCAGAGGGGGATGTAATACTTCCATGGGAAAGGTCAACCCTAAGCTATATGCAAATGTACCTGCGTAGGCTGGTGTGGTGGGCTGATGGCATCTCCCTGGCCAAATGTATGCCCACCTGGAACCTCAGAATGTGACCTTATTTGGAAATGGGGTCTTTACAAATTAGGTTAAGGACTTGAGATGATATCATACTAAATTTTGGATGGATCCCAAGTCCAAACACTGGTGTCCTCATAAGAGGAGAGGACAAAGACATACATGGAGGTAAGCCATATGATGACAAAGGAGAAGATGAGCGGTGTGTCAGGAGCCACCTGTGTTTGTCCATTTGCATTACTGTAAAGAAATACCTGAGGCTGAGTAACTTATGAAGGAAAGAGGTTCAATTGGCTCACAGTTCTGCAGGCTGTATAGGAAGTATGGCACCAGCATCTGCTTCTGGCGAGGACCTCAGGAAACTTACAGTCATAGCAGAAGGTGAAGGGAGAGCAGGTATGCCACATGGCAAGAATGGGAGCAAGAGGCTGAGGGGGGGCCCCAGACTTAAACAACTAGACTGTGTGTGAGCTGACTGGGGCAGAATTCACTCATCACCAAGGGGATGATTCTAAATCATTCATGAGGGATCTTCCCCCTTGATCTAATCACCTCCTACCAGGCCCCACTTCCAACACTGGGAATCATATTACAACATGAGATTTGGAGGGGACAAATATATAAACCATATCCTTCCACCCCTGGTCCCCCAAATCTCATGTTGCAAAATACAATCATGCCTTCTCAACAGTCCCCCAAAGTCTTACCTCATTCCAGCATCAACCCAAATTTCCCAAGTCCCAAGTCTCATCTGAAGATGAGTCCCTTCCACCTATCAGCCTATGAAATCAAACACAAATTATTGACTCCCAAAATACAATGAGAGTGCAGACATTGCGTAAACATTCCCATTCCACAAGGGAGAAGTTGGCAAAAAGAAAGGATCTACATGCCCCATATATGTCAGAAATCCAGCAGGGCAGTCATTAAATCTTAAAGCTCCAAGGTAATCTCCTTTGACTTCATGTCCCATATCCAGGGCACATTGGTGCAGGGGGTGGGCTCCCAAGGCCTTGGAAAACTCTACCCTTGTGGCTTTGGAGGATGTTGCCCCTGTGGCTTCTCTCACATGATAGAGTTGAGTGCCTGTGGCTTTTCCAGATTCAGGGTGCAAACTGCCAGTGGATCCACCATTCTGGGGTCTGGAGGACAGTGGCCCCCTTCCCACAGCTCCACTAGGCAGTGCCCTGGTGGGGACATTATATGGGGGTTCAACCCCACATTCTCTTTGGCACTGCTCTAGTAGAGGTTCTCTGTGAGGGCTCCATGCTGGCAGGAGGCTTCTGTCTGGGCACCTAGGCTTTCTCATACATTTCTGAAATCTAGAGGGAAGATGCCAAGCTTCCTTCACTCGTGTATTCTGGGGGCCTACAGGCTTAACACCAGATGGAAGTCACCAAGGCTTATAGTGGCTTGCACTCTCCAAAGAAGCAGCCTAAGCTATACTTGGGGCCCTTTGAGCCAAGGCTGGAGCCAGAGGAACCAGGATGTGGAGAGCAGTGTCCCAAGGCTGCACAGGCAGCAGTGGCCATGGCCATGGCCCACAAAACCATCCTTTCCCTCTTGGCCTCTGGGCCTGTGATGGGAAAGACCACCTCAGAGATTTCCAAAATGCCTTCAAGGCCTTCTTCCCTTTGTTCTGGATATGAGCACTTAGCTCCCTTTTAGTTATGCTAATCTCTCTAGCAACTGGCTGCTCCATAGCCTACTTATATTTGTCTCCTGAAAATACCTTTTCTTTTCTACCATATGGCCAGGCCATGAATTTTCCAAATTTTTTATGCTCTGCTTCCCTTTGTTGATGAAAAAAGCCAAACTCTATAAAACACTTGACGAGATTGATTCTGAGCCACATGTGAGAGCCATGAACTGTGGCACAGCCTCAAAAGGTCCTGAGAACATGTGTGCAAGGTGCTTGGGTTGCGGCCTGGTTTTATGTTTTAGGGAGACATGAGACATCAATCAATACATGTAAAGTATACATTCGTTTGGTTTGGAATGGCAGGACAATTCAAAGTGGGGAATTCCAAATCATAGGTGGATTTGAAGATTTTCTGATTGGCAATTGGCTGAAAAATTTAAATTATCTAAAAAGTTGAAGTCAGCAAAAAGCAATGCTTAAGATAAAGCAGGTTGTGGAAGCCAAGGTTCTTGTTATGTAGATGAAGCCTCCACGTTCCAGAGAGAAGAGATGGTCAATGTCTCTTATCAGAACCTAAAAGGTGCCAGACTCTTGGATAAATCTCTCCTGAATCAGGAAGAGACCTGGAAAGGGAAAAAGATTCTCGACAGAATATACATTTCCTCCACAAGAGACGGCTTTGCAGGGCCATTCCAAAATGTGTCAGAGAAATATATTCTGGCATAAAATACTTTAATTTCCTTCCATGCCTGCCAACTGTCATGTGATGCTATACCAGAGTCAGGTTGGAATTTGATATCTTATTGCTACAAAGAGTCTGCTTTGTCAGTCTTAAGCTCCCTGTTTTAATGTTAACACCGGTCAGCTGAGCCTAAACTCCAACAGGGAGAGGGTATAGTGAGGGAGTCCAAACCACCCTCCCCTTCCTGTCATGGCCTGAACTGGTTTTCCAGGTTTCTTTGGAATCCCCTTGCATTAGCATTTTATTTTTTCATTTGCACCTTTTAAATATCAGTTCCAACTTTAAGTCATTCCTTTGCTCCCATATCTTACCATAGACTGTTAGAAGCAACCAGGTCACACCTTAGAAATGTCTGCTTAGAAGTATCTTCCACCAGATGTCCTAAGTCATCACTCTTAAGGTCAAACTTCCACAGATCCCTAGGGCATGAATACAATGCAGCCAAGTTGTTTCTTAGGATTTAACAAGCGTGACCTTTACTCCAGTTCCCAATAAGTTCCTCATTTCCATCTGAGATTTCATCAGCCTGGCTTTCACAGTCCATATGTCTATCAGCATTTTGGTGACAACCATTTAATCAGTCTCTAAGAAATTCCAAACTTTCCCTCATCTTCCTGTCTTCTTCTGAGTCCTCCAAATTCTTCTAACTTCTCTGCCTGTTACCTGATTCCAAAGCTGCTTCCAAATTTTCAGGTATCTTTATAGCAATGTTCCACTCCTCAATACCAAATTTCTGTGTTAGTTTGTGTTACTAGAAAAAAAAATACATGAGGCTAGTAATTTATAAAGAAAAGAGGTTTAGGCCAGGCACTGTGGCTCATACCTGTCATCCTAGCATTTTGGGAGGCAGAGGCAGGAGGATCACTTGAGCTCAGAAGTTTGAGACCAACCTGGGCAACATAGTGAGAACTTGTCTTGAAAAGACAAGAAGAAGGGAAGGGTGGGGAAGAGCAGAAGGGCAGAAGGGCAGGGCAGAAGGGAAGGGCAGGGAAGGCAGAAGAGAAGGAAGGAAGGGAGGTTTAATTAGTTCATATTTCTGCAGGCCGTTCTGGAAACACGGCCCTGGCATCTGCTTCTGGCGAGGCCTCAGGGAGATTGCAATCACAGCAGAAGGCGAAGGGGGAGCAGGCATGTCACATGGCAAGAGGGAGCAAGAGAAGAAAGTGGCACGTCCCAGACTTTTAAACAACCAGCTGTCACAGGGACTAACTGAGGGAGAACTCGCTCATCACCTGGGAGATGGTGCTAGGCCATTCATGAGGGGTCCAGCCCCATGATCTAATCACCTCCCACCAGGCCCACCTCCAACACTGGGAATCACATCTCAACATGAAATTTGGAGAGACGCACATCCAAACTATTGCACCACAGGAAGCTGGAAGAGGTGGACGGTCCTCCCCTGGAGCACTCAGAGACAGCCACCAACACCTTGATCTCAGATTTCTGACTCCCAGAACTCTGAAAAAATTTTTGTTGTTTTAAGCCACATTTGTGATATTTTGTTACGGCAGCCACAGCACGGATATAGCTGGTAACAGAGTTCTTTAGCCTCCAAAATACAAGCCTGGGGTAAATAACTATTGAATTTGGCCACATGGAAATCAGGAAGAATGTAATAAGCATCATCGATGGACGGGATGACCTGGGAGATCGTGGCAAGTTTAAAGCTAATTGGAAGTTGGCAACCAAAAAATCCTGTCTTGCAAATGGCCAGGAAATTGCCAAGAAAACCTTTAGAAAACATGGTTAAAGATGGAGAAACCCGGATGACTCCCTGGTTTCTGAAGAGGTGCTTAGGCATTGAAGTGAGACTGATGAGACTTCACACTGTACCCTTCAGAAGGGCAGACACTCACGAGATAATCAACCACGGCTCCCTCGCTGGGAGGCAGACACAGAGCTGGAGGCGGCGGCCACAAACTAGGTGGGCAGAGAGGCGTCAGCATCGGGACTTGCGGGAGGCCCTGGGAAGGAACAGGCAGCGGTGGGGCCTGGACAGCCCTGGGGAAAGGAAGTTACTTGGAGGAGACCAGGGGCTTGCATTTGGGCCAAAACCAAGGACAAGAGATCAGCTGGTCCCAGGGAACTCTGGAGCCCAACACCCCACCACGGGTGCAGGGGCCTGACAACCCAACAGAGGGCTGTGGGCACCGGGCACCAGCCTGTGGGGGGTCTGAAGGCTGCTGCCCAGCCACACATGTCCTGGTTCTGAACAAAGGGTTCAAGAGACACCTGGAAACCTACCCTTCTGAGAGCAGCCTCTTAGCCTCAGCTGGTATTGGCCCCTGGTCACCCCACATGCCCCGACAGTGGGGCCTGGCCTCAGAAAGGGGCCCCTCCATTTGTACTTTCTATCTGATCCTTGACACAGTGCTAACACCAAAGACCAAACCCGAATCTTGGTTCACATACTCTGCAAAGAAATGACTAAGACAAGTTCTTCCGGAGGTCAGTTTTAGAACATTATTCTGACTTAATTCTGCCTTATCTCTGTGCAACAAGAAAACTATCTGCACATCTGTAGTAAAATGTGAAGGTACCTTCATTTTGTTTGTATACTAAACTTTTAAGAAATACCTCACTTTTTAAAACTTGGTTTTGTGTTTTGTATGCTTATAATATTTTCCATAATAGATCATTTTAATGATAAACTCTGAATCTTCTGACAGAATGCAGATCAATGGATTCCTGGCCATCAGGGAGGCGTTGATTGCAAAGGGGCCTGGTGGAATATTTGGAGAGATTCTACATCTTCTTGCAACTGTTCATCTGGATTACGGTGGTGGTTGCATGAGTGTGCATTTGTTGAAACTCACATGTCACAGGATGGATTATACTGAATGTAAACTACACTTGCGTAAATATGACTTTTAAAACTTTAAAAAGTTGGGGGATGGTTCACTGCCCCGGCTCGAAGCCCCCTGGCCACGCTGCCTGGCCAGCCCACCCGCATCCCTGCCAGCGCTTGCCTCCAGCGTCCCAACAGCCTCCTGACCCCCTGGGCTGCTCTAAACCCTCAGGAGCGCAGCCATCCGGGATCAGCTGGATGGAGATGGGGAGCCCGAGACTCGTGCCACACCACGTCCTCCCACCCCCACCAGCCACACGCAGACGTCAAAGCAGCACTGTCCTCGCACGCGCTGCTCCCACCCACCCTGGCATGGCCATTCCAGGCCTGGGGCAGGAAGGCAGATGCTCCCCCTGCCCCCAGACACAAGCATTCCTGCACATACCCCCAGCACACACACACACTCCCATGCGCACACTGACACACACAGGTGTGTGCAGCTGAGACACAGCCCATTCCCAGGCAGTCCAGCCCCCGTCACTGAGGGAAAGGGGCAGCACCACGGGGCCACAGGAGTGGCAGCTGGACACAGAGCCAGGCGCTGGCGAAGGCCCAGGCCACTGAGGCGGGCTGCCGGCATGGCTGGGCGTGAAGGCCAGAAGAGGGCAGGAGGGGCCGTAGGCACTGTGCCTATTGGGCCTAGGTGGGCACACGCCTGGCAGGAGAGGAACAGCCCAGCCCCTGAGGAAGGGGTGGGGGCAGGGGCCATTTCTGGAGGCCAGGGCAGGGCCAGCACCCCAAGGAAAAGCAGAGCAGGGTGAGAACGGACATGGGGCTCAGAGCTGAGCAGGCCTGCTGGGCCCCAGGAGGGAGACACAGACGACCGGGGATCTCAAGGCTGGCAGAGGCCAGAGATGGAGCCCCACCTGGGATGCCATCCTCCTTCCTGGGGGCCCACCCTGCCCGGCCCCTCCAGCCCAGCACAGCTTGGGGCATTGGATAGAACCGGGAGAGAGCCGACCAGGCACTGAGGCCCCTGCCCCAAATGCCCACAGCCTGGGGAAAATGAGCAGGTACATGGGAGGGGCAAGTGGAGCCCCAGGCACACCCACACAGTGCACACGGCCTCACCTGGGCCGGAGGGGGCAGGAGGCTCGCCACCCCGCTGTGGTTTCTCTCCTAATCTCACCCTGGGTTTCTGCCACACTTGATGCAGGTGATGTTTCTCTGACATTGTGGACTAAGAGTTGGTGCTGGAAGGGGTTAGCCATCTTGGAGATGTTGCTATGGGGTGCAGGGATTTTGCGTGTGAGAAGGACATGATTATGGGGGGAGCGGAGGGCAAACTGTCATGGGTTAAAATGTGTCCCCTATAAATTCATGTGTTGAAGTCCTAACCCCCAGGACCACAGAATGTGACCTTGTTTGGAAACAGTCTTTGCAGCTGCAATCAAGTTCAGATGAGGTCACCCTGGAGTAGCGCAAGCCTCTGATCCAATATGACTGCTGTCCTCATGAAAAGGGGGAATCTGGGCACAGACAGCACGTGGGGAGAACGCCCTGTGAAGATGGTGCTGCTTCCATAAGCCAAGAGCAGCAGAGACGGCCGGCAAAGCCCAGCAGCAGGGAGAGAGCCTGGGACAGAGTCTCCCATGACACAGAGGTGCCAGCCCCACCGAGGCCTCCATCCCAGATGCCCGGCCTCCAGAACCAGGACGGAATAAACGTCTGTTGTTTAAGCCACGCAGTCTGGGGTGCTGTGTTGCCAGGGCCACAGTTAACGGATACGAGTGTTGTCCTGAGCTGCCAGCCCCACAGGCTGCACGAGGCCTCCCTGCCCCAGCCCAGTGCAGACTCCCCAGCCCCCTGGGTGTGCCATGGGCAGTGCGGGGACCCCTCACTCCGTCCTCCCCCAGCCTGGGAGGTTGAGCCCATTATGAGCTCCATGGGGTGAAGCTGGAACGAGAGGCTGGGAGCCGACTGGGAGCCTGCGGCTGGAGGATGGATTTCCCCAGGGACCCACACGTGCACCTCCACCTGTCTCCTGGACATTCTCTCTGAGGGCAGGGCTGGTGCCAGCTCAGGGATCCAGCAGGGTCACAAGGGCAGGCCGGGTCCTTGTGGAGAGCACATTTAGTGGGAGGGACATGATTTCCCTTCAAAGTGCCCATTCTGGACGCTTCCCGTTCCATGCTGGACGCTTCCTCTTCCACGCTGGATGCTTCCTGTTCCACACTGGATGCTTCCTGTTCCACGCTGGATGTTTCCTGTTACACTCTGGATGCTTCCTGTTCCACACTGGATGCTTCCTGTTCCATCCTGGATGCTTCCTGTTCCATGCTGGACATTTCCTGTTCCACTCTGGATGCTCCCTGTTCCATGCTGGATGCTTCCTGTTCCATGCTGGATGCTTCCTGTTCCATGCTGGACATTTCCTGTTCCACTCTGCATGCTTCCTGTTCCACTCTGGATGCTTCCTGTTCCATGGTGGACGTTTCCTGTTCCACTCTGCATGCTTCCTGTTCCATGCTGGATGCTTCCTTTTCCATTCTGGATGCTTCCTGTTCCATGTTGGATGTTTCTTGTTCCACTCTGGATGCTTCCTATTCCATTCTGGATGCTTCCTGTTCCATGCTGGACATTTCCTGTTCCATGCTGGATGCTTTCTGTTACATCCTGGATGCTTCCTGTTCCATGCTGGATGTTTTTTGTTTGACTCTGGATGCTTCCAGTTCCATTCTGGATGCTTCCTGTTCCATGCTGGATGCTTCCTTTTCCATTCCGCACAATTCCTATTCCATTCTGGACACTTCCTGTGCGACACCTCCTTGGGTTTTCTGTCTGCCCAGTCCCTCTATCCTCATCCCGTTCCCTGCTACCTCCCACCTCCACAATCGTCCTTGCCCAGCTCCTCCCTCTCTCTAGAGCTTCGGCCTGGCAAGGTCCCTCCTGATCTCAGTCCAGGCTCCCCCAGCACAGGTAGGAGCCTAGCACCTGCCCTTGGACCTCCCCACCCTGCATGGTGCCAGCATCCCCCGGTCCCCAGGGAGGCCCCATTTCTCTCTCTGCTTGTAGTCCAGTGGCCCTGGAGTCCCACTGCAACTCGGGTGTGCCCCTGACCTCTGAGGAAGTTAAGTGTCCTGTCCCTAGCCAGGCTATCCCGTCTGCTCAGCCCCAGGGCCCTGCCCCCAACCCCTTCCCCTCACCTGCACCACAGGCTCTGGCCAACTCTGCCCAGGCCCTGAATGGGCCCCTCTGGCTCCCCTCTGCTGCTACACTGCCCTGCACCACCTCCACTCAGCTTCAGTGTGTTCATCCACCTGTCCCAAGTCCCCTCGGCCCCCAGGAGCACAGCTGGTGGCCCTGGCTCCTGGCAGCCCATCTTGTTCCTTCTGGAGCACCAGCCTCAGAGGCCTTCCTGTGCAGGGTCCACTTGGCCAGCCCTGGGACCCTCCTGGTCTCAAGCACACACGTTCTCCCTGCAGCCAGACCTGCCCCTGCCTGTGAGCTCAGCCCTGAGCCTTGGAATGCCTTCCCATCTCCATCCCAGCTCGCCTTTGCCAGCTGCTCAGCAGGATGAACTCACACTCCCCTCCCTGCACCATGAGTCAGAGCCAGCTGGAGACACGCCCAGGCCAAAGCAGCCACCAGGGCCTAGTGGGGGCCAGAAGCTTCAGATGAGAGGCCCAGGTATTGAGAGGCTGAGATCACGGGCAGAATGGTCATAATCGCTGCCAGTATCAGTCCAGCCCCAGGGACTCAGAGACAGAGAAAAGAGCAGCACACAAGGTCTGGGCTCCCCACCTTCTCCCGTGAGTACGGGGGAGTATGGGGGCAGCCACCACCCCCATCCCCACACACCCATGAGGCAGCCTCGGCTGTGTCTGGACTCCCCCTCGCCCTCTGACCCAGAAACCACCAGAAGAAAAGGGAACTTCAGGAAGTAAGTGGTGCCGCCGGTTTCAATCCTGTTCTTAGTCTTTGCAGCGTGGAGTTCACACACCTGGGGACCTGGGGGCCGAGCTGTGATTTCCTAGGAAGACAAATAGCGGCTGACGGCAGGGGCGGGGCTGCCCACATGTACCTCGCCAGAACAGGAAGGGCTGAGACCCCCACCTCGGTGAGTGGGGTCAGCACAGGGCAGGGGCACAGGCTCGGGAGGAGGACAGAGCCTGGGGGCAGCCGTGGGCGCTCCTGGACCTGAGATGCTGAACAGGCTCCAAGAGGCTGGGGAGACATGGGGTCGAGGCCGGCCCCACATGGAGGCCCAAGCGGAGCCAGCACGGGGGAGGTGGGCAGCCTTCAGGCACCGATGCCCACCCAGTGCGAGACGACGGGGACCGTGGGCAGGGGCTTCCAAGCCAACAGGGCAGGACACACCAGAGGCTGACTGAGGCCTCCAGGACGACCGGGCTGGGAGCACGAGGAACATGACTGGATGCGGCAGAGCCGGCCGTGGGGTGATGCCAGGATGGGCACGACCGACCTGAGCTCAGGAGGCAGCAGAGCGAGGGAGGAGGAGAGGCCCCAGGTGAACGGAGGGGCTTGTCCAGGCCGGCAGCATCACCGGAGCCCAGGGCAGGGTCAGCAGTGCTGGCCGTGGGGCCCTCCTCTCAGCCAGGACCAAGGACAGCAGGTGAGCCGGGAGCAGAGCAGGGAGGGTGAGTGTGGCAGCAGGACAGGAGGGTGGAAGCCAAGGAGCCCAGAGGCAGAGGCAGGGACAGGGGAGGCACAGGGGCTGGGCTCAGAGCCAGCTGATGGGGTTGGGGCACCTGCTGGCGGGGAGCAGGGCTGTGGTCAGCAGTGGAGAGGAGGGGAGAGCTGTGCTGAGTGCACGGGCGGGAGAAGGGAAGAGTCCAGGGAGGCCCAGAAAGGCCCAGAGTGCAGCAGGCCTGGGGCGAGGGGAAGGGCTGAGGCTCCGTGCGTTCAGGGAACTGACCCAGCAGAGCAGAGGCCACTGAGGAGCTGAGGTTCCAGAGAGGCTTCCAGAGCAGGAGCAGTGCAGGGACAGGAGGATCCGGGAGCTCATTCAGGAGGGGCACATGGGCAAGGGCAAGGGGCTCTGTTGGGGAGACCTGACTGGACACTGGGGCTGCTCCACAGCATAGGGAACACGCCAAGTGCTGCAAAATCAAAAATGAGGGCAGAAAAACAGCCCAAACCTGGACAGAGGGTGCCAGGACAGGCAGGGGGGCAACAGTGACCTGAGTGACATTGCTGCCCGGGTTGAGGGAGGGCAGAGTGAGCAGGGAGCAGGCATTGGAGCTCAGGGACCAGGACCAAGCAGCCACAGGTGAGCAGGGCAGGTGGGGGCAGAAGGAGCAGGGGGCACCTCCTGGAGCTCAGGGGACCAGGGCAGAGCAGCCTCAGGTGAGCAGGGGCTGGTGGGCGGCAGGATGAGCAGGGGGAAGACCCTGGAGCTCAGGGGACCAGGGCAGAGCATCAGAAGGTGAGCATGGCTAGTGGGAGATGGGCAAGCAGGGGGCAGCCCCTGGAGCTCAGGGGACCAGGACAGAGCATCAGGAGGTGAGCATGGCTAGTGGGAGGTGGGCGAGCAGGGGGCAGCCCCTGGAACTCAGGGGACCAGGGCAGAGCAGCCGCAGGTGAGCACGGGCTGGTGGGAGGCGGGAGGAACAGGGGGCAGCTCCTGGACTTCAGGGGACCAGGGAGGGCATCTGAAGGTGAACAGGGGCCAGTGGGGGGCAGGATGAGCAGGGGGAAGCTCCTGGAGCTCAGGGAGCCAAGGCAGAGCAGCCGCAGGTCAGCAGGGGCAGGTGGGAAGCATGGGGAGCAGGTGGGCAGCCCCTGGAGCTCAGAGAGCCAGGGCAGATCATCCACAGGAGAGCAGGGGCTGGTAGGAAGCAGGAGGAGCAAGTGGGCAGCTTTTGGAGCTCAGAGCACCAGGGCAGAAGAGCCTCAGGTGAGAAGGGGCAGGTGGGAGGCAGAATAAGCAGGGGACAGCCCCTGGACCTCAGGAGACCAGGGCAGAGCATCACAACGTCAGCATGGCTGGTGGGAGGTGGGCGAGCAGGGGGCAGCCCCTGGACCTCAGAGAGCCAGGGCAGATCTGCAGGTGAGCAGGGGCAGGTGGGAGGCAGGAAGAGCAGGAGGCAGCTCCTGGAGCTCAGGGGATCAGGGCAGAGCAGCCACAGGTGAGCAGGGGCAGGTAGGAAGCAGAAAGATCAGGGGTCAGCCCCTGGAGCTCAGGGGACAAGGGGAGAGCATCAGAAGGTGAGCAGGACTGAGGCTCAGCCTCAGGGAGCCAGGGCAGAGCAGCTGCAGGTGAGCAGGGCCGGTGGGAAGCAGGAGGAGCAGGTGGGCAGCCCCTGGAGCTCAGAGAGCCAGGGAAGATCATCCGCAGGTGAGCAGGGGCTGGTGGGAAGCAGGAGGAGCAAGGGGCAGCTCCTGGAGCTCAGGGGACCAGGGCAGAGCAGTCGCAGGTGAACAGGGGCAGGTGGGGGGCAGGAGGAGCAAGGAGCAGCTCCTGGAGCTCAGGGGACCAGGGCAGAGCAGTCGCAGGTGAACAGGGGCAGGAGGAGCAAGGGGCAGCTCCTGGAGCTCAGGGGACCAGGGCAGAGCAGCCGCAGGTGAGCAGGTGCAGGTGGGGGGCAGGAGGAGCAGGGGGCAGCTCCTGGAGCTCAGGGGACCAGGGCAGAGCAGCCGCAGGTGAGCAGGGGCAGGTGGGGTGCAGGAGGAGCAGGGGGCAGGCACTGGAGCTCAGGGGACCAGGGCAGAGCAGTCGCAGGTGAACAGGG
The DNA here is from genome assembly GCF_000001405.40 of Homo sapiens. Lineage (NCBI taxonomy): Eukaryota > Metazoa > Chordata > Mammalia > Primates > Hominidae > Homo > Homo sapiens. The sequence goes on along the minus strand of NC_000014.9, from coordinate 105,745,206 downwards.
GCAGGTGGGGGGCAGGAGTAGCAAGGGGCAGCTCCTGGAGCTCAGGGGACCAGGGCAGAGCAGTCGCAGGTGAACAGGGGCAGGTGGGGGGCAGGAGGAGCAGGGGGCAGCTCCTGGAGCTCAGGGGACCAGGGCAGAGCAGCCGCAGGTGAGCAGGTGCAGGTGGGGGGCAGGAGGAGCAGGGGTCAGGCACTGGAGCTCAGGGGACCAGGGCAGAGCAGCCGCAGGTGAGCAGGGGCAGGTGGGGGGCAGGAGGAGCAGGGGGCAGGCACTGGAGCTCAGGGGACCAGGGCAGAGCAGCCGCAGGTGAGCAGGGGCAGGTGGGGGGCAGGAGGAGCAGGGGGCAGGCACTGGAGCTCAGGGGACCAGGGCAGAGCAGCCGCAGGTGAGCAGGGGCAGGTGGGGGGCAGGAGGAGCAGGGGGCAGGCACTGGAGCTCAGGGGACCAGGGCAGAGCAGCCGCAGGTCAGCAGGGCCGGTGGGAGGCAGGACGAGCAGGGGACAGGCACTAGAGCTCAGGGCAAGGCAGCCACAGGTGAGCAGGGCTGGTGGGAGGCATCACTCAGCTCCTAGACTTTGGCAGGAGCTGGGTAGTTGCTGGCAACAGACAGCTGAGGGCTGGTGAAAGTGCAGTGCAGCCTCCTGGTGCCGGGAAGGGAGTGTGAGTCCATCCCACTGAGCAGTTGGCAAGGGCGAGCTGGGATGGAGAAGGGAAGGCGTTCCAGGGCTCAGGGCTGAGCTCTCAGGCAGGGGCAGGTGTGGCTGCAGGGGGAACGTGTGCTTGAGACCAGGAGGGTCCCACGGCTGGTCCCAGCGGACCCTGGGCAGGAAGGCCTCTGAGGCTGGCGCCCCAGAAGGAGCAAGATGGGCTGCCAGGAGCCAGGGCCACCAGCACAATGAAGCTGAGTGGAGGTGGTGCAGGGCAGTGTAGCAGCAGAGGGCAGCCAGAGGGGCCCATTCAGGGCCTGGGCAGAGTCAGCCAGAGCCTGTGGTGCAGGTGAGGGGAAGGGGTGGTGAGCGGGGCCCTGGGGCTGAGCAGAGGGGATGGCCTGGCTGAGGGCAGGGCGCTTAGCCTCCTCAGAGGTCAGGGGCACACCCCACCTGCAGTGGGACTCCAGGGCCACTGGGCCAGCGGCAGAGAGAAATGGGGCCTCCCTGTGGCCTGGGGGTCCTGGCACCATGCAGGGTGGGGAGGGCCAAGGGCAGGTGCAAGGCTCCTACCTGTGCTGGGGGGCCTGGGTTGAGCCCAGCAGGGACCTTGCCGGGGGAAGCTCTGGAGAGAGGGAGGAGGTGGGCTGGTGGCCGAGAAGGCCAGGCCAGGGCTGGGAGGGTGACGGTGTGGTGACTGAGCCTCCAGAAGTAATGCAGGACACTGGGAGGCAGGGGGCATCCAGGCACTCAGGGCCCTGACCTGGGCTGCTGCACACTGGGGCTAAGGGGAAAGGAGGGGAGAGGCTGAGGAGGAGGCTCCAGGAGGCTATTCCAAGGCAGGGGGTTCCGGGGCCCTGGGGCTGAAGGGCGCCGACCCTATGCAGTGTCTGGCCCCTCTGCTGCACAGAAGAAAAGGGCCTTGGAGGGCAGAGGGCAGGCTATGACCAGGGCCCTGGGCAAGTCAGGCCAACTCACTAGGGGAGGGCCACGCTGGGGCGGCAGGGTCAGGGGCTTCAGGGGGCTCGGGGGACCCACGAGAAGCCATCTGAGAACAGTGTCCACTGGTCAAGCCAGGCACCCATAAAAGGCTGGAGTGGGGCCAATGGGCATGAGCCGTCCCTGAGGTGGCACCGATGGCCAGAGCTGAGGCCAAGCTAGAGGCCCTGGACTGTGCTGACTCCCGGCAGACACAGAGCGCTGACCTGGCTGCCGAGCCCCGCCTCCTAGGCTGCAGGGGTGCCTGCAGAAGGGCACCACAGGGCCACCGGTCCTGCAAGCTTTCTGGGGCAGGCCGGGCCTGACCTTGGCTTTGGGGCAGGGGGTGGGCTAAGGTGACGCAGGTGGCGCCAGCCAGGCGCACACCCAATGCCCGTGAGCCCAGACACTGGACGCTGAACCTCGCGGACAGTTAAGAACCCAGGGGCCTCTGCGCCCTGGGCCCAGCTCTGTCCCACACCGCGGTCACATGGCACCACCTCTCTTGCAGCCTCCACCAAGGGCCCATCGGTCTTCCCCCTGGCACCCTCCTCCAAGAGCACCTCTGGGGGCACAGCAGCCCTGGGCTGCCTGGTCAAGGACTACTTCCCCGAACCGGTGACGGTGTCGTGGAACTCAGGCGCCCTGACCAGCGGCGTGCACACCTTCCCGGCTGTCCTACAGTCCTCAGGACTCTACTCCCTCAGCAGCGTGGTGACCGTGCCCTCCAGCAGCTTGGGCACCCAGACCTACATCTGCAACGTGAATCACAAGCCCAGCAACACCAAGGTGGACAAGAAAGTTGGTGAGAGGCCAGCACAGGGAGGGAGGGTGTCTGCTGGAAGCCAGGCTCAGCGCTCCTGCCTGGACGCATCCCGGCTATGCAGCCCCAGTCCAGGGCAGCAAGGCAGGCCCCGTCTGCCTCTTCACCCGGAGGCCTCTGCCCGCCCCACTCATGCTCAGGGAGAGGGTCTTCTGGCTTTTTCCCCAGGCTCTGGGCAGGCACAGGCTAGGTGCCCCTAACCCAGGCCCTGCACACAAAGGGGCAGGTGCTGGGCTCAGACCTGCCAAGAGCCATATCCGGGAGGACCCTGCCCCTGACCTAAGCCCACCCCAAAGGCCAAACTCTCCACTCCCTCAGCTCGGACACCTTCTCTCCTCCCAGATTCCAGTAACTCCCAATCTTCTCTCTGCAGAGCCCAAATCTTGTGACAAAACTCACACATGCCCACCGTGCCCAGGTAAGCCAGCCCAGGCCTCGCCCTCCAGCTCAAGGCGGGACAGGTGCCCTAGAGTAGCCTGCATCCAGGGACAGGCCCCAGCCGGGTGCTGACACGTCCACCTCCATCTCTTCCTCAGCACCTGAACTCCTGGGGGGACCGTCAGTCTTCCTCTTCCCCCCAAAACCCAAGGACACCCTCATGATCTCCCGGACCCCTGAGGTCACATGCGTGGTGGTGGACGTGAGCCACGAAGACCCTGAGGTCAAGTTCAACTGGTACGTGGACGGCGTGGAGGTGCATAATGCCAAGACAAAGCCGCGGGAGGAGCAGTACAACAGCACGTACCGTGTGGTCAGCGTCCTCACCGTCCTGCACCAGGACTGGCTGAATGGCAAGGAGTACAAGTGCAAGGTCTCCAACAAAGCCCTCCCAGCCCCCATCGAGAAAACCATCTCCAAAGCCAAAGGTGGGACCCGTGGGGTGCGAGGGCCACATGGACAGAGGCCGGCTCGGCCCACCCTCTGCCCTGAGAGTGACCGCTGTACCAACCTCTGTCCCTACAGGGCAGCCCCGAGAACCACAGGTGTACACCCTGCCCCCATCCCGGGATGAGCTGACCAAGAACCAGGTCAGCCTGACCTGCCTGGTCAAAGGCTTCTATCCCAGCGACATCGCCGTGGAGTGGGAGAGCAATGGGCAGCCGGAGAACAACTACAAGACCACGCCTCCCGTGCTGGACTCCGACGGCTCCTTCTTCCTCTACAGCAAGCTCACCGTGGACAAGAGCAGGTGGCAGCAGGGGAACGTCTTCTCATGCTCCGTGATGCATGAGGCTCTGCACAACCACTACACACAGAAGAGCCTCTCCCTGTCTCCGGGTAAATGAGTGCCACGGCCGGCAAGCCCCCGCTCCCCAGGCTCTCGGGGTCGCGCGAGGATGCTTGGCACGTACCCCGTGTACATACTTCCCAGGCACCCAGCATGGAAATAAAGCACCCAGCGCTTCCCTGGGCCCCTGCGAGACTGTGATGGTTCTTTCCACGGGTCAGGCCGAGTCTGAGGCCTGAGTGGCATGAGGGAGGCAGAGTGGGTCCCACTGTCCCCACACTGGCCCAGGCTGTGCAGGTGTGCCTGGGCCGCCTAGGGTGGGGCTCAGCCAGGGGCTGCCCTCGGCAGGGTGGGGGATTTGCCAGCGTGGCCCTCCCTCCAGCAGCAGCTGCCCTGGGCTGGGCCACGAGAAGCCCTAGGAGCCCCTGGGGACAGACACACAGCCCCTGCCTCTGTAGGAGACTGTCCTGTTCTGTGAGCGCCCTGTCCTCCGACCCGCATGCCCACTCGGGGGCATGCCTAGTCCATGTGCGTAGGGACAGGCCCTCCCTCACCCATCTACCCCCACGGCACTAACCCCTGGCAGCCCTGCCCAGCCTCGCACCCGCATGGGGACACAACCGACTCCGGGGACATGCACTCTCGGGCCCTGTGGAGAGACTGGTCCAGATGCCCACACACACACTCAGCCCAGACCCGTTCAACAAACCCCGCACTGAGGTTGGCCGGCCACACGGCCACCACACACACACGTGCACGCCTCACACACGGAGCCTCACCCGGGCGAACCGCACAGCACCCAGACCAGAGCAAGGTCCTCGCACACGTGAACACTCCTCGGACACAGGCCCCCACGAGCCCCACGCGGCACCTCAAGGCCCACGAGCCGCTCGGCAGCTTCTCCACATGCTGACCTGCTCAGACAAACCCAGCCCTCCTCTCACAAGGTGCCCCTGCAGCCGCCACACACACACAGGGGATCACACACCACGTCACGTCCCTGGCCCTGGCCCACTTCCCAGTGCCGCCCTTCCCTGCAGCTGGGGTCACATGAGGTGTGGGCTTCACCATCCTCCTGCCCTCTGGGCCTCAGGGAGGGACACGGGAGACGGGGAGCGGGTCCTGCTGAGGGCCAGGTCGCTATCTAGGGCCGGGTGTCTGGCTGAGCCCCGGGGCCAAAGCTGGTGCCCAGGGCGGGCAGCTGTGGGGAGCTGACCTCAGGACATTGTTGGCCCATCCCGGCCGGGCCCTACATCCTGGGTCCTGCCACAGAGGGAATCACCCCCAGAGGCCCAAGCCCAGGGGGACACAGCACTGACCACCCCCTTCCTGTCCAGAGCTGCAACTGGAGGAGAGCTGTGCGGAGGCGCAGGACGGGGAGCTGGACGGGCTGTGGACGACCATCACCATCTTCATCACACTCTTCCTGTTAAGCGTGTGCTACAGTGCCACCGTCACCTTCTTCAAGGTCGGCCGCACGTTGTCCCCAGCTGTCCTTGACATTGTCCCCCATGCTGTCACAAACTGTCTCTGACACTGTCCCACAGGCTGTCCCCACCTGTCCCTGACGCTGTCCCCCATGCTCTCACAAACTGTCCCTGACATTGTCCCCAATGCTGCCCCCACCTGTCCAACAGTGTCCCCCAGGCTCTCCCCACATGTCCCCGACACTGTCCCCCATGCTGTCCCCATCTGTCCCCAACACTGTCCCCCACCCTGTCCCCCTTTGTCCCCAACACTGTCCCCCACAGTTTCCACCTGTCCCTGACACTGTCCCCCATGCTTTCCCCACCTGTCCCTGACACCATCCCCCACTCTGTCCCCTATAGTTCCTGGCCCTGTCCCCCACGCTGTCCCCTACAGTACCTGGCACTGTCCCCCATGCTGTCCCCTCCTGTATGAAACCCTGTCCCACATGCTGTCCCCACCTGTCCGTGACAATATCCCCCACACTGTCCCCACCTGTCCCCGACACTCTCCTCCACGTTGTTCTTACCTAAACCCGACACTTTCCTCCATGCTGTCCCCACCCATCTCCGACACTGTACCCCACGTTGTCCCCACCTGTCCTCAACACTGTCCCCCATGCTGTCCCCACCTGTCCCCAACACTCTCCTCCATGCTGTCCCCACCTGTCCCTGATATTGTCCCCCATGCAGTCTCCACCTGTCCCCAATGCTGTCCCCCAGGCTGTACCTACCAGTACAACACTGTCCCCCATGCTGTCCCCACCTGTCCCTGACACTGTCCCCCACGCTGTCCCCTCCTGTCCCCGACACTGTCCCCCACACTGTCCCCACCTGTCCCCAACACTATCCTCCATGCTGTCCCCTCCTGTCCCCACCTGTCCCCTACACTGTCCCCCATGCTGTCCCCACCAGTCCCCAAAACTTTCCTCCACACTGTCCCCACCTGTCCCCAACACTGTCCCCCACGCTATCCCCCCTGTCCCCGACAATGTCCCCACTGTTTCCTCCTGTTCCCTCCTATCCCTGACACTGTCCGCCATGCTGTCCCCACCTGTCCCTGACACTGTCTCCCACTCTGTCCCCTATAATCCCTGACACTGTCCCCCACGCCGTCCCCTCCCGTATGCACCACTGTCCCCCAAGCTGTCCCCACCTGTCCTCAACACAGTCCCCCATGCTGTCCCCACCTGTCCCCAACACTCTCCTCCATGTCCCCACCTGTCCCTGATATTGTCCCCCATGCAGTCCCCACCTGTCCCCGATGCTGTCCCCCGGGCTGTACCTACCAGTCCAACACTGTCCCCCACACTCTCCCCACCTGTCCCTGATACTGTCCCCCATGCTGTCCCCACCTGTCCCGGACACTGTTCTCCACGCTCTCCCCTCCTGTCCCTGACACTGTCCCCCACACTGTCCCCACCTGTCCCCAACACTATCCTCCATCCTGTCCCAACCTGTCTCCTACACTGTCCCCCATGCTGTCCCCACCAGTCCCCAACACTGTCCTCCATGCTGTCCCCCATGTCCCCAACACTGTCCCCCATGCTATCTCCCCTGTCCCTGACAATGTCCCCACTGTTTCCTGTCCCCTCCTATCCCTGACACTGTCCCCCATGCTGTCCCCACCTGTCCCCCACATGGTCTCCACCGGTCCCTGACACTGTCTCCCACTCTGTCCCCTATAATCCCTGACACTGTCCCCCACACCGTCCCCTCCTGTATGCACCACTGTCCCCCATGCTGTCCCCACCTGTCCCTGATGCTGTCCTCCACACAGTCCCCACCTCTCCCTGACACTGTCCCCATCTCTCCCCAACACTCTCCTCCATGCTGTCCTTAACTGTCCCCAACACTCTTCCACACTCTGTCTCCACCTGTCCCTGACACTGTCCCCCACACTGTCCTCACCTGTGTCTGACACTGTCCCCCACGCTGTCCCCACCTGTCCCTGACGCTGTCTTCTGTGCTGTCCACATGCTGTTGGTGCCCTGGCTCTGCTCTCTATCACCAAGCCTCAGAGCAGGCAGTGGTGAGGCCATGGCACCTGGGTGGCATGAGGGGCCGGATGGGCCTCAGGGGCAGGGCTGTGGCCTGCGTGGACTGACGGGTGGGTGGGCCTTGGGGGCAGAGAGGTGGCCTCAGTGCCCTGAGGGGTGGGTGGGGCTCGGGGGCAGGGCTGTGGCCTCGCTCACCCCTGTGCTGTGCCTTGCCTACAGGTGAAGTGGATCTTCTCCTCGGTGGTGGACCTGAAGCAGACCATCATCCCCGACTACAGGAACATGATCGGACAGGGGGCCTAGGGCCACCCTCTGCGGGGTGTCCAGGGCCGCCCAGACCCCACACACCAGCCATGGGCCATGCTCAGCCACCACCCAGGCCACACCTGCCCCCGACCTCACCGCCCTCAACCCCATGACTCTCTGGCCTCGCAGTTGCCCTCTGACCCTGACACACCTGACACGCCCCCCTTCCAGACCCTGTGCATAGCAGGTCTACCCCAGACCTCCGCTGCTTGGTGCATGCAGGGCACTGGGGGCCAGGTGTCCCCTCAGCAGGACGTCCTTGCCCTCCGGACCACAAGGTGCTCACACAAAAGGAGGCAGTGACCGGTATCCCAGGCCCCCACCCAGGCAGGACCTCGCCCTGGAGCCAACCCCGTCCACGCCAGCCTCCTGAACACAGGCGTGGTTTCCAGATGGTGAGTGGGAGCGTCAGCCGCCAAGGTAGGGAAGCCACAGCACCATCAGGCCCTGTTGGGGAGGCTTCCGAGAGCTGCGAAGGCTCACTCAGACGGCCTTCCTCCCAGCCCGCAGCCAGCCAGCCTCCATTCCGGGCACTCCCGTGAACTCCTGACATGAGGAATGAGGTTGTTCTGATTTCAAGCAAAGAACGCTGCTCTCTGGCTCCTGGGAACAGTCTCAGTGCCAGCACCACCCCTTGGCTGCCTGCCCACACTGCTGGATTCTCGGGTGGAACTGGACCCGCAGGGACAGCCAGCCCCAGAGTCCGCACTGGGGAGAGAAGGGGCCAGGCCCAGGACACTGCCACCTCCCACCCACTCCAGTCCACCGAGATCACTCAGAGAAGAGCCTGGGCCATGTGGCCGCTGCAGGAGCCCCACAGTGCAAGGGTGAGGATAGCCCAAGGAAGGGCTGGGCATCTGCCCAGACAGGCCTCCCAGAGAAGGCTGGTGACCAGGTCCCAGGCGGGCAAGACTCAGCCTTGGTGGGGCCTGAGGACAGAGGAGGCCCAGGAGCATCGGGGAGAGAGGTGGAGGGACACCGGGAGAGCCAGGAGCGTGGACACAGCCAGAACTCATCACAGAGGCTGGCGTCCAGCCCCGGGTCACGTGCAGCAGGAACAAGCAGCCACTCTGGGGGCACCAGGTGGAGAGGCAAGACGACAAAGAGGGTGCCCGTGTTCTTGCGAAAGCAGGGCTGCTGGCCACGAGTGCTGGACAGAGGCCCCCACGCTCTGCTGCCCCCATCACGCCGTTCCGTGACTGTCACGCAGAATCTGCAGACAGGAAGGGAGACTCGAGCGGGAGTGCGGCCAGCGCCTGCCTCGGCCGTCAGGGAGGACTCCTGGGCTCACTCGAAGGAGGTGCCACCATTTCAGCTTTGGTAGCTTTTCTTCTTCTTTTAAATTTTCTAAAGCTCATTAATTGTCTTTGATGTTTCTTTTGTGATGACAATAAAATATCCTTTTTAAGTCTTGTACTTCGTGATGGGAGCCGCCTTCCTGTGTCCACGCGCCTCCTGCCCCCGGTGGAAAACACGGTCAGGAGGAGGCTGGTCCAGCTGCACCTCGGGGGCTCCCTGCATACGCCCCCCGCCTCCTGCAGCCACACGCATTGCCCGAGCGACCCTCCCTGGCCCCTGTCACTACATGGACCCCCGGGGCTTCTCCTCTTTTCTACATGGATGCAGTTTCTCCTCCTGCTGGGCACGGTGCTGCCTGCCCTGGTCACTCTGCGGGGGACAGGGCCTCCAGGGAAAGCTGGGTCGAGGCTGGGAGCTGGCTCAGGCTGGCCAGGCAGAGCCACAGGGAGGGCCTTCCAGAACCAACCATGGTCCGAAGCGAGAGGTGGGTGTCAGATCTGTGTGCGTCAGCTCAGGACCACAGCGGGGCAGCTCCCACGGCAGACATGGATCCTCCCAGGCCTAGAGACCAGGAATCTGAGATCAGGATGCAGGCAGGGCTGGTTTCTCTCAAGCCCTCTCTCCTTGGCTTGTAGACACCGTCTCCTCCCTGGTCCTCACATGGCCATACCTCTGTGTGCCCGTGTCCTAAGCTTCTCTTCTTAGAACACACATCGGATTAGATTAGTGACCCCCTATGAACTTAATGACCTCTGTAAAGACCCCATCTCCAAATAGTCACATTGTGAGGCCAGGGATTAAGACTTGAATATATGAATTTGTAGGGGCCACGATTTAACCCATCACAGTCCAGACTCTGGCCCCCAAAATTCATGTTCTTCTCACATGCAAAACACATTCATCCTGTCTCAGCATCCCCCTGGGCACTAGGTCATGTAGCAAGGACGGATTCTCAACAGAAATAACTATTGCAACGGAAGAAAGAGTCCGGCATGACCTGGACTCACCTTCATCTGTGCAGAGGCCACAGCCTTGTAAAGGGAGGTGGTAGGGGGAGCAGGGTGGGTGCTCGGGGCTCAGTCGTTGGGGAAGGGAAAAGTTTCCCAGCGCTGGTCAGCGTCCCCGGGATGGGACCCGCTGTGTCCGTGCCGGCCACTGTTGAGGTCAGGATTCTGTCCTCCCAGAGCCTGGAGACACAGGCCCCATCCTTCACAAAGGGGACACTTCAGGGAGTGGCTCTCAGGTCCCGAGAAAGACCCTCCTGGGTCACAGGAAATGCACAGACATCAGGAACGGATAGAAGGTCGTGTGGTTGCGGCCCTCTCAGCAGATACCCTGAGAAAGGGAGGTCGGGGTTGGTCCAAACGGTGAGTTCTGGTGCACGGAGCTTTCTCAGGCAGGTGTTGACGGGGCAGGGGTCGGCCTAGGGGTACGGCCAGAAGCTGTTAGAAACTGTTAGTGTCTGCTCAAGTCTTTACAAGCCAAGGTTGAGGCCGAGTGGAGAGGCTCCGAGGAGCCTGGCTGGAACTCAGTCAAGGACAGGGTCTTGTTACTGCAGTGGCTGCGGTGGCTGCGGTGGCTGCGAAATGCCGTCGGAGTTGCCTGTGGCAGGAGAGAGACCATCTCACCCAGGAAGGAGGAGTGGTTGGATTCGTTTGTGTGGCATCGAGCAGCTGGAGCTTCACCAAACACAGAGTTGGGGATGAAATCCCCAGAGCCCGGACCCTGCCATGCCGTGGGAAGGCTCGCTGCTGGAGGGTGGGCTCCAGGGGGCCTGGCCTGAACTGGGTGCTGAAGCCCAGCCCTTTAACTCTCAGGACACGCTGCTGCAGCCCCGCGGGGGGTGAGGGAGACAGCACCTGGGGTGCAGGGCGGGCAGCTGCTGCATCACCGGCTCTATCCCAAGCCCAAGGATGGCGTCCCAGAGATGCAGGAGAGCTTTGTCCAGAGAAGGTGCCAGCCCTCAGGGACCCTGCTGGACAGCTCTCCACCCTCTGCCCTTCAAGGGGCCCTACGGGCCTCCGGGTGCCCTGGTGGGGTGGGCTCCAGTCCACTGTCTGAGGATGGACGGCCTGGCCAGGATAAGGAAAGGAGACCCAGGACGGTGCCGGGCTCCGGGTCATTCCGTGCACTGAGCAGGCTGAGTTGGGAAGAAGCAGATGCTTCCTGCAGCTCCTGCCCCTGCAGGGCCTGGCGCCTGGACCAGGTTCCCCTGGGGAAATTGGGCCCCTCCCTGAGCCACCCGGGGCCCACCTCCCACTTTCTACCTGGGACCGAGCATCCTCCAGAGGGTCAGCCCTCCTGCGGGAACACCATGCCCAGCCCCAGGACCCTCCCTCAACTCTCCAGCAAGGCTGCCCCTGCACGCCCCCAGCAGCCCATGCTGTGATGTAGCATGACATCATGTGATGTGGTGTGATGTCCTATGACAGGGTGACATCCCTGGTGTGATGTGGTGTGATGTGGCGTGATGTCCTTTGTGTGATGTGGTGTTGGACTACATGGTTGGACATAGTGTGATGTGGTGTGACCGAGTGTGACATCCCTGGTGAGATGTGGTGTGACATGGTGTGAGGTGTTGTGACATGGTGTAATGTCCCTGGTGTGAGGTGGTATGACATGGTGTGAGGTGTTGTGACATGGTATAATGTCCCTGGTGTGAGGTGGTGTTGGACATGATGTGATGTGGTGTGACAGAGTGTGATGGGTATGACATCCCTGGTATGATGCGGTATGAGATTATGTGGTATGGTGTGACATGATGTGATGTGGCGTAACATCCTTGGGGTAATGGGGTATGATGTCGTTTGACGGGTGTGGTGGTGTGGGGTGTGATGAGGTGTGGTGTGACATGATGTGACCTGTGACGTGCTGTGTCAGGGTGCCACATCCTTGCTGTGATGTGATGCGGTGTGACACGGTGTGATGTGGCATGATGGGGTGTGACCCGGTACGACATCCCCAGTGTGATGAGTTAATGGTGTGATGTGTGACATCCCTAGTGTGACATAGTGTGATGTGGTGTGATGAAGAGGGCCTCGCCCTCCACAGCTGTGGGTATTTCTCATCAGGTGGAAACACGAGACTGAGAAAAGAAATAAGACACAGAGACAAAGTGCAGAGAAAGAACAGTGAGCCCAGGGGACCGGCACACTCAGCACGCGAGGACCTGCACCGGCACCGGTCTCTGGGTTCCCTCAGTATTTATTGATGACTATTTTCACTATCTCCATACGGGGAGTGCGGCAGGAGAACAGCGTGAACAGGGTGATGATGGGGAGAAGGTCAGCAGGAAAACATGTGAGTAAAGGAATCTGCATCATAAATAACTCCCAGGGAAGGTACCGTGCTGGGATGTACACATAGACTAGATTTATGTTTCTCTTTACCCAAACATCTCAGTGTAGTGAAGAGTAACAGAGCCGTATCACCGCTAGCATATCTTGTCTCCAGCCTTAGGGCGGTTTTCTCCTACCTCAGAATAGAATGAATGGTGGGTGTAAAGCCCAGACATTCCATTCCCAGGGACGTGCAGGAAACAGAGGCCTTCTTCTTATCTCAACCGTAAAGAGGCCTTCCTCTTTTACCAATCCTCCTCAGCACAGACCCTTTACAGGTGTCAGGCTGGGGGACAGTCAGGTCTTTCCCTTGCCATGAGGCCATATCTCAGGCTGTCTCAGTGAGGAGAAACTGGGACAATACCTAGGCTTTCTCCGGCAGAGGTCCCTTCAGCTTTCCGCAGCGTATTCTGTGCCTAGTTAACAGAGAATGGAGAATGGCGATGACTTCTACCAAGCACACTGCCTGCAAACGTATCGTGAACCAGGCACGTCCTGCGCAGCCCTAAACCCCTTAAACCTTGATTCCATGCAGCACAGGTTTCTGTGAGCACAGTGTTGGGGCTAAAGTTACAGGTTAACAGCGTCTCAAAGCAGAACAATTTTTCTTTGTACAGATCAAAATGGAGTTTCTTATGTGTTCCTTTTCTACATAGGCACAGTAACAGTCTGATCTTTCTTTTCCCCAGTGTGACATGGTGTGACGTTCCTGGTGTGATTCTTGTGTTGTGACATTTGTGGTCACCCCAGGATACAGAGGTCTCTGTGGCCAAGGGAAGGGGGAGAATGGAACCATCTGAGCATGTTGACCTGGAGGAATTGGTGGCCCTTGAGTCCACGAAGCCCACCCTTCCAGGTGCCCCTGCCCCACGTGACCCAAGTGGGCTTGCAGAGCAGCAAGCAGGACTCTGGTTAGACAGGAGGAAGGACCTGCCACCACGTGGCCTTGTGAGGAGACAGAGCGAGGCTGTGACCTCGGCGTCCGAGGCAGGCTGAAGAGACGGGCAGAGGGAGGATGCTGGGGAGGCAGGGGTGAGGGGAGTGAGAGCCCAGGTTTCAGCTGAGCCCCTCCACAGGGAAGGAGCCTAGCTGAACACCCATCTCCCCACACACTCCCAACCCTGCCTCTGCCCGACCACCTCCCAGAAGGCACCTCGACCCCTCTGCTACCCACACTCAGCAAGGGGTATGGTGTCCCCACCGAGTCCAGCCAGTGAGGCCCGGCACAGCCACGCCTGTGCCCACCACTCCCATGGCCAAGCTCGCTGCTAACATGGCAGGACAGGGCCAGGCCTGGAGGAGACAGAACATCAGTCCCATGGGGAAGCTCCCTGCTCACACGGCAGGGCCGGGCCTGGAGAAGACAGAACACCCCATCCGGCATGGTACTCAGGCTGCACATGCCTGCCACGAACGGGGGCCACGCGACAATGCTGCCACGCACGGGGGACACACGACAATGCCTGCCATGCATAGTGGCCACACAACAATGCCTGCCACGCGTGGGGGACACGCGACGATGCCTGCCATGCATGGGGACACGTGACACACACATACACACACGGGCCTCACAGGCACACGAATGTTTGCAACCCCAGCACCCACCCAGCACACTCAGGCACAGGCTCCCTGGGCGGGTCACAACCTCACACCTTGAGCTACTCCATGTGCCAGGCTCTTCACCCACGTTCCCGTCCCCGGTGCTAGCTATTGAGCCACACTGTCTTCTCTGTGGATCCCTCCCAGCCCACTCAGCACAATGGACATGCTCTCTACCATCCAGTGACTGCACCGGCCTCTTCCCCTCAGCACCCACGTCTGGCCATCTCCCAGGAAACCCGGACCACCACGGGCAGGGACCACCTTCCTCACTGTCCACATGGACCACCCCACACCTGACCTCAGATGCAGTCACACTACGTCCTGCTTCAATATTGAAAGGGGGAAAAGCTGGAGGAGGGTAAAGATGAAAGAGAAAAAAGCAAGAGGGGAGGGTCACATTCTTCTGAGGCTTTGATTACATCTCACTGAGCCCCCCACGTTGCATGAAAAGGAGGGGTGGAGGGAGCAATTACGCATTCGCCTTGTGCTCACTAAATCTACACTTTATAAGCAAATAAACAGAGTAGAGGAAGAAGTCAAATATGCATTCGTCTCAGGGGTAGGAGGGACGATTTCTTGTCTCATTTTGTCCCATGTCATGAAGACCAGCTGTTAATTTATATTCTCAGGGTGAGGGAGGCCACCTGGGTAGACCTGGCCTATCTGCTGCTGCTATCAGTTTGGAAACAAAAGGAAACGCATGACTTTTTTTTTTTTTCATGACTCAGCTTCCCACCTCAACGGTTCATTTTGGCATAGTGAGTTTGGAGTCCTGAGATTTTATTTTCCTTTCACAATGGTCAAGATCGCACCCTCAGTATTCAGGAGAGCTGGTCCAACCCAGACCCCTGCTGTCCCTGGACACTTGAAATACGTGCTGCAGTCTCTGACACTCTCTCACCATGGTAGAAACTGAGGTCTTGGCGAGTCTGCAGCCCCTGCTCATGGGGACAATGCAGGCTGAAACCCGCATTTCTGACCTCAAAGCTCCTGTTCTTTTCACTCACCCCCACACCACCTCTTTGAGTCCAGAGCTTTGTCCTTGCCTGAGTCCTACCCTCAGGGACAGGGGCCCAACCCAGACACCAACACATCATACCCTGAGAGGGTGCCAGGAGCCCAGAGATGTTTGGAGAGCACAGAAGCCCTGGAGGCTCTGTGGAGATGCTGCACATTTCTCTATTCAACAGATACTCACCAGGTGGCCAGCGGCAGAGATGCCACATGGCATGGAGCTCGCCTTGGCCAACAGGACAGGTGTGGGGTTGGGAGGCCTTCCCACGGCACTCCTTGAAGCAGAGCTGTGGGGAAAAGTTGGGGCCAACCTCAGATCTCCCCATCAACACCGGTTCTCCTGCCCTCCCGGGCCACAGAAAACTAAGCTCCCTGGATACTGCGGCTGGGTGGGGCCATGAGGGAGAAGAAATCACGAGTTAAGAGATCATTTTTTAAAAGTATTATGATCAGGACTCACATAAACATATGACGACACATTTCAGAGATGCTCTTTATCTCATTAATTAAGGTGTTGCAACCAGTTCAAAGTGGAATTCTAAGTACTACACTTACATAATTGATTCAGGAATACTAAAAGGAGTTCATAGATAGATGCAAAACTGGCCTTTTCCCTGGCAGAGGAGGAGCAATTCATTGTCCTTTCAAAGATGAGAACTTGGATTTCTACCAACTCAAAGAGTTTTTGCATTGCTATCAATTATGTACAACTTAGAGCCGTGGTCCCCAACATTTTTGGCACCAGGAACCAGTTCCATGGAAGACAATGTTTCCACAGACCAGGATCGGGGGATGGTTTGGGGACAAAGCTGTTCCACCTCAGATCATTAGGCATTAGGGTGTCATAAGGAGCATGCAACTTAGATCCCGGGAATGTGCAGCTCGCAATAGGGTTCGCTCCTATGAGAATCTAATGCTGCCACTGACCTGACGGGAGGTGGAGCTCCGGCAGGAATGCTCACACACCCCTCACCTCCTGCTCTGTGTCCCAGTTCCTAACAGGCCATGAACTGGTTCCAGTGCATGACCCAGGGGTTGGGGACCCCTGGCTTATAGAGGTGTAAAATAGTTCAAAGGAAATAAAAGATGCAGAGCTCCATAGAATAAAATAACTTGGAAGAGTCTACAAGACGATGCCTTGCTTTCCATGGAAGGCACCAAGTAATCATTTGGTCCATTTCAGTTTTTCTCAATGTTTCCTATAAACATATATAACTGACTGACACAAACAGATCCATAATATAAAGAAGACCCCTGTAAACCAATGAGAAAAAAAAATCAAATAATCTAATGAGGAATAGGCAAGAGAATTGAACAGATGTTTTACAGAAGATATCCAAATAGCCACTAAACATATGAAAACATGTTGAACCACACTAGTCAACAGGGAAATGAAAATGAAAAACCACGTGAGAGAAAGTAGTTCTGATTCCAATAATGCTGGAGCAGCTAATATCAGACCAGCCCTTTGGCAGAAGGCAATTATAAACACTGGAAATGCTGTAAGCACACACAACACCCACACACACCAATTGCAGGCACTGGGACATGACCAGAAGTAGGCAAACACTAGTAAGGATTATTCCGTGAAATATTCGTCTGAAGTCACACCCCAGTGCAGGTAATGGGTGCAGCTAGAGTTTAAGCAGGAAACTGCAGCCCTCCTGGTGAGGAGTGGGATGCAGGGCTGCATTTTCAGAGCAGCTGGAAATGAAGAGAAGATATCCGTAAAGGAGAAGGTCACCGAAGGGAAACCCCACAATCTGCAAGTAAACTCCAGTGAAACCTCTGGCCGATTCCTTAGGTGTGCATGGGTAGGGAAAACTCCAAAGGGTCCAGCAGAAAGCAACACCTGTAAGGTCAAGAGAACTGAGATTCCAGCTACTGCCAACTGCCAGGCAGGCAGACTTGGGAGTTTGAGTCAACTCAAGCTAACTGCTTGCTAACATTGAAAAAAACAATTAATGCTCTGCTAAGAAAGAATGCAAACCCCATAGCCTGTACCACATGTTATCAACAACATCAGGCACACATCCAAAATTACTATGTATGCAAAGAAACATGAAAATGTGATCCAAAGTCAAAAGAAAAAGGGATCAATGGAGATCAACTCCAAGATGACCTAGATGCAGATACAGTTATCAGACAAGGACTTTAAAGAAGTTATGTTAAATATGTTCAAAGACTTAAAGGAAAATATGGTTATCATGAGTGACTAGATGAGGTATCTCTATAAAAAACTGAAAATAGTTACAAGAAGCGAATGAAAATTCTAGAACTAAAAGTATGATTCGGAAATGAAAAACATCATTTGACCAGGCCCAGTGGCTCATACCTGTAATCCTAGCACTTTGGAAGGCCAACAAGGAAGGATCACTTGACCTCAGGAGTTGGAGACCAGCCTGGGCAACATGGTGAAACCCCATCTCTATTTTATTAAAAAAGAAAAGAAAGAGAAAAACATTACCCAAGTTTAATAACAGATTGGACAAGACATAAGAAGGAACAGAAAACTTAAAGATGCATCAATAGAGTATATCAATTCTTTTTAATCCAATCCAAAGAAGAAAGAGAAAAATACTAAAAAATGAAAAGAGATTCATCCTGCTGGAGAAGGCGAAGCATTCTAAAACATGCAAAACTGGAGTCCAGAGGGGGATGTAATACTTCCATGAGAAACGTCAACCCTAAGCTATATGCAAATGTACCTGCGTAGGCTGGTGTGGTGGGCTGATGGCATCTCCCTGGCCAAATGTATGCCCACCTGGAACCTCAGAATGTGACCTTATTTGGAAATGGGGTCTTTACAAATTAGGTTAAGGACTTGAGATGATATCATACTAAATTTTGGATGGATCCCAAGTCCAAACACTGGTGTCCTCATAAGAGGAGAGGACACAGACACACATGGAGGTAAGCCATATGATGACAAAGGAGAAGATGAGGGGTGTGTCAGGAGCCACCTGTGTTTGTCCATTTGCATTACTGTAAAGAAATACCTGAGGCTGAGTAACTTATGAAGGAAAGAGGTTCAATTGGCTCACAGTTCTGCAGGCTGTATAGGAAGTATGGCACCAGCATCTGCTTCTGGCGAGGACCTCAGGAAACTTACAGTCATAGCAGAAGGTGAAGGGAGAGCAGGTATGCCACATGGCAAGAATGGGAGCAAGAGGCTGAGGGGGGGCCCCAGACTTAAACAACTAGACTGTGTGTGAGCTGACTGGGGGAGAATTCACTCATCACCAAGGGGATGATTCTAAATCATTCATGAGGGATCTTCCCCCTTGATCTAATCACCTCCTACCAGGCCCCACTTCCAACACTGGGAATCATATTACAACATGAGATTTGGAGGGGAGAAATATATAAACCATATCCTTCCACCCCTGGTCCCCCAAATCTCATGTTGCAAAATACAATCATGCCTTCTCAACAGTCCCCCAAAGTCTTACCTCATTCCAGAATCAACCCAAATTTCCCAAGTCCCAAGTCTCATCTGAAGATGACTCCCTTCCACCTATCAGCCTATGAAATCAAAGACAAATTATTGACTCCCAAAATACAATGAGAGTGCAGACATTGGGTAAACATTCCCATTCCACAAGGGAGAAGTTGGCAAAAAGAAAGGATCTACATGCCCCATATATGTCAGAAATCCAGCAGGGCAGTCATTAAATCTTAAAGCTCCAAGGTAATCTCCTTTGACTTCATGTCCCATATCCAGGGCACATTGGTGCAGGGGGTGGGCTCCCAAGGCCTTGGAAAACTCTACCCTTGTGGCTTTGGAGGATGTTGCCCCTGTGGCTTCTCTCACATGATAGAGTTGAGTGCCTGTGGCTTTTCCAGATTCAGGGTGCAAACTGCCAGTGGATCCACCATTCTGGGGTCTGGAGGACAGTGGCCCCCTTCCCACAGCTCCACTAGGCAGTGCCCTGGTGGGGACATTATATGGGGGTTCAACCCCACATTCTCTTTGGCACTGCTCTAGTAGAGGTTCTCTGTGAGGGCTCCATGCTGGCAGGAGGCTTCTGTCTGGGCACCTAGGCTTTCTCATACATTTCTGAAATCTAGAGGGAAGATGCCAAGCTTCCTTCACTCCTGTATTCTGGGGGCCTACAGGCTTAACACCAGATGGAAGTCACCAAGGCTTATAGTGGCTTGCACTCTCCAAAGAAGCAGCCTAAGCTATACTTGGGGCCCTTTGAGCCAAGGCTGGAGCCAGAGGAACCAGGATGTGGAGAGCAGTGTCCCAAGGCTGCACAGGCAGCAGTGGCCATGGCCATGGCCCACAAAACCATCCTTTCCCTCTTGGCCTCTGGGCCTGTGATGGGAAAGACCACCTCAGAGATTTCCAAAATGCCTTCAAGGCCTTCTTCCCTTTGTTCTGGATATGAGCACTTAGCTCTCTTTTAGTTATGCTAATCTCTCTAGCAACTGGCTGCTCCATAGCCTACTTATATTTGTCTCCTGAAAATACCTTTTCTTTTCTACCATATGGCCAGGCTGTGAATTTTCCACATTTTTAATGCTCTGCTTCCCTTTGTTGATGAAAAAAGCCAAACTCCATAAAACACTTGAAAAATTGATTCTGAGCCAAATATGAGAGCCATGAACTGTGGCACAGCCTCAAAAGGTCCTGAGAACATGTGTGCAAGGTGCTTGGGTTGCGGCCTGGTTTTATGTTTTAGGGAGACATGAGACATCAATCAATACATGTAAAGTATACATTGGTTTGGTTTGGTTTGGAAAAGCAGGACAATTCAAAGTGGGGAATTCCAAATCATAGGTGGATTTGAAGATTTTCTGATTGGCGATTGGCTGAAAAAGTTAAATTATCTAAAAAGTTGAAGTCAGCGAAAAGCAATGCTTAAGATAAGGGGGTTGTGGAAGCCAAGGTTCTTGTTATGTAGACGAAGCCTCCACGTTCCAGAGAGAAGAGATGGTCAATGTCTCTTATCAGAACCTAAAAGGTGCCAGACTCTTGGATAAATCTCTCCTGAATCAGGAAGAGACCTGGAAAGGGAAAAAGATTCTCAACAGAATATACATTTCCTCCACAAGAGACGGCTTTGCAGGGCCCTTCCAAAATGTGTCAGAGAAACATATTCTGGGATAAAATACTTTAATTTCCTTCCATGCCTGCCACCTGTCATGTGATGCTATACCAGAGTCAGGTTGGGATTTGATACCTTATTGCTACAAAGAGTCTGCTTTGTCAGTCTTAAGCTCCCTGTTTTAATGTTAACACTGGTCAGCTGAGCCTAAGCTCCAACAGGGAGAGGGTATAGTGAGGGAGTCCAAACCACCCTCCCCTTCCTGTCATGGCCTGAACTGGTTTTCCAGGTTTCTTTGGAATCCCCTTGGATTAGCATTTTATTTTTTCATTTGCAACTTTTAAATATAAGTTCCAACTTTAAGTCATTTCTTTGCTCCCATATCTTACCCTAGACTGTTAGAAGCAACCAGGTCACACCTTAGAAACGTCTGCTTAGAAATGTCTTCCCCAGATGCCCTAAGTCATCACTCTTAAGGTCAAACTTCCACAGATCCCTAGGGCATGAACACAATGCAGCCAAGTTGTATCTTAGGATTTAACAAGCGTGACCTTTACTCCAGTTCCCAATAAGTTCCTCATTTCCATCTGAGATTTCATCAGCCTGGCTTTCACAGTGCATATGTCTATCAGCATTTTGGTGACAACCATTTAATAGTCTCTAAGAAATTCCAAACTTTCCCTCATCTTCCTGTCTTCTTCTGAGTCCTCCAAATTCTTCTAACCTCTCTGCCTGTTACCTAATTCCAAAGCTGCTTCCACATTTTCAGGTATCTTTATAGCAATGTTCCACTCCTCAATACCAATGTTCTGTGTTAGTTTGTGTTACTAGAAAAAAAAATACATGAGGCTAGTAATTTATAAAGAAAAGGTGTTTAGGCCAGGCACTGTGGCTCATACCTGTCATCCTAGCATTTTGGGAGGCAGAAGCAGGAGGATCACTTGAGCTCAGAAGTTTGAGACCAGCCTGGGCAACATAGTGAGAACTTGTCTTGAAAAGACAAGAAGAAGGGAAGGGCGGGGGAGAGCAGAAGAGCAGAAGGGAAACACGGCCCTGGCATCTGCTTCTGGTGAGGCCTCAGGGAGATTGCAATCATGGCAGAAGGCGAAGGGGGAGCAGGCATGTCACATGGCAAGAGGGAGCAAGAGAAAAGAAGTGGCACGTCCCAGAATTGTAAACAACGAGCTGTCACAGGGACTAACTGAGGGAGAACTCACTCATCACCTGGGAGATGGTGCTAGGCCATTCATGAGGGGTCCAGCCCCATGATCTAATCACCTCCCACCAGGCCCACCTCCAACACTGGGGCCTGAGAGAGAAGAGAACCTCCCCCAGCACTCGGTGTGCATCGGTAGTGAAGGAGCCTCACCTGAGCCCCCGCTGTTGCTCAATCGAATTCCCAAGAACAGAGAGAAAAGGGAACTTCCAGGGTGGCCCGGGCCTCCAGGGGTTCCCACTCCATTTTTAGCTGAAAGCACTGAGGCAGAGCTCCCCCCACCCAGGCTCCACTGCCCGACACAGAAATAACAACCACGGTTACTGATCATCTGGGAGCTGTCCAGGAACCCGACAGGGAGCCGGACGGGCCACACCAGCCACAGGCACCAAATGGACGACCCGGCGCTTCAGGTATCCCAGCCCACCGGGAGCCCCAATCAAGGGGCCGGCCCAGGCAGCAGTGAGGGAGAGGCTGCCTGGGTCCCTGACAGCGAGGGGACTCCTGGGCCACCCTCACAGCATCAACCAAGCTTCTTAGTTACTGCATGGACTCCAGACGTCCCTTCCCTGCATGGGGACACAGGAAAGCTAGAAACAGCCTAACGCCGACCTGGAGAAGGCAGGGGGCTGGGAATCTTGGCTGGGCCCAAGACTAAGAAGGTCAGAGGCCCCATGCTGGGCAGGGCTAGGCTGGGTGCAGACTGCCTGTCACCCCCAGGACAGGGACAGCCAACCCAGAGCCGGGAGGGAGGGTGGGGAGGCGGCAGCAGGGAGCTGTCCTGAGCTCCACTGCGCAACTGGCTGATCTTGGCAAGTCCGAGCTGGGTGGACTGAGGGGGGCTTGGCTGAGTGGACTAGACTGAGACGGGCCTAACAGACTGAGCTGAGGCGAGCTGGGTGGGCTGAGAGGGCTACCCTGTCCCTTAGAGGACAGGTGGCCAAGCTGGGCTGTCCTGAGCCAGGGCGATCGGGGCTGGCCCGGGCCAGGCGGGTTTAGCTGAGTTGAGTGAGTGGACTGGGTAGAGGGAAATGAGCTAGGCTCAGCTGAGCTAGGCTTGAGCTGGGTTATCCTAAGCCCTAAGGTGGACTGAGCTGGGCTGAGCTGGACTTATCTGGGGAGCAGGGCAAAGTCAGGCTGAGCTGAGGTGGCCTGCCCTGGGTGGTCCAGGATTGAGTTAAGCTGAATTAGGCTGACCTGGACTTGACTGGACTTGGTTGAAATAAGCTGGGCCGACACAGGAGTAGGGACAAGCTACAGTTCTCTACTTAGGATAAAATGGGTGCTCGTGGACTATCCGGGCTGAAGGAGACCAAGCTGGGGTATTACCTGCTGAGCTTACCTGACCTGGCCTGAGTTCAGCAGGGCTGCGCTGAGCTGGACAGACCTGAGCCAAGCTTAGCTGGTTGGGCTGAGTAAGCTGGGCTGAGCTAAATGGGATTGAGCTGAGGAGGGCTAGGCTGGGGGAGAGACCTGACGACGGACAGGGTTAAAAGCTGGAGTGAGCAGGCCTTAAATTATTGAACTAAATTGGGCTGGGGTGATCTGAATTTAGCTGGGATGAGCTGGGCTGGGCTGAACTGTGCCCACGTGAACTGGGCTAAACTAGGCTCGCCTGAGTGGACTCAGCTGGGTTGGTCTCAACTGGGTTCAGCTGAGCTGGGCTCGGCTAGACTACACTGGGTTCAGCTGACACTACACTGGGTTCAACCCGAGAGGGGTGAGCGCCTACCTAAGCCGGCCCAGCCCGTTCGACCTGTTCATCCGCAAGTCGCCCACGATCACCTGTCTGGTGGTGGACCTGGCACCCAGCAAGTGGACCGTGAACCTGACCTGGTCCCGGGCCAGTGGGAAGCCTGTGAACCACTCCACCAGAAAGGAGGAGAAGCAGCGCAATGGCACGTTAACCGTCACGTCCACCCTGCCGGTGGGCACCCGAGACTGGATCGAAGGGGAGACCTACCAGTGCAGGGTGACCCACCCCCACCTGCCCAGGGCCCTCGTGCGGTCCACGACCAAGACCAGCGGTGAGCCACGGGCAGGCCGGGGTCGTGGGGGGAGGGAGGGAGCGAGTGAGCGGGGCCTGGGCTGACCCCACGTCTGGCCACAGGCCCGCGTGCTGCCCCGGAAGTCTATGCGTTTGCGACGCCGGAGTGGCTGGGGAGCCGGGACAAGCGCACCCTCACCTGCCTGATCCAGAACTTCATGCCTGAGGACATCTCGGTGCAGTGGCTGCACAACGAGGTGCAGCTCCCGGACGCCCGGCACAGCACGACGCAGCCCCGCAAGACCAAGGGCTCCGGCTTCTTCATCTTCAGCCGCCTGGAGGTGACCAGGGCCGAGTGGGAGCAGAAAGATGAGTTCATCTGCCGTGCAGTCCATGAGGCAGCGAGCCCCTCACAGACCGTCCAGCGAGCGGTGTCTGTAAATCCCGGTAAATGACGTACTCCTGCCTCCCTCCCTCCCAGGGCTCCGTCCAGCTGTGCAGTGGGGAGGGCTGGCCAGACCTTCTGTCCACTGTTGCAACGACCCCAGGAAGCTACCCCCAATAAACAGTGCCTGCTCAGAGCCCAGGGTACACCCGTTCTTGGGAGCGGGCAGGGCTGTGGGCAGGTGCATCTTGGCACAGAGGAATGGGCCCCCCAGGAGGGGCAGTGGGAGGAGGTGGGCAGGGCTGAGTCCCCCCAGGAGAGGTGGTGGGAGGAGGTGGGCAGGGCTGAGGTGCCACTCATCCATCTGCCTTCGTGTCAGGGTTATTTGTCAAACAGCGTATCTGCAGGGACTCATCACAGCTACCCCGGGCCCTCTCTGCCCCCACTCTCGGTCTACCCCCTCCAAGGAGTCCAAAGACCCAGGGGAGGTCCTCAGGGAAGGGGCAAGGGAGCCCCGACAGCCCTCTCTCTTGGGGGCTTGGCTTCTACCCCCCTGGACAGGAGCCCCTGCACCCCCAGGTATAGATGGGCACACAGGCCCCTCCAGGTAGAAAAACAGCCCTAAGTGAAACCCCCACACAGACACACACGACCCGACAGCCCTCGCCCAAGTCTGTGCCACTGGCGTTCGCCTCTCTGCCCTGTCCCACCTTGCCGAGTCCTGGCCCCAGCACCGGGGCCAGTGGAGCCGAGCCCACTCACACCCCGCAGCCTCCGCCACCCCGCCCTGTGGGCACACCAGGCCCAGGTCAGCAGCCAGGCCCCCTCTCCTACTGCCCCCCACCGCCCCTTGGTCCATCCTGAATCGGCCTCCAGGGGATCGCCAGCCTCACACACCCAGTCTCGCCCACTCACGCCTCACTCAAGGCACAGCTGTGCACACACTAGGCCCCATAGCAACTCCACAGCACCCTGTACCACCACCAGGGCGCCATAGACACCCCACACGTGGTCACACGTGGCCCACACTCCGCCTCCCACCCTGCCTCCAGCGAGGCTACTGCCAAGCCCTTCCTCTGAGCCATACCTGGGCCGCTGGATCCCAGAGAGAAATGGAGAGGCCCTCACGTGGTGTCCTCCAGTCCAACCCTCCCTGTCACCCTGTCAGCAGCACCCCACAGCCAAACACAGGATGGATGCGTGGGCTCCATCCCCCACTCACCCACACCGGAACCCCAGAGCAGGCTACGTGCCCCTCACAGACCTCAAACCCACATGTGCATCTGACACCCCAGATCCAAACGCTCCCCCCGGTCATGCACACCAAGGGCACAGCACCCACCAAATCCACACGGAAACACGGGCACCGGGCACCCCATGAGCACAAAGCCCCTCCATGTCTGAAGACAGTCCCTGCACACCGTCACAGCCATACATTCAGCTTCACTCTCACGTCCCAGCCCACCTGCACCCAGCTCTGGGCCTGGAGCAGCAGAAAGAGGTGTGAGGGCCCGAGGCCGGACCTGCACCTGCTGATGACCCGGGACCAGCAGGCAGCTCACGGTGTTGGGGAAGGGAGTGGAGGGGACTCAGGGCAGGAGCCAGAGGGACCAGGCTGGTGGGCGGGGCCGGGCCGGGGTAGGGCCAGGAGGCAGCTCTGGACACCCACAGGCCTGGGCTCATAGTCCACACCAGGACAGCCCCTCAGAGCACCCATGCAGTGAGTCCCAGGTCTTGGGAGCCAGGCCGCAGAGCTCACGCATCCTTCCGAGGGCCCTGAGTGAGGCGGCCACTCCTGTGCCGAGGGGTTGGGTCCTTCTCTGGGGAGGGCGTGGGGTCTAGAGAGGCGGAGTGGAGGTAACCAGAGGTCAGGAGAGAAGCCGTAAGGAACAGAGGGAAAATGGGGCCAGAGTGGGGGCCCAGGGACGAGAGGTCAGGAGTGGTCGGCCTGGCTCTGGGCCGTTGACTGACTCGGGACCTGGGTGCCCACCCTCAGGGCTGGCTGGCGGCTCCGCGCAGTCCCAGAGGGCCCCGGATAGGGTGCTCTGCCACTCCGGACAGCAGCAGGGACTGCCGAGAGCAGCAGGGGGCTCTGTCCCCCACCCCCGCTGCCACTGTGGAGCCGGGAGGGCTGACTGGCCAGGTCCCCCAGAGCTGGACGTGTGCGTGGAGGAGGCCGAGGGCGAGGCGCCGTGGACGTGGACCGGCCTCTGCATCTTCGCCGCACTCTTCCTGCTCAGCGTGAGCTACAGCGCCGCCATCACGCTCCTCATGGTGGGCACCCACCTCCAGGGGCCCGGCCAGGGCAGGGGGTTGGGCAGAGCCAGCAGAGCGCCCTGACCCACGCCCTCCCCTCAGGTGCAGCGGTTCCTCTCAGCCACGCGGCAGGGGAGGCCCCAGACCTCCCTCGACTACACCAACGTCCTCCAGCCCCACGCCTAGGCCGCGGGCCACTCACGCTCCACCAGGCCCAGCTTTTTCTCTGCCAGCGCCTGAGCCTCCCTCGGGCTGCGCCCTGCCCTGGGTGGGAAAAGGGAAGCAGACAAGAAAAGGGGGCACAAGGTCACTACTGTGGGCTGATGGCCAGTGAACCTGAGCCCAGAGGGGGCCGGCTCAGCCGCAAGGTTAAAGGCGCCGAGAGAACCACCAGTCGCAGCCCCCACCCGAAAACCGTGTCTGTCCCTTCAACAGAGTCATCGAGGAGGGGTGGCTGCTAGCCGTTCTGAGCTCATCCCAGGCCCCTGGGTCTCCGGGTCACTCCCATTCTGACTGTACAATCACCAAAAGCCAAGGAGGGCCCAGCACCCAGCCCAGGACACAGCTGAGTCTGCGTCCAGCCCAACACCAGCCCACGGCCTCACTCCCCAGCCTCGGTCTGACCCTTCTAGCCCTGAGATCCAAGTGCCTGGCATCCCCGTCCCCCAAGCCTCACCCAGACCTTCTTTCCCTTCACCCACCCCTCCTGCCACCCATCCACAGCCCCCATCCCTTCACCCACCCCTCCTGCCATCTATCCTCAGCCCCCATCCCTTCACCCACCCCTCCTGCCATCCATCCACAGCCCCCATCCCTTCACCCACCCCTCCTGCCATCTATCCTCAGCCCCCATCCCTTCACCCACCCCTCCTGCCATCCATCCACAGCCCCCATCCCTTCACCCACCCCTCCTGCCATCTATCCTCAGCCCCCATCCCTTCACCCACCCCTCCTGCCATCCATCCACAGCCCCCATCCCTTCACCCACCCCTCCTGCCATCTATCCTCAGCCCCCATCCCTTCACCCACCCCTCCTGCCATCCATCCACAGCCCCCATCCCTTCACCCACCCCTCCTGCCATCTATCCTCAGCCCCCATCCCTTCACCCACCCCTCCTGCCATCCATCCACAGCCCCCATCCCTTCACCCACCCCTCCTGCCATCTATCCTCAGCCCCCATCCCTTCACCCACCCCTCCTGCCATCCATCCACAGCCCCCATCCCTTCACCCACCCCTCCTGCCATCTATCCTCAGCCCCCATCCCTTCACCCACCCCTCCTGCCATCCATCCACAGCCCCCATCCCTTCACCCACCCCTCCTGCCATCTATCCTCAGCCCCCATCCCTTCACCCACCCCTCCTGCCACCCATCCAAAGCCCCCATCCCTTCACCCACCCCTCCTGCCATCCACCTCAGCCCCCATCCCTTCACCCACCCCTCCTGCCATCTATCCTCAGCCCCCATCCCTTCACCCACCCCTCCTGCCATCTATCCTCAGCCCCCATCCCTTCACCCACCCCTCCTGCCATCTATCCTCAGCCCCCATCCCTTCACCCACCCCTCCTGCCATCTATCCACAGCCCCCATCCCTTCACCCACCCCTCCTGCCATCCACCTCAGCCCCCATCCCTTCACCCACCCCTCCTGCCATCTATCCTCAGCCCCCATCCCTTCACCCACCCCTCCTGCCATCTATCCTCAGCCCCCATCCCTTCACCCACCCCTCCTGCCATCTATCCTCAGCCCCCATTTCTGCAGCCTGAAGGCACAGGGAAGCCCTCTGAGGCCAGGCCACAGGACGGTTGAGGGCTTCGGGCCCCTGGAGTGGGTAGAGGGGCTCCCACAGCCAGAGAAGGGGTTTCCTGCAGGGACAGCAGCTGCCGACCTCGTCCCTATGACCTCGTCCAGTGTCTGGCTTCAGCAGTCATACTTCTTTCTCTCTGAGTTTCTTAGTAAAGATCCTTTTCACAAACCCCACGTCTCCGGAGGGCTCTGTAGGAGGTGTGTGTGGCCCTGGAGTGGCTGGTGGGAGGCAGGACCCCTGAGGACGTGCAGGAGGAGCCAGAGGGGAAGGAAGGGCAGGGGCCATTCTGGGGTCCTGAGAGCCAAAGTGCCCAAGCAGTGGTTCCCATCAATCACCCCTCAGCACCCCAGAGACTCCCCAGCTCAGCGCTGTCATACCTGGTCTGCTGGTCTCCAGCCCAGACTCATGCCTCCTTCTCAGGTAAAGTCAAAGCAACAATCAACATCGACCCCTTTGTGGGCAAAACCAGAAGAGGCCCATGCTGTGGTCAGCACAGGAGGCCCCAAGAATGCAGCTGCACAGTCACCAAGGTGGAGGCTGGTGGGGGCCCCCAGGACCACTGGCCACACACCCTGATCCAGCACCCACTGAGCACAGACAAAGCTGACTCCCCAGCCCACAGCCGCCCACCAGCCTGGACCTCCTGAAGAGCTGAGAGGTGACCCAGGAGCAGGCTGGGGCCCCAGAGCCATCGGGGCCACAGGTGGGCTTGACCCACACCAGTCCTCAGGGCAAATGTGCAGCCTCCCTGGCTGGAGAGGCCTGCTTACAAGGGTCTCCACAACATCCTAAAAATGGGAGAGAACGCATGATAGGCATGACAAAGGGCAGGGTTCCCTCATATACAAAGAGCACTCAGAGATCACTAAGAAGAAAGGTGAGCAATAGGTTCTTCATGGAAAGGAAAAACCCAGTGGCCGATAATATAAAGAAACCATTTTAACAATGAGAAAAGTGAAAGGAAGGAGGAGGGGATGAAGGGGGTGGAGGTGCTTCTTGGCCCTGACTGAGGGCACGTAAATCATTAAGACCACTTTTTAGGGCCAGTTGGCAAAATGCCCCAATGCAGGAGAGTCCTCTCACAGTGATGGCCCCACAGGGAGAGCCTCGCTCTGTGCCAGGAGAGCCACGTCACATGGAGTCTGGCACAAAGCGGAATGAAGCAAGCCTGCCTCAGTCTGACAGCGGCACCTGGGCCCTCCGCCCTGTCCTCTGCTGCGACCTCGGAGCAGCCGGGCACGGGGGAGAAGGTGAGGAGCGACGGCTCCCTACGGGGTAGAAAACCCCAAAGCGGGCAGCGCTGAGGCTGACTGGGTCCAAACAACATCAGAGGAGGGGGCGTCGCAGGACAGGGCCAAGGCCACAGCCGCTGCCCAGCTCCCCTCACACACTCCCTCATTCACAGACACACACGCGGGCACACACTCGCACATGCAAAAACACACAGGTTCACACACACAGACTCAACCTCTCATACACATTTGCACTCACACACACCAATCATGCACTCACACAGGCTGACACGCTCGGGCACGCTCATACCAACACACACACAGTCTCAGGAAGCCAGGCCCTCCATCCACCCCATCACCAGCCCAGGGTGTCGCAAACCCACATCTCCTACAACAGACCGGCCCTCCGCAGCCAAGGTGCCCCGGACCGGGAGCCCCCCCGGGGGACAGAGCTCAGTGACTTTCTCTGCCCCGCACCCTAGATCATGAGACCTCCATGGCCCCAGAGCAAGGGCAAGGAGTCAGCTCACTGCCCCACTGTGTGGCAGGCGTCCTCACGCACAGAAAATTCCATCGCCTCAAAGGCCTGAGAGGAAGACCAGATGAGCACCCACGTAGAGGAGACAGACGGGGCCCGTGGGGAGGGGCAGAGGCCCGGATTCACACCCAGGCTCGGAACAGCGCCCCTGCCTTCCACATGGCCTGGCCTCCCGGGAGCAAGAGGATGCCGTCTCAGGGCCTCTCCATCCCCCTCTTCATTCCCCTATTAACCCACCCGTGGGTACAACCATGGCCCCCAAAAGATAGAGCCACATCCTAGCCCCTGGGGCCATTGAGTGCGGCGTTATTTGTCAAAAGGGCCTTTGCAGATCCCATCAAGATAAGGATTTCGAGGTGAGGGCACCCTGGATTGTCAAGGATTTCGAGGTGAAGGAACCCTGGATTGTCAAGGATTTCGAGGTGAAGGAACCCTGGATTGTCAAGGATTTCGAGGTGAGGGCGCCCTGGATTGTCAAGGATTTCGAGGTGAAGGAACCCTGGATTGTCAAGGATTTCGAGGTGAGGGCACCCTGGATTGTCAAGGATTTCGAGGTGAAGGAACCCTGGATTGTCAAGGATTTCGAGGTGAAGGAACCCTGGATTGTCAAGGATTTCAAGGTGAGGGCACCCTGGATTGTCAAGGATTTCGAGGTGAGGGAAACCTGGATTGTCAAGGATTTCGAGGTGAGGGAACCCTGGATTGTCAAGGATTTCGAGATGAGGGAACCCTGGATTGTCAAGGATTTCGAGGTGAGGGCACCCTGGATTGTCAAGGATTTCGAGGTGAAGGAACCCTGGATTGTCAAGGATTTCGAGGTGAGGGCGCCCTGGATTGTCAAGGATTTCGAGGTGAAGGAACCCTGGATTGTCAAGGATTTCGAGGTGAGGGCACCCTGGATTGTCAAGGATTTCGAGGTGAAGGAACCCTGGATTGTCAAGGATTTCGAGGTGAAGGAACCCTGGATTGTCAAGGATTTCGAGGTGAGGGCACCCTGGATTGTCAAGGATTTCGAGGTGAGGGAAACCTGGATTGTCAAGGATTTCGAGGTGAGGGAAACCTGGATTGTCAAGGATTTCGAGATGAGGGAACCCTGGATTGTCAAGGATTTCGAGGTGAGGGCACCCTGGATTGTCAAGGATTTCGAGGTGAGGGCACCCTGGATTGTCAAGGATTTCGAGGTGAGGGAACCCTGGATTGTCAAGGATTTCGAGGTGAAGGAACCCTGGATTGTCAAGGATTTCGAGGTGAGGGCACCCTGGATTGTCAAGGATTTCGAGGTGAGGGAAACCTGGATTGTCAAGGATTTCGAGGTGAGGGAAACCTGGATTGTCAAGGATTTCGAGATGAGGGAACCCTGGATTGTCAAGGATTTCGAGGTGAGGGCACCCTGGATTGTCAAGGATTTCGAGGTGAGGGCACCCTGGATTGTCAAGGATTTCGAGGTGAGGGAACCCTGGATTGTCAAGGATTTCGAGGTGAGGGAACCCTGGATTGTCAAGGATTTCGAGGTGAGGGCACCCTGGATTGTCAAGGATTTCGAGGTGAGGGCACCCTGGATTGTCAAGGATTTCGAGGTGAGGGAACCCTGGATTGTCAAGGATTTCGAGGTGAGGGCACCCTGGATTGTCAAGGATTTCAAGGTGAGGGCGCCCTGGATTGTCAAGGATTTCAAGGTGAAGGACACCCTGGATTATCGAGGGGGCTAGGTCCAAGGACAAGTGTCCTAGCTGGAGACAGACGAGGAGACACAGGGATGGGGAGAGGCAGAGGCAGACAGGGGTGGTGCTATGGTCTGAGGGTCTGTGTCTGCCCGAAACTCCTGTGTGACAGCCGTCATCCCAGAGTGAGAGCATGCAGAGCTGGGGCCTCAGGGAGGTGGTTAGGGCCTGAGGGGGAACCCTCAAAAATGTGATTCGGTCCCTAATCTCACTAGAGACCCTAAAGAAAAGGGACCCCAGAGAGCAGCCCTGCCCTCTTTCCACCACGTGAGGACGCAGTGAAAAGATGGGGGTCTGTGAACCAGGAATCGACCCTTCCTGGAACTTGACCCTGCTGCCATCCTGACCTTGAACTTCCAGCTTCGAGAACCGTGAGAAATGAATGTTGCTGCTGAACCCACCAGTCTATGGTATTTTTGTTATTGCAGCCAGAAATGACTAAGATGCAGCAGCCACGTCCCCCTGGCGAGGGCCGGGGGCATCCCAAGGTTCATAACAAAAGCTCCAGAGCTTCCCTGAACCGCCAGGTGTGTCTTCCCAGGACCCTGGGGCAGCCCCAGGCTACCTCCCTCCTCCTCTGACCCCACCTGCCCTGATCCGGCCTCACTGTCACTCCCTGGATTTCACCCGACAGCCTCCGCCGGGGTGGCCCGGCCCCATGGCCAGGGCATCTTCCATTCACGCCCACGCTTTCCAGGACTCCGCTGCAGCAGCTCCTCTGTGAAGCGCCTCTGGCCTCCCATTGCCGGTGCCACCCGAGCCCCCAGACATAGCTGGCCTCCCCCGACTCCAGGGCCAGCATCGCTGGCGGGATCTCTCCAACGCAACGGCCAGCTCTCTGGTGACCCACAGTAGGAGTGCCACCTGGGCAGCGCTGGACAGGGTAGAGCAGGCACCTTGGCCACCCTGACCCGCAGGGCTGCAGGCTAGGAGACGGGGTGCCCCCATGCCCCCACCCTGGGCTGCAGTCTGGGGCCCCCAGCGGCCCATGGGGCAGACCGAGGGAGGCCAGGCCGGAGTGGCTCCAACCCAGCAGCGCAAGACTCACTCTCCCCAGCCTGATGCCCGCCCTGTGGCCCCAAGGCCCCCTCAACGGGAGTCCACTCACAGGCACCCTTCCCCTGCGGGTGGTCGGGGACCCTCTCTGGCCCTGTGTCTCCCCTTTGCCATCTCTGTCTCGGGGTCTCTGAGCCTCTAACTGTGTCTGTTCCTGTTTCCCTGCATCGTGGCCCCCACCCCGCCCTGTGGAGCCATGTGGAGCCATGAGGCTCCACGGCCGGTGGGGTCACAGAGCCCTGGCCACACACACCTGGCCCCACCACAGCCAGACCACAGGCCAGACATGACGTGGAGCCGCGCGGCCGTGTCTGCTGGGGCAGGAAGTGGGCGAGTGACCCTGTCTGTAGGCCAGACGTACGGGCATGCAGGCCCTCCCCTCCAGCCCCTCAGCATCCAGCCACATCTGTGGACACAGCCAGCGAGGCAGAGCAGGGCTCTGCTAAGGACAGACGGCCATCAAGGCAGGGCCTGGGCCGGGCCAGGGCTCCCTCCCCACAGCAGCCCTCTTGGCAGGCAGCCAGACGCCCGTGAGGGTGGACCTGCCATGAGGGCCTGCACGCCGGAGGCCGCCCACTCAGCACTGCGGGCCCTCCAGCAGCCTGACCAGGTGGGTCTTGGAGGTCTCCAGGCCTCCGTCTCCTCCTCTGCACATTGAGGAGTCCAGCCAGGCTGGTCCTGGCCCCTTCTGGAAGCAAAAGGTGGAGAACAGGCACCAAGACAAGAGGGAAGGACAAAAGAGGTCACCACAGGGACTCCGGAACCACAGGGCAGGGCTTCCTAACCAGGCAGGAAGGATCTGGGCACTGGGGGCTGAGCCAGGCTGGCCAGGCCTAACCAGGGATGACCCGGCCCTTCCTGGGATACAAGGTGAACAGGTTTCATGGCTGAGCTGAGGCCTAGGCTGAGCCGAGCCAGAGGGCAAAGAAGATGACGTGGAGCCAGCTGATACACGTCCATGTGGGCTGCCCTGAGCTGCCCTGGGCTGGGCTGGGCTGAGCAAGGCTAGGCTGAACTGGGCTGAGCTGAACTGGTCTGGGCTGAGCTGGGCTGAGCTAGGCTGGGCTGAGCTGGGCTGGGCTGAGCTAGTCTGGGCTGAGCTGGACTGGGCTGGGCTGAGCTGGACTGGGCTGGGCTGAGCTGGACTGGGCTGGGCTGAGCTGGGCTGAGCTAGGCTGGGCTGAGCTAGTCTGGGCTGAGCTGGACTGGGCTGGGCTGAGCTGGGCTGGGCTGGGCTTGGACGAGCTGGGCTGGGCTGGGTTGAGCTGAGCTGAGCTGAGCTGGGCTGAGCTGGGCTGGGCTGGGCTGGGCTGGGCTGAGCTGGGCTGAGCTGGGCTGGGCTAAGCTGGACTGGGCTGGGCTGAGCTGGACTGGGCTGGGCTGAGCTAGACTTGGCTGAGCTGGGCTGGGCTGGGCTGGGCTGAGCTGGGCTAAGCTGGACTGGGCTGAGCTGTGCTGGGCTGAGCTGGGCTAAGCTGGACTGGGCTGTGCTGTGCTGAGCTGGGCTGGGCTGAGCTGAGCTGGGCTGGGCTGAGCTGAGCTGGGCTGGACTGGGCTGGGATGAGCTGGACTGGGCTGGGATGAGCTGGGCTGGGCTGGGCTGAGCTGGGCTGAGCTGGGCTGGGCTGAGCTGAGCTGAGCTGGGCTGGGCTGGGATGAGCTGGGCTGGGCTGGGCTGGGCTGGGCTGGGCTGGGCTGGGTTGGGCTGAGCTAGACTGGGCTGAGCTGAGCTGGGCTGAGCTGGACTGGGCCGGGCTGAGCTGGGCCGGGCCGGATTGGGCCGGGCCGGGCCGGACTGGGCCGGGCCGAGCCGGGCCGGGCCGGGCTGAGCGGGTCTGAGCTGGGCTGAGCTGAGCTGGGCTGAGCTAGACCAGGCTCGGGTGAGCTAGGCCAGGCTGGGCTGGGCTGGGCTGGGCTGGGCTGAGCTGTGCTGGGCTGGGCTGGGCTGGGCTGAGCTGTGCTGGGCTGGGCTGGGACAAGCTGGGCTGGGCTGGGCTGGGACGAGCTGGGCTGGGCTGGGCTGGGATGAGCTGGGCTGGGCTGAGCTGAGCTAGGGTGGGCTGAGCTGAGCTGGGTTGAGCTAGACCAGGCTGGGGTGAGCTAGGCTGGGCTGGGCTGGGCCGGGTTGGGCTGGGCCGGGCTGGGCCGGGATGGGATGGGCTGGGCTGGGCTGGGCTGGGCTGGGCTGGGACGGGCTGGGCTGGGCTGGGCTGGGACGAGCTGGGCTGGCCTGGGTTGAGCTGAGCTGAGCTGAGCTGAGCTGGGCTGGCCTGAGCTGGGCTGGGCTAGGCTGGGCTGGGCTGGGCTGGGCTTGGACGAGCTGGGCTGCCCTGGGTTGAGCTGAGCTGAGCTGAGCTGGGCTGGGGTGAGCTGGGCTGGGCTGGGTTGGGCTGAGCTAGACTGGGCTGGGCTGGGCTGGGCTGAGCTGGGCTAAGCTGGACTGGGCTGGGCTGGGTTGGGCTGAACTGGGCTGGGCTGAGTTGGGCTGAGCTGGGCTGAGCTGAGTTGGGCTGAGCTGGGCTGAGCTGAGTTGGGCTGGGCTGAGCTGGGCTAAGCTGGACCTGGCTGGGGTGAGCTAGGCTGGGCTGCGCTGAGCTGGGCTGGGCTGGGCTGGGCTGAGCTGGGCTGGGCTGAGCTGAGCTGGGCTGACCTGGGCTGGGCTGACCTGGGCTGGGCTAAGCTGGACTGATCTGGGCTAGGCTGGGCTGGGCTGACCTAAGCTGAGCCAGACTGGGCTGAGCTGGGTGAGCTTAGGTGGATTGAGCTGGACTGGGCTGAGCTGAGCTGGGCTGAGCTGGACTGGGCTAGGCTGAGCTGAGCTTGGTTGGGTTGACCTGGGCTGAGCTGAGCTGAATTGGGTTGACCTGGGCTGAGCTGGGTTCGGCTGGGCTAGGCTGACCTGGGCTGGGCTGAGCTGAGCTAGGCTTGGATGAGCTGAGCTGGGCTGGGTTGGACTGCGCTGGGCTGGGTTGGACTGGTCTGGGCTGACCTGAGCTGTACTGAGCTGGTCTGACCTGTGCTGAGCTGGGCTGGGCTAGGCTGAGCTGGGCTGACCTGTGTTGGGCTGGGCTGGGCTAAGCTGGGCTAGGCTGGGCTGAGCTGGACGGAGCTGACCTGGGTGAGCTTAAGTGGACTGAGCTGAGCTGGACTGACCTGGGCTAAGCTAAGCTGGGCTGACCTGTGCTGGGCTGGGCTGGACTAGGCTGGGCTGAGCTGGACTGAGCTGAGCTAGACTGAGCTGAGCTGGGTGAGCTTAGGTGGACTGAGCTGGGCTGGGCTGAGCTGAGCTGGACTGGGCTGGGCCGAACTGAGCTAGACTGGGCTGAGCTGGGCTGAGCTGGGGTGGGCTGAGCTAGGCTGAGCTGGGGTGGGCTGAGCTGGGCTGAGCTAGGCTGAGCTGAGCTGGGTTTGGTTGACATGGACTGAGCTGTGTTGAGCTGGGCTAGGCTAAGCTAGGCTGGGCGGAGCTGAGCTGGGTTGGGCTGAGCTGAACTGGGCTGGACTGGGCTGGACTGGGCTGGGCTGGGCTGGGCTGGGCTGAGCTGAGCTGAGCTGTACTGAGCTGGCCTGGGCCAGGCTGAGCTGGGCTGGGCTGAGCTGTACTAAGCTGGCCTGGGCTGGGCTGAGCTGTACTGAGCTGGCCTGGGCTGGGTTGACCTGGGCTGAGCTGGACTAAGCTGGGCTGACCTGGGCTGGGATGGGATGGGCTAGGATGACTTGGGCTGGACTGGGCGGGACTGAGCTGGACTGGCCTGGGCTGAGCTGGGCTGGGCTGGACTGAGCTGGACTGGCCTGGGCTGGGCTGGGCGGGATGGGCTGAGGTGGCTGCTAATGTGGGAAAGAGGCCGTGGGTTGAGTGTGATTCCACCTGCAGAGCCCTGAGCCCAGCTGTGTTCTTAGGGGTTCTGAGGGCCACGCAGCTCTGTTGCACCATGATTCTGTCTTCTCTCTTGCCCACTGCCTGAAGGAAATTTGGAGTGGGCTGGGCCCAGAGCTCCCCTGTATAGCAGGCCCTGTCCTGGAGGGCCTGGCAGGGACATGGCTTAGCCTGTTGGCCTCTAGTCCCGAGACCTCATAGGCCACAGGGGTCCACTGTGGCTTGTTTGGGCCTGGGGTGGGGCTCATGGAGTGGTGGGTGTTGGACTGAGACTCTGACCAGGGACAGGGGGATGGGGTCACAGCCAAGCCACTCCACCCCTACCCCATGCACACAGCACTCAGAGCCCAGACCCTCTCCTAAGAGCCCCCACCAAAATCCTCTCTAGGGGCAGGGGATAGAGCAAGACATGTCCCCCACCCAGAGCAGGGGCTGCGGTCAGGGAGCTCAGGGGACTCAGCCACTCCATGGCAGAGCCCTGTTTAATACAACTTGTGTCTGGGATGGCCTGAATCAGAGACCCTATCTAAGGAGCATGTTCAGAAACCATGTTGCTGGGATCAGACAGCAGGGTCCAACTGCAGGCCTGTGGTGCAGGAGCTGTGTGACCATGGGGCTGTCACCAGGCCTCTCTGTGCTGGGTTCCTCCAGTATAGAGGAGAGGCAGTATAGAGGAGAGGGCCGCGTCCTCACAGTGCATTCTGTGTTCCAGCATCCCCGACCAGCCCCAAGGTCTTCCCGCTGAGCCTCTGCAGCACCCAGCCAGATGGGAACGTGGTCATCGCCTGCCTGGTCCAGGGCTTCTTCCCCCAGGAGCCACTCAGTGTGACCTGGAGCGAAAGCGGACAGGGCGTGACCGCCAGAAACTTCCCACCCAGCCAGGATGCCTCCGGGGACCTGTACACCACGAGCAGCCAGCTGACCCTGCCGGCCACACAGTGCCTAGCCGGCAAGTCCGTGACATGCCACGTGAAGCACTACACGAATCCCAGCCAGGATGTGACTGTGCCCTGCCCAGGTCAGAGGGCAGGCTGGGGAGTGGGGCGGGGCCACCCCGTCGTGCCCTGACACTGCGCCTGCACCCGTGTTCCCCACAGGGAGCCGCCCCTTCACTCACACCAGAGTGGACCGCGGGCCGAGCCCCAGGAGGTGGTGGTGGACAGGCCAGGAGGGGCGAGGCGGGGGCATGGGGAAGTATGTGCTGACCAGCTCAGGCCATCTCTCCACTCCAGTTCCCTCAACTCCACCTACCCCATCTCCCTCAACTCCACCTACCCCATCTCCCTCATGCTGCCACCCCCGACTGTCACTGCACCGACCGGCCCTCGAGGACCTGCTCTTAGGTTCAGAAGCGAACCTCACGTGCACACTGACCGGCCTGAGAGATGCCTCAGGTGTCACCTTCACCTGGACGCCCTCAAGTGGGAAGAGCGCTGTTCAAGGACCACCTGAGCGTGACCTCTGTGGCTGCTACAGCGTGTCCAGTGTCCTGCCGGGCTGTGCCGAGCCATGGAACCATGGGAAGACCTTCACTTGCACTGCTGCCTACCCCGAGTCCAAGACCCCGCTAACCGCCACCCTCTCAAAATCCGGTGGGTCCAGACCCTGCTCGGGGCCCTGCTCAGTGCTCTGGTTTGCAAAGCATATTCCTGGCCTGCCTCCTCCCTCCCAATCCTGGGCTCCAGTGCTCATGCCAAGTACAGAGGGAAACTGAGGCAGGCTGAGGGGCCAGGACACAGCCCAGGGTGCCCACCAGAGCAGAGGGGCTCTCTCATCCCCTGCCCAGCCCCCTGACCTGGCTCTCTACCCTCCAGGAAACACATTCCGGCCCGAGGTCCACCTGCTGCCGCCGCCGTCGGAGGAGCTGGCCCTGAACGAGCTGGTGACGCTGACGTGCCTGGCACGCGGCTTCAGCCCCAAGGATGTGCTGGTTCGCTGGCTGCAGGGGTCACAGGAGCTGCCCCGCGAGAAGTACCTGACTTGGGCATCCCGGCAGGAGCCCAGCCAGGGCACCACCACCTTCGCTGTGACCAGCATACTGCGCGTGGCAGCCGAGGACTGGAAGAAGGGGGACACCTTCTCCTGCATGGTGGGCCACGAGGCCCTGCCGCTGGCCTTCACACAGAAGACCATCGACCGCTTGGCGGGTAAACCCACCCATGTCAATGTGTCTGTTGTCATGGCGGAGGTGGACGGCACCTGCTACTGAGCCGCCCGCCTGTCCCCACCCCTGAATAAACTCCATGCTCCCCCAAGCAGCCCCACGCTTCCATCCGGCGCC
The DNA here is from genome assembly GCF_000001405.40 of Homo sapiens. NCBI lineage: Eukaryota > Metazoa > Chordata > Mammalia > Primates > Hominidae > Homo > Homo sapiens. The sequence continues at coordinate 105,707,095 of NC_000014.9, read as the reverse complement.
TGTCTGTCCATCCTCAGGGTCTCAGCACTTGGGAAAGGGCCAGGGCATGGACAGGGAAGAATACCCCCTGCCCTCAGCCTCGGGGGGCCCCTGGCACCCCCCTGAGCCTTTCCACCCTGGTGTGAGTGTGAGTTGTGAGTGTGAGAGTGTGTGGTGCAGGAGGCCTCGCTGGTGTGAGATCTTAGGTCTGCCAAGGCAGGCACAGCCCAGGATGGGTTCTGAGAGATGCACATGCCCCGGACAGTTCTGAGTGAGCAGTGGCATGGCCGTTTGTCCCTGAGAGAGCCGCCTCTGGCTGTAGCTGGGAGGGAATAGGGAGGGTAAAAGGAGCAGGCTAGCCAAGAAAGGCGCAGGTAGTGGCAGGAGCGGCGAGGGAGTGAGGGGCTGGACTCCAGGGCCCCACTGGGAGGACAAGCTCCAGGAGGGCCCCACCACCCTAGTGGGTGGGCCTCAGGACGTCCCACTGACGCATGCAGGAAGGGGCACCTCCCCTTAACCACACTGCTCTGTACGGGGCACGTGGGCACAGGTGCACACTCACACTCACATATACGCCTGAGCCCTGCAGGAGCGGAACGTTCACAGCCCAGACCCAGTTCCAGAAAAGCCAGGGGAGTCCCCTCCCAAGCCCCCAAGCTCAGCCTGCTCCCCTAGGCCCCTCTGGCTTCCCTGTGTTTCCACTGTGCACAGATCAGGCACCAACTCCACAGACCCCTCCCAGGCAGCCCCTGCTCCCTGCCTGGCCAAGTCTCCCATCCCTTCCTAAGCCCAACTAGGACCCAAAGCATAGACAGGGAGGGGCCACGTGGGGTGGCATCAGAAGCAGGCCAGTGAGACAGGGCCTGCCCAGGGCCCTCTGCATGCCTCTGGCTTCTGCCTGGGGCTCCCAGGAGTGTAAGAACAGTCCCACAACCACTGTGGGGACACCTGGCACCCAGACTCCCACAAGGGGGCAGTGGGGCCCCTGCTCGTGCCTTAGACATCTTCCGGGCCTCCCCAGGGCCCCCCGCCTTCTGGCTGCCTCCCTCTGCTCTCAGGGCCAAGGTGAGGTGGAGGCCACTGTCACCCCTGAGGGTCCAGTCACCAGAGGGTAATTGAGAGCAACAGGTCACTCGGGGAAGCCCTGCCACAGAGAAGCCCTCCAGCCCATGGGACCCAGGACCTGGCCCAGGGGAGGGGCTTTTAAAGAGAGGGGGAAAGAGGGAGAATCAACAGATGAGGGGCTGAACCAGCAGACAGAGATCAGGCAGACACATGGGTAGATCCTAGGACATATAATGAATGGATGGGTGGATGGAGGATTGGTAGACGGAGGATGGATGGGTGGGTAAATGGCTGGATGGAGGATGGACAGATGGATATATGATGGATGGATGAAGGACGGGTGGATGGAGGATGGATGAGTGGATGAATGAAGGATGGAAGATGGATGGATGGATGGGTGGATGGACTGATGGATGATGGATGGATGGATGGATGGATGATGGATGGATGGGTAGGCGGATGGAGGATGGAAGGGTGGATGGAGGATGGAAGATAGATGGAGGGGTGAATGGAGGATGGGTGGACTGACGGAGGATTGAGGATACTGGGGTGGGTGGGTGGGTAGATCTATGGAGGATAGGTGTATGGAAGATAATTGGATGGAGAATTGCTTTATGAATGGATGAATGAAGAGATGGAAAATAGCTTTATAGATGGATGGGTGAATGGATGGATGGATAGATGGAAGAAGGATGAATGGATGGAAAATAGCTTTATAGATATATGGGTGGATATTTAAGTGATAGCCTTACATTAATAGATGAATGGAGGATGAATGGTTGGGTGAGTGGGTAGGAGTGTTACTGATGGAGGGGTGGATATACGGATAATAGCTTTATAGATGGATGGATGGATAGATGGATGGAAGGATAGAAAGACAGGTGAATGACTGGATGTATCAGCATATGACAAGCAGGTACAGCTGTACATGGGAGGTCTATGCCCTGAGACCCTGAGGAAAATGAGGATGCCCGTGCTGGTGGCCCTCACCTGGCCCTCGCTTGTAACCCCTCAGCCACATTCCCTGGGAAGGCAACAGAGGCCTCTGGTCTTGCCCATTCAACCTTTGGCACACTGAGTGTCAGACCCAGGTCTCTGTCTTGGACCCAGATCTCCTTGAGGGTGGGTGTGTCTGGTCCTCTCTGGCCCCGGGACCCAGTCACTGAATACGTGGCTGGGACTGAGACGGGGTGGGGTGGGAGGGGCGGGAGGGTACCTCGGGCTCAAGCTTCCCTTGGAGAAGCAGATGGTGTCCACTTTCTGCCCTGCCAAGTCTCTCCCTGAAGTGCCCTAAGAATGTCAAAGACAGAAGGTCCCAGCCCCTCACCTGGGACTCTGCCTCCTCATCCTCCCTGGGGGAGTCTCAGGCCTTAGATGGGGACCCAGACCCCACTGTCCCCAGACCCCAAGGAAGCATAGCCGCTGTTCACACGAGTCTGGGCCTGGCAGGCTCTTGCTGTGTTGCAGATTGGCAGATGCCGCCTCCCTATGTGGTGCTGGACTTGCCGCAGGAGACCCTGGAGGAGGAGACCCCCGGCGCCAACCTGTGGCCCACCACCATCACCTTCCTCACCCTCTTCCTGCTGAGCCTGTTCTATAGCACAGCACTGACCGTGACCAGCGTCCGGGGCCCATCTGGCAACAGGGAGGGCCCCCAGTACTGAGCAGGAGCCGGCAAGGCACAGGTGGGAGCCCAGGAGGGGGATGAGCCCACAGTAGATGAGGTGGGCTGCAGTGCTTGGCTAAGAGGAGAGCACCACCTGCTCCCACTGTGGGGGGACGTGCTCTCCTGGGGGGCCCTTCACAGACACTGAGGACACGCGCAGGCCCAGGGTCAGGGCTGAGCTTCCCTCCAGTGCAGTAACGAGGATTCCGTCCAGGCTCCCATGAGCCAGGCCAGGGCTGAGACAGAGGGCGTTGGCAAGGATGCTGCTCCTTCAGGCTGTGACCCCTCTGTCTTTGCAGGGAGGAAGTGTGGAGGAACCTCTTGGAGAAGCCAGCTATGCTTGCCAGAACTCAGCCCTTTCAGACATCACCGACCCGCCCTTACTCACATGCCTTCCAGGTGCAATAAAGTGGCCCCAAGGAAAATGTTCACAGACTCTGAATGAGGAGACGGGGGTCAGGGAAAGGGTGGTGGCTTTAGACTGGAGAACGCCTGCTTCAAAGTCCCCCTGGGTGTCATGGTGGTCATGGTGGGCATGGACAGAGGGTACCCCTGGTCCCAAAATCAAGAAATGACCTGATCTTGAATGAGGCTGAGGCCCAAGGATGAATGCTGGATTCACCAGAGACCATGGCAAAGAAGCCTGCTCCTAAGAACTACATGGGATCCCTGTTCCTCATAACCTAGACAGCCCTGGTCCTCCTCACTGGGTCCTCATCCTGATCACAGGGCCCTGGTCCTGACCAGTGGGCCCGTTTACCGATCACTGAGCTCTGGTCCTACTACTTGGTCCCTGTTCCTGATCACTTAATTCTAGCCTTGATCACTGAGCCTTAGTCCTGATCACTGAGTCCTACTCCTGTTTTTGGCCCTGGACCTCATCACTCAGCCCTGGTCCTCATCACTCAGCCCCGGTCCTGGTCACTCAGCCCTGGTCCTCGTCACTGAGCCCTGGACCTCCTCACTCAGCCCTGGACCTCCTCACTCAGCCCTGGACCTCCTCACTCAGCCCTGGTCCTCATCACTCAGCCCTGGACCTCATCACTCAGCCCTGGTCCTCATCACTCAGCCCTGGACCTCCTCACTCAGCCCTGGACCTCATCACTCAGCCCTGGTCCTGGTCACTCAGCCCTGGACCTCGTCACTCAGCCCTGGACCTCGTCACTCAGCCCTGGACCTCGTCACTCAGCCCTGGTCCTCATCACTCAGCCCTGGACCTCATCACTCAGCCCTGGACCTCCTCACTCAGCCCTGGACCTCATCACTCAGCCCTGGACCTCCTCACTTAGCCCTGGACCTCGTCACTCAGCCCTGGTCCTGGTCACTCAGCCCTGGTCCTCATCACTCAGCCCTGGACCTCATCACTCAGCCCTGGTCCTCATCACTCAGCCCTGGTCCTGATCACCCAGCCCTGGTCCTGATCACTCAGTCCTGGTCCAGATCACACAGCCCTGGTCCTGATCACTCCATCCTAGTCCTCATCACTCAGCCCTGGTCCTGATCACCCAGCCCTGGTCCTGATCACTCAGTCCTGGTCCAGATCACTCAGCCCTGGTCCTGATCACTCAGCTCTGGTCCTGATTATTAGATCCTGATGCTAGTCACTGGGCACTGGGCACTGGGCCCTGATCCTAATCACTGAACCCTGCTCCTGATCAATGAACCCTGGCCCTGATCAAAGGGCTTTGCTCCTGATCACTGGGCCCTGGTCATGCTGTGTTCTGGTCCTTACCCCTGAACTCTGGTCCTGATTACTGAGTCTTGGTCCTGATCCCTGAGTCCTAGACTTGATCACTCAATTCCAGTCCTCATCAGTGGGCCCTGGTCGTGATCACTGAGCCCTGATCTGGATCACTAGGCTCTGGTCCTAACTCAGTCCTGGTCTGGATCGCTGAGTCTTGATCCTGATCACTGGGCCATGTTCTGGATCAATGAGCCCTGGCCCTGATCACTGGGCCCTGGTCCTGCTAACTATGCTCTGGTCCTGACCACTGAGCCCTTGTCCCAGTCAACAGTCAATAACTGAGCTCTGGTCCTAGTCAATAGTCAATCACTGAGCCCTGGTCCTGATCACTGGGTCCTGGTCCTGATCACTGGGTCCTGTTCTTATCCCTGAATCTTGGTCCTGATCACTGAGCCCTGGCCCTCATCACTGGGTCTTGTTCCTAATCACTGGGCTCTGGTTCTGACCAATGGCCCCTGGTTCTGGTCCCTGACTCCTGGTCCTGATCAATGGGCTCTGCTCTTGACTTCTGAGTCCTGGTGCTGATCATCCAGTCCTGGTCCTGATCACTGGGCCCTGATTCTAATCACTCAGACCTCCTTTTGATCACTGAACCCTAGTATTTATCACTGAGCCCTGATCCTGATCGTTGGGCCCTATTTCTGGTAACTGAGCTCTGATCCTGACCACTGACCTCTGTTCCTAATCACTGAGCCCTGGACCAGATCACTGGCCCCTGGTCCTGATCACTGGCCCCTGGACCTGATCACTGACCCTTGTTCCCGATTGCTGAGCCCTGGACCTGATCACTGAGCCCTGTTCCTGATCACTAACCCCTATTCCTGATCACTGAGCCCTGGTCCTGATTACTGAGCCCTGGACCCAGTCAATGACCCCTGTTCCTGATCACTGAGCCCTGGACCAAATCACTGAGCCCTGGACCAGATCACTGGGCCCTGGTCTTGATCACTGGGCCCTGGTCCTGATTACTGAGCCCTGATCCTGATCACTGGGCCCTGTTCCTGACCACTGAGCCCTGGACCAGACCGCGGATCCCTGTTCCTGATCACTGATCTCTGGTTCTTTAATTATGCATATTCATTTTGAAATCTGATTCCTTTTCTGAGCATGTATCAGTCTGACTAGACACTGAGTCCTGTCTGATTTCTGAGCCTTGGCCCTCATGAGTAAGTGACCTGCAGTGGTGGAGGGAGGCCTCCAGGGGAGCCGAGACCCTCTCAGTGCATGTACTCACTGGTAGATGAAGAAATGACCCCAATGACTTGCTCCATTTTTCCAGGCTCAGAGGGGTGTGTAGGCCCCAGGAGGACTTGGTGGCGAGAAGACCAGCCCAGGCCCTGTGAGCTACACCCAGCCCCAGCCCCTAAGGGGTCGCCAGGTCTCGACTTAGCACTGGGGAGGGGGTACAGTACAGGAGTGGGGACAGGAAGGTGAGGGGAGGCCATGCCGTTTGTATTCTCTTGCTTTTCTCTCTCTCCTGAAGCCTCTTGAATAGACCTGCAGAAATACCCAAAATAGCCCTGTGGGGTGGCTGAGTCATTGTGAACACAGCCCAGGTCAGGTGTTCCAGCCAGAGAACTGCTGTTCTGAGAAACATGCCCCAAAACCGAGACCTGGCCAGGTGTGCCTGGGGCCTGAGCGAGGGGCTGCAGCCACAGGTAGGCCCAGCCCCAACCAGCCCAGGGTCAGCTAGGGCTTTCCAGGTCCAGGGTTAGGCAGAGGTCAGCCAGGGTCAACCATGGTCTATCTGAGGGGAGAGACAAGAGACACAGAGACATAGAGAGAGAGAGAGACAGGGATGGGGAGAGACAAGAGAGACAGGAAAGGAGAGACAAAGACAGACACAGAGAGAGAGATGGGGATGGAGAGAGATAAGAGACAGGGACAGGGAGGGACAGAGGCGAGGCCAGTGACAGAGACAGAGTTACAAGAGACAGAAAGAGAGAGAGATGAGATGAGAGAGATAAGAAGAAACGGAGACAGAGATGGGAGAAAAAGAGAGGAGATGGGAACAGGGAAAAAGAGACATGGAGACAGACATGCAGAGAGAACACAACAGAGGCAGAGAACACACAGGGAGAGAAAGAGGCAGCAAGATGGGCCCAGGAACTCAGCTGCAAGCCCCTCTCACACAGTCACTCTCACAAACACACACCACGACTATTATACAACATTCACACACAAACACACAGAAACATACCCACGCTCACAGCCACACACTAAGTCACTGTCACATCCATACCCACACTCACACCCAAACACACATGGCCCAGGAGCAAATGGGGAGACCTCAGCCTGCAGCTGGGAGCGGCCGAGCGGGCGCTGGGCCAGAGTCGGGGCCTGTCTGTGGGTGGGGGGCACGGCAGCACGGGCCCACCTGCACCTACAAGGCCTGGCCCCCGAGGTCACTGGGCCACCACCCAGCCCTCGCCCTGTTCCCCGTCTGTGCTGGCCGGGGCAGGACTCTGAGCCTCCAGGAAACCTGCAGATCCACACAGGACCCGGAACATCGGGCTGGGGTGGGTAACAACATGGGAGAGGCGGGAGCAGGAGGTCCCAGGACCCTGCGCACTGCGACCCCAGCCCTGGGGGCTGAAGCCCAGGACAGCCTCAGGTCTCCCAGGAGGGACTGGACAGTGGGGGATGGTCAGAGAACAGGAGAGCCAGCAGGGTGCAGCCCGAGGACAGGGATGGACGCTGGGAGGTCAACAGGACAGGGGCAGGGGCCGTGGAGTGGGCGAAGGTCCTGGAGGGCCTAGAGAACCTGTGGGTCCGTGTTTGTGGGAAGGAGGCCAGGAGCAGCCCAGAGTGGCCAGGCTGGCAGGGGTGAGGAGGTGGGGGCAGTGAGGTGAGGGTGACCGAGCCAGTGAGGCCTCTGGCCAGGGAGGGGACCTTGGCTGGGCTCTGACTGAACCCAGGGCTCCTGGAGAAGGGGCCCCAGGCGGGGATGAGGATGTGGGCATCTGACTCCATCAACAATGGGGCTTCCAACACGCACAGCCTGGGCCTCGGAGACCTGGGCCCTGACCCGCCTCCCCCTGGCACTGGGCCGGGTGCCGTGTGTGGTCCCCAGTCCCCGCAGCACCTCCCCCACACTGGTCACGTTCCAGGGCCCCTCTGAAGCACCTGCTGTGAGGGGATGTGGGGAGGGGACAGGGACTTGGGCCTGAGCTGCCGGGTCGGGGGGGAGTCGGGGACCCAGGCTCAGCGTGTGGCTGGGGACCAGACAGATGGGGATGGAGGAGGACACGCCCTGTACCCACTGCCTGCCAAGGGGCTGGACCCACGCCCAGTCTAGGCCATGTCCCCCGAGGCCTGTGAACCTTCACTCTGAGCCACTAAAACATTCAGGAGCTTTGAAAGCAGCCCCCGTCCTTGTCACTATGCGATGACTCTGAGCATCACGCTGTCCCTGCTGGATCCACCCTCCAGCCCCAGCGAGGGAGGCTGGGCCCCGGGCAGCAGGTGGTGAGGGCAGCGGGCACAGCCACCCTACAGCACACACAGGGTCTCAGGGACGCGTCCACCACAGCCCGTGCACAGGCTCCTCACGGCACTGAGTTCACCCGGGGCGCGGGCCGTTTGTCCTCAGGAGTCCCGCTGTACCCTCCGCCCCCAGCCCTGTCCTGCTGAGGCTGCAGCTGGGTCCCGGGGCACAGGGCGGCCCTGAGCACTTTGTCATCTTGGTCCCTGTCGGGTGGGCTGCTGGCTGTCTGTGGAGCTGGCAGAGCCGCGGTTCAGCCTTGGAGGCCGGTCCTGGGGCCCAGCAGCCGTGGGGAGCACTGCCCAGTCCCGTGCCCACAGGGAATCACCTGGGCTGAGGAAGGGCCCACACGCCGACGGGATCGGGGTCAGGCAGCGCACGCCTGGCACCGAGATCCCACGTCCCGAAGTGGGGACACGGCCCAGGGGCACTGTTCCGGGAGGGTCTCAAGATGGGGTCTCCTATTTCAATCTTCACTCCTTCTGCACCTGTTAGCTGGGAACCTTCTAGAAGGAGGGGTGTCCTCAATCATGGGGTGGTTGTGAGCTGAGCACAGATCATGCAGGAAGGTACATGGCTTCTCCTTCACCAGGAAAACAGTGCAGAGAGACAGAGACACAGAGACAGAGACAGAGTAACAGAGAAAGAGAGACAGAGAGAGACACAGAGACAGAGACAGAGTAACAGAGATAGACAGAGAGACACAGAGACAGAGACAGAGTAACAGAGATAGAGAGACAGAGAGAGACACAGAGACAGAGTAACAGAGAAAGACAGAGAGACAGAGACAGAGACAGAGTAACAGAGAGACAGAAAGAGACAGAGACAGAGTAACAGAGATAGAGAGACAGAGAGAGAGATAGAGACAGAGGCAGGCACAGAGATAAGAAAGATACACAGAAACAGAGAGAGACAGAGATAGATAGTCACTGTCACATTCATACCCACGCTCACCTGCTCACACACTCACACACTCACCTCACACTCACACACACTCTCACACTCACAGTCACTTACACTCACACACAGTCACACACACACAGTCACACACACACTCACAAACACACTCACACACTCACACACACTCTCACACACACACTGAGCTTCCCTCAGGCCCTGTCACTTCCGATGGGGCCTACGGCCTGTCTAAGCCTCTGGGCCACCAGCCCCTGGCTCACCGGTGTGTGCCCACCACACCCCGCCTTGGGGGTCCCCTCTATGAGCTGGGCACATGCCCTCCGCTCTGTTCATGGCTGGCCTGGGGGAAACAGGGCCCACCCAAGGCCTGGCTCAGGGAAGGCCTCAAACACACATGGCCCAGGAGCAAAGGGGCAGAGCTCAGCCTGCAGCTGGGAGCGGGCAGGGGTAGTGGAGTGGGCAGAGGGCCTGGAGAACCTGCAGGGCTCCGATGTCTCTGGGAAGGGGGCCCAGGAGCAGCTCAGCGTGGCTGGGCCGGCAGGGGCGAGGAGGTGGGGGCCGTGAGGGAGGGGTGACTCGGCTGTGTGGGGTGCCGGGGGACACGGGCTTTGCTCCGGCTGAGCCCAGGCAGTGGCGAATCCCTGAGCTGCCAGGAGGAGAGCAGGGCCGGGGTCAGGCAGAGGTGGGCCGCGGGGCCGAGGGCTGCGGCCGGTCGGGAGCAGTCGGTCGGTTGAGGGCACCATTACATGGAGGGCTGTGAGACGGGAGACCCCATTCCCTTCATTCCTTGTGCACGTGTTAGTGAGGAAACTTCTAGAAGGAGGGCATTGCTCGTAGTGGGTGAGTGTGAGCACAGATCATGCAGGCTGGCGTGCTGCCGTGAAGTGCCTCTCTTTACTTTCCAGACCTCAGCATGGCAAGCCCGTCCTGCGCCCCAGGGTCTTTCTGGAGTACACGCCGCGCGGTCCTGGTGGGCACCATACCTGGCACCCACGCTTTGGCCGGGCCCGAACCTTGCGCCCTCCCAGCCCCCATGTGGCTCTCCCTTGGCCATACTGGCCTTTTGCCAGTCCTCCTACCTCACCCTAGGGTCTGCCTGGCCCTGCCCTCCCTTCCTAGCCCCCCAAGGAGGCTGGAGGGCACCCCTGCGTCCACCAGCAGCAGCTCCTCATGGGCGAGTCTCCTTGGGCCAGTGACACATAGTGTGCCCCGATGGTGCCACGGCAGCCTGGGCCCTCCGCCTTCCTGCTTGGCAGGCACCCCCGCTCCCTGCACCCTCACCGGGGCACCTGTGAGCCCTGAGGGCCAGTGGGGGTCTCACTGCTGCTCCCTCCCACAGCCTAGCCTCGGGCCTCAGGGCTCTGCATCCAAGCGGCCCAGGGCTCCCTGCGGTCTCAGCCCGAGTGGGCCTTTGAGCCTTCGCGTTCTCTGCAGGGTGGGACCTGCCCAAGGGCTGCTGAGGGCTTCCCAGGGGTCCTGTGGGTCCCACCTAGGGGCAAGCTGGTGAGGAAAGTGGGTCCTGCCATGGCGGCCGGGTGGGCTGAGTTTTCGGCATCTCTGGGCCCAACAGCAGGTCCCTGGAGCGGCGCCCACCCCTCCCCCAGGCAGGTGTGAGGGCTCTGATCTGTTTCTCCTTGAGTGACTCATTCTGGGCAGACTTGGCCCTCAGGGCACATGCAAATGGTTGTTTGTTCCACACCGAAAACATGTTTCTTGCCCTCTGAGGCTGTTTCCAGAAATAGCTTGCACGATTCTCCACCTGCAGCTGCAGCCGCCACCCACCCAGTGTGGCCAGGCTGGCCCAGGCCTCCAGATTCGGGGACACCCCCCGCCCCCTCCCCCAGCGTGGCCAGGCTGGCTCAGGCCTCCAGATTCGGGGACACCCGCCCCCTCCCCCAGGACAGGCCCACTTGGGTTACTGACACTGGGACCACCCTGCAAACGTCAACTTTATTGAATTCAGTGGTTCTGAACTTGTTGCCATCTTTGGGACCAGGACCCAGGGGCAGCCCCCAGGTTGGCAGGAAGGGCAGGGGAGCCAACGCTGGCAGGGCCCCCAGCCAACCCCCACCCCAGAAGCCCCAAGGAGGCTGAGCGGAGGTGGCCCTGGTGGCCTGGGCACAGGCAGCCCGATTGGTACAGGGCCGGTCTGGTGCAGGCCCGCACCTCCCCCACCCTCATGGCCTGGTGGTCCCCACTGTACAGAGAGAACACTGAGGCTCAGCAGGGCCAGGGACATGGCCTGAGGTTACATGGTGATGGGGGCTGGGTCTCCGGGCCTGGGGGCCGTGGTGGGTGCAGCACCCGGACTGCGTGGGCTGTGGCCTCCCTGCTCCCAGCTCTGTCACACCCGTCTCCATCTGAGCCTCCAGCTCCATCTTTCCCGCTGTCCCTGTCTCTGGCTACCCTTCTGTCTCCCTGTCTCTCTGCCTCTCTGAAGGTATCTCCCTGCCCGAATCTCTGTCTCTGTCCCATTGTCGGTGTCTCTGACTCATCTCTGTCAAGCCCGTCTGCTGGGCTTTGTCCCGCCATCTTGCCTGTCTTGGCCTCTCTCTCTTTCTGTGTGTCTCCGTCGGTGCCTCCTTTCTCCATCCATCTCTCCCCCGTGTCTGTCTCTATCCCTCCGTCTCTCTTCCCGTCTATCCCTCCCTCTGTGCCTGTCCCTTTGCTGTGTCCCTTTCTTTGCCTCTGTCTCTCTGTCTGTCTCTTCGTGTCCCTGTGTGTCTCTCTCTGTCTCTCTGCTTCTATCTCTGTCTTTCTGTATCTCTGTCTATATCTCAGCCTCTTTGTGTCCCTGTGTGTGTGTCTCTCTCTTCTCTGTCTTTCCATGCCTCTGTCTATATCTCTGTCTCTCTGCCTCTGTATCTCTGTCTGTCTGTTCGTGTCCCTGTGTATGTCTCTCTCGGTCTCTTTCTGTATCTCTGTCTATATCTGTCTCTCTCATCTGTCTCTTCCTGTGTGTGTCTCTCTGTCTCTCTGCCTCTGTCTCTCTCTCTCTGTCTCTTCATCTCTGTCTCTGCCTCTGTGTCATTTTGTGTGTGTTTCTCTATGTCTCTCTGTCTGTGTCTCTTCCTCTCTGTAGCTCTCCCTCTCTCTGTCTCTCCTTATACCTCTCTTTCTCTCTCTCTGTTTCTTTCTCTGTCTCTTTTTGTCTTTCTCTGTCTCTCTGTCTCTGTCTCTTCCCCTCTATATATCTCTGTCTTTCTGTTGCTGTCTGTCTCTGTTTCTCTTCAGCCCTCTCTGTCTCTCTTTGTCTCTGTCTTTCTCTGCCTTTCTAACTCTCTTTCTCTGTCTCTCTGTCTCTATCTCAGTCTCTCTTCTTATCTCTGTCTCTATCTCTCTCTGTCTCTCACTCTCTGTATCTGTCTTTCTCTTATCTCTATTGCTCTGTCTCTATCTCTGTCTCTCTCATCTCTATCTCTGTCTCTATCTCTCTTTCTGTCTCTCTGTATCTCTCTGTATCTCTGTCTCTGTAACTCTCTTTATCTCTTACTGCCTCTGTTTCTCTCACTCTGTCTCTGTCTTTCTTTATCTCTGTCTTGGTCTCTGTCTCTCTGTAACTTTATCTCTGTCTCTCTGTTTCTATCTCTGTTTTTCTCTGTCTGTCTCTGCCTATATCTCTGTCTCTCTTTATCTGTCTCTCTGTCTCTGTGTATCTCTGTCTCTCTGTAACTTTATCTCTGTCTTTTTCTGTCTCTGTGTCTGTGTGTCTGTCTCTGTGTCTCTGTTTTTCTCTCTCTCTCTCTCTGCCTATTTTTCTCTCTCTGTCTCTGTCAATGTCTCTTTCTGGATCTGTGTTTCTTTCTCTCTGTCTCTGTCTCTCCATCTCTGTCTCTATCTATCTGTCTCTCTGTAACTCATCTCTGTCTCTATTTGTGTCTGCATGTCTCTTTCTGTGTCTCTGTTTCTCTCTCTGTTTCTGTCTCTTTGTTTCTCTGTCTCTGTGTCTTTCTCTCTGTCTCTGTCTGTATCTCTGTGTTTCTATTTCTCTGTCTCTCTCTGTCTCTGTCTCTCTCTTTCTCTGTTACTCTGTTTCTGTCTCTGTGTCTCTGTCTCTCTGTAACTCCTCATCTCTGTCTCTATTTGTGTCTGCATGTCTCTTTCTGTGTCTCTGTTTCTCTCTGTCTCTGTCTCTCTGTTTCTCTGTCTCTGTCTCTGTGTCTTTGTCTCTGTCTGTATCTCTGTGTCTCTATTTCTCTGTCTCTCTTTCTCTCTCTGTCTCTGTCTCTCTGTCTTTCTCTGTTACTCTGTCTCTGTCTCTGTGTGTCTCTCTCTGCCTCTCTGTCTTTCTCTGTTACTCTGTCTCTGTCTCTCTCTGTCTCTCTCTGTTACTCTGTCTCTGTCTCTGTGTCTCTCTGTCTGTCTTTCTCTGTTACTCTGTCTCTGTCTCTGTGTCTCTCTCTGTCTCTCTGTCTTTCTCTGTTACTCTGTCTCTGTCTCTGTGTCTCTCTCTGTCTCTCTTTCTCTGTTACTCTGTCTCTGTCTCTCTCTGTCTCTCTGTCTTTCTCTGTTACTCTGTCTCTGTCTCTGTGTCTCTGTCTCTCTGTCTTTCTCTGTTACTCTGTCTCTGTCTCTGTGTCTCTCTCTGTCTCTCTTTCTCTGTTACTCTGTCTCTGTCTCTCTCTGTCTCTCTGTCTTTCTCTGTTACTCTGTCTCTGTCTCTGTGTCTCTGTCTCTCTGTCTTTCTCTGTTACTCTGTCTCTGTCTCTGTGTCTCTCTCTGTCTCTGTCTTTCTCCGTTACTCTGTCTCTCTCTCTGTCTCTCTGTGACTCTATCTGTTACTCTGTCTCTGTCTCTGTGTCTCTCTGTCTCTCTTTCTCTGTTACTCTGTCTGTGTCTCTGTGTCTCTCTCTCGTCTGTCTTTCTCTGTTACTCTGTCTCTGTCTCTGTGTCTCTGTCTCTCTGCACTGTTTTCCTGGTGAAGGAGAAGCCATGTACCTTCCTGCATGATCTGTGCTCAGCTCACAACCACCCCATGATTGAGGACACCCCTCCTTCTAGAAGGTTCCCAGCTAACAGGTGCAGAAGGAGTGAAGATTGAAATAGGAGACCCCATCTTGAGACCCTCCCGGAACAGTGCCCCTGGGCCGTGTCCCCACTTCGGGACGTGGGATCTCGGTGCCAGGCGTGCGCTGCCTGACCCCGATCCCGTCGGCGTGTGGGCCCTTCCTCAGCCCAGGTGATTCCCTGTGGGCACGGGACTGGGCAGTGCTCCCCACGGCTGCTGGGCCCCAGGACCGGCCTCCAAGGCTGAACCGCGGCTCTGCCAGCTCCACAGACAGCCAGCAGCCCACCCGACAGGGACCAACATGACAAGGTGCTCAGGGCCGCCCTGTGCCCCGGGACCCAGCTGCAGCCTCAGCAGGACAGGGCTGGGGGCGGAGGGCACAGCCGGACTCCTGAGGACAAACGGCCCGCGCCCCGGGTGAACTCAGTGCCGTGAGGAGCCTGTGCACGGGCTGTGGTGGACGCGTCCCTGAGACCCTGTGTGTGCTGTAGCGTGGCTGTGCCCGCTGCCCTCACCACCTGCTGCCCGGGGCCCAGCCTCCCTCGCTGGGGCTGGAGGGTGGATCCAGCAGGGACAGCGTGATGCTCAGAGTCATCGCATAGTGACAAGGACGGGGGCTGCTTTCAAAGCTCCTGAATGTTTTAGTGGCTCAGGGTGAAGGTTCACAGGCCTCGGGGGACATGGCCTAGACTGGGCGTGGGTCCAGCCCCTTGGCAGGCAGTGGGTACAGGGCGTGTCCTCCTCCATCCCCATCTGTCTGGTCCCCAGCCACACGCTGAGCCTGGGTCCCCGACTCCCCCCCGACCCGGCAGCTCAGGCCCAAGTCCCTGTCCCCTCCCCACATCCCCTCACAGCAGGTGCTTCAGAGGGGCCCTGGAACGTGACCAGTGTGGGGGAGGTGCTGCGGGGACTGGGGACCACACACGGCACCCGGCCCAGTGCCAGGGGGAGGCGGGTCAGGGCCCAGGTCTCCGAGGCCCAGGCTGTGCGTGTCGGAAGCCCCATTGTTGATGGAGTCAGATGCCCACATCCTCATCCCCGCCTGGGGCCCCTTCTCCAGGAGCCCTGGGTTCAGTCAGAGCCCAGCCAAGGTCCCCTCCCTGGCCAGAGGCCTCACTGTCTCGGTCACCCTAACCTCACTGCCCCCACCTCCTCACCCCTGCCAGCCTGGCCACTCAGGGCTGCTCCTGGCCTCCTTCCCACAGACACTGACCCACAGGTTCTCCAGGCCCTCCAGGACCTTCTCACACTCCACAGCCCCTGCCCCTGTCCTGTTGACCTCCCAGCGTCCATCCCTGTCCTCAGGCTGCACCCTGCTGGCTGTCCTGTTCTCTGACCATCCCCCACTGTCCAGTCCCTCCTGGGAGACCTGAGGCTGTCCTGGGCTTCAGCCCCCAGGGCTGGGGTCGCAGTGCGCAGGGTCCTGGACCTCCTGCTCCTGCCTCTGGCATGCTGTTACCCACCCCAACCTCCCCAGCCCGATGTTCGGGGTCCCGTGTGTATCTGTGGGTTTCCCCGAGGCTCAGAGTCCTGCCCCGGCCAGCACAGACGGGGAACAGGGCGAGGGCTGGGTGGTGGCCCAGTGACCTCGGGGGCCAGGCCTGGGGTGTGCAGGTGGGCCCGTGCTGCCGTGCCCCCCACCCACAGACAGGCCCCGACTCTGGCCCAGCACCCGCTCCGCCGCTCCCAGCTGCAGGCTGAGCTCTGCCCATCTGTTTCTGGGCCATGTGCATGTGTGTTTGGAGCCTTTCCTGAGCCAGGCTTTGGGTGGGCCCTGTTTCCCCAGGCCACCGATGAGCAGAGCGCTGTCAGCTTACCGAGGGGACCCCCGAGGC
Organism: Homo sapiens; assembly: GCF_000001405.40. Taxonomy (NCBI): domain Eukaryota; kingdom Metazoa; phylum Chordata; class Mammalia; order Primates; family Hominidae; genus Homo; species Homo sapiens. The sequence goes on along the minus strand of NC_000014.9, from coordinate 105,691,396 downwards.
AGGGTTTCGTGGGCACACACCAGTGAGCCCTGGAGCTGGTGGGGGGTGAGCGTGTGAGGGTGGGAGCGTGTGAGCATGGGTACAAATGTGACAGTGACTTAGCGTCGGGGTTTGAGTGTGGGTGGGGGTGTAAGTGTGGGTGAGGGTGTGAGTGTGGAAGTGTGTTAGTGAGTATATGAATGTGAGGGTGAGTGTGAGTGAGGGTGTGAGTGTGTATAGGCGTGTGGGTTGTGTGTATAGGAAGTGTGCGTGTTGTGTGTGTGTATAGGAGGTGTATGTGTTGTGAGTGTGTGATAGTTGCATGTGTTGTGTGTGTATAGGTCTATGGGTTGTGTGTGTGGTGTATGGGTTGTGTATGAATGTGTGGTGTATGGGTTGTATGTGTGTATAGGTATATGTGTTGTGTGTTTTTGTGGTACATGAGTTTGTGTGTGTGTATAGGTGTATGGGTTGTGTGTGTGGTGTATGGGTTGTATGTGTGGGTGGTGTATGCGTGTGTGTATGAGTGTTTCGTGTATGTGTTGTGTGTGTGGTGTGGTATATGTGTGTGTGAGTGTGTGGTGTATGGGTTGTATGTGTGTATAGGTGTATAGGTTGTGTGTGAGTTTGTGGTATATGGGTTATGTGTGTGAGTGTGTGTACAGGCGTATGGGTTGTGTGTGAATGTGTGGTGTATGGGTTGTGTATGAGTGTGTGTAGGTGTGTGGCTTGTTTATGAGTGTGTATACAGGTGTATGGGTTGTGAGTGTGTGGGTATGGTTTGTGTATGTGGTCTGTGGGTTGTGTATGAGTGTGTGGTGTATAAGTTGTGTGTGTATATAGGTGTACGGGTTGAGTGTGAGTTTGTGGTATATGGGTTGTATGTGTATATAAGTGTATGGGTTGTGTGTGAGTGTGTGGTGTATGGGTTGTGTGGGGGGGGGTGTACGGCTTGTTTATGAGTGTGTGTATAGGTGTATGGGTTGTGTGTGTGGTTATGGCTTGTGTGTGTTTATGGTCTGTGGGTTGTGTGTGTGCTGTATGAGTTGTGTGTGTGTGTATAGGTGTTTGGTTGTGTGTGTTTGTGGTATATGGATTGTGTGTGAGTTTATGTATAGATGTATGGGTTGTGTGTGAGTGTGTGGTGTATGAATTGTGAGTGTGAGTGTGTATAGGTGTATGTGTTGTGTGTGCAGTGTATGGGTTGTGTGTGTGAATGTGTATAGGCATATGGGCTGTGTGTGTGTGTGGTTATGGCTTGTGTGTGTTTGTGGTCTATGGGTTGTGTGTGTGGTGTATGAGTTTGTGTGTGTGGTGTATGGGTTGTGTGTGTGGCATATGGGTGTGTGTATAGGTGTATCATTTGTGTGTGAGCGTGTGGTATATGGGCTGTGTGTGAGTGTGTGGTATATGGGTGTGTGAGTGTGTATAAATGTATGGGTTTGTGTGGTATATAGATTGTGAATGTGTCTGTGGTGTATGGGTTGTGTGTGGTGTATGGGTTGTGTGATTGTGTATAGGTGTATGGGTTGTGTGTGAGTGTGGTATATAGTTTGTGTGAGTGTGTGGCATAAAGTTTGTGAGAGTGTGGTATATGGGTTGTGTGTGGTATATGGCTGTGAGAGTGTATATAGGTGTATGGTCTGTGTGTGAGTGTGTAGCATATAGTTTGTGGGTGTATGTGGTGTAGTTGTGTGAATGTGTGGTGTATGGGCGTGTGAGTGTGTATAGGTATATGGGCTGTGTGAGAGTGTGGTATATGGGTTGTGTGTGTGTGCTCTATGAGTGTGTGTAAGTGTATGCTCTGTGTGTGTATGGGGGGTGTGTGTGTGTATATATAGGGGTAGGGGTTGTGAGTGTTTTGTGTATGGGTGTGTATGTATGTACACGGGGTGTGTGTGTGGGACATGGGTGTGTGTGTATATGTGTATGTGTTATATATGTGAGTGTGGTATATATAGTGTGGTGTGTATATAGTGTATGCGCTGTGTGTGGTGTATGTGTGTGTGTGTATATATGTATGGGTTGTGTGTGTGGTATGTGTTGTATGTGGGAAATAGGTGTGTGAGTGTATATGTGCGCGCGCTGTGTGTGTGTGTGTTATATATGTGTGTGTATATGTGTATGGGTTATGTGTGAGTGTGTGCTACATAGTTTGTGGTGTGAGTGTGTACTGTATGGGCTGTGTGTGTGGTGTGTGGGTGTGTGCGTATAGGTGTATGGGTTGTGTGTGTGTGGTGTATGGGTTGTATGTGGTATATGGGTGTGAGTGTGTATAGGTGTATGGGTTGTGTGAGTGTGTATAGGTGTATGGGTTGTGTGTGAGTGTCTGATGTATGGGTTGTGTGTATGTGGTATATGGGTATGTGAGTGTGTGGTATATAGTTTGTGAGTGTGAGTGTGTGGTGTATGAGCTGTGTGTGTGTGGTATATGGGTGTGTGAGTGTATATAGGTGTATGGTTGGTGTGTGACTGTGTGGTACATAGTTTGTGAGTGTGAGTGTGTGGTGTATGGGTTGTGCGTGTTTGGTATATGGGTGTGTGAGTGTGTGGTATATAGTTTGTGAGTGTGAGTGTGTGGTGTATGAGTTGTGTAGGTGTGTGGTGTATGGGTTGGGTGGGAGTGTGTGGGACGTGACTGGATAAGTTCGTGAGTGTGAGTGTGTGGCTGTGGGTGTCTGTGTGTCTCTGGGTGTGTGTGGATGGGGGTATGTGGGTGTGAGTGTGTGTGTGAGGTGTGGGTGTGGGGGTGCACTGCGTGTCCTCCCTGGGGGTGGCCCCTGAGAGTCGGGGCCTGAGCCCGGATGTCTCCGTGACTCTGCATGTCTCCCTCTGCCTCCGTCTCTCTGCTTTGTGTCTGTCTCTGTCATCCCTGCCTCGCTGGAAAGGTGACTGGATAAGTTCGTGAGTGTGAGTGTGTGGCTGTGGGTGTCTGTGTGTCTCTGGGTGTGTGTGGATGGGGGTATGTGGGTGTGAGTGTGTGTGTGAGGTGTGGGTGTGGGGGTGCACTGCGTGTCCTCCCTGGGGGTGGCCCCTGAGAGTCGGGGCCTGAGCCCGGATGTCTCCGTGACTCTGCATGTCTCCCTCTGCCTCCGTCTCTCTGCTTTGTGTCTGTCTCTGTCATCCCTGCCTCTGCCCCATCCCTCTGGGTCCTAGAATCTGTCCAAGTCTGGGGCCGCCTCCCAGGAAGCCCCACAAGTGTCCACCAAGGGATGCACGGAGGACAAACTGCAGTGCACACATACGAGGAGGCTGAGTCACCAGAGCCTCCACGCTAGTCCTGCCCCGACTCCCCGGGTCAGGGCTCCAGGCCCCAAGCGCCGCCCGGCTCCCCCCTGGGCTGGGGCCTGTATGGGGCTGGGAGTCTGGAGGCTCAGCCCTGCGGGGGAGGTGTGAGCAAACCCGCCTGCACTGCGAACCAAGCACAGGCCATCCCCTGACACTCAGACACGCAGAGACGTGCACAGACACATACACATACGCACAGACACACAGACATGCACACACAGAAACGCACAGACACACAGACATGCACACACAGAAACGCACAGACACACACAGACATGCACAGAGACACACACACAGAGTCATGCACAGACATGCACAGACACACACACACACAGACACACAGACATGCACAGAGACACACACGCACAGAAATGCACAGACACACACGGACATGCACAGACACACACATATGTGCACAGAGACACACATATAGACACACATCCACATGGATGCACAGACACACAGAGACACACACAGGCAAACACATACACACACAGACACATAAAGACACAGACACACGGATATGCACACACACATACAGACACACATGCACGTGGATGCACAGACACACACCGACACACATAGAGACACACACACACACAGACACATAAAGACACACACAGACATGCCCGCACACAGGCACCCCCTCCCGCAGGTCACGCTTGCAGCCCCTGGCCACTGTCCTGCCCCGTGTCATGAACCTGCCTCCCCTGTTGCTCCACGCCAGGACATTGCTGCCTGACCACAGCCTGGACCACCTGCTCAGCCCTATCAGTGCGGACAAAGGCCTTGTCCTGGCGGTGACAATGAGCCAGGCCCACTGCACACTTGTCCACACCACACACCTGTCCACCCCACACACCTGTCCACCCCACACACCTGTCCACCCCACACACCTGTCCACACTACACACCCGTCCGCATCACGCACAACCGCACACCTCCAGCTCATCCACCACTCACTGCACACACGCTTGCATCTCACACGCTCATGCTCACACTCATGCACTAACACACACATTCTCCCACCTGTTGCCAAGCTCACACACGTGCACACATGGCGTTGCTGGGCCAGGCTTTGGCACATGGGGTCAGGGAAGGCTCGGAGAGCGTACGCCTTGGCCTCTCTGGCGGCATGTCCGGGTCTGCGGGGCAGAGGTCACAGTTGCTGCCCCACGACACCGCATGTGCCCCTGCAGGGCCTGGGAATGGCACCCCGCAGAGCCCGCACTCAGGGCCAGCTCGTGTCAGCACCGCGTGGACCACGTCCCGAGGACACCTGGGCCAGCCAGTGCTGCGGGCTGCAGCGAGTGTGTGTGCACACGCATGCCCATATACGTGTTGTGTGTGCTTGTGTGCATGGGAGGGGGTCCCTGGGTGGGCCAGGGTCTGCCTCGGGGGCTGGAGTGGGAGGCCTGGGCCCCTCAGCTTTCCTCCAACCCAGCCTCACTTCCCCGCCCCTCTCACCTCTGCGTGGCCACCAGCCAGCCCTGGGCTTGGCCCCGGCATGAGGCCTGAGGCAGGGCCCTGGATAACGCTCAGGACGGGCACCTGGGCCTTCTGGGCCTCCTCGCCAAGGACCAGACTCGGCCTCAGCGCCTCACACTCATCGGGGGTCATGCCCTGGGGCCCAGCCAGGACCCTCGCTGCCCCACTCAGGAGGCTGGACACACTAGCAGGTGGGGGGGCCGCAGCTCCCCCTCCCCCACCCCCGTCCAGTCTGAAAAACAAGACCTCATGGGCACCGGGCCGCAGCTCCCACCCCCACCCCACCACACAGGCACAAACACATTCTTGCAAATATTTCTAAAAATGCTGAAAATGGGAACCACAGAGCAGGTGGGACAGTGGTGTGGAAACCCCCACCCACCTCCGAGATGGCGATTTGCATTGGGGGAGGTGGGGGGAAGGCTGGCACCCAGGCAGCTGGTTTGCAGGATTCCTGACTATTCACACTCCCCAGCCACACCCCATGTCCAGGCCAATGCTGTGGCCAGGCCCAGAGTGACCAGGCCCCAGGGCACTTCCCAGAGGACTGCCTGGTGGAGGGGGTAACAAGTCGGACCTTGCCCCAGGGGAGCTGGGCCAGGGAGGAGACCCCTGCATGGAGGTCCCAGGCATGGCCCCCAGGAACAGGACCCCCAGCACCCTCGGAAGAGGATTTTGTGGGTCACCTGGGGACAGAGCTTCCTCCGTGCACCTGCTGGGCCCCTCACAGCCCACCTGTCACCAAACCTCTGTCCTCCCCTGTGCCCAGGCCTGGCCAACCCAGGCGCTTTCAGCCCGTAGACCCTAGGTGGGGTCGCCCAACCCTACCCCGGCCTCAGGACCCTCTGGGGTTGCCCCACGAGACCACCCCAGAACAGACCTGCCCAACCCCAGCCCTGCATCTTCAGTGGGACACAGAGGCCTCCATAGGACCCCACCCCACACCCAGGGGCTGTCCGGGGCCCATCACCCCAGCAGCTGAGACCCTGGGAGATGACACCCTGTGCCTAGAACAGGGTGGACCACATGGGGGGACATTGTGACCCGTGTCCCAGCCAGGCAGGACAGCCCCACCCCAGCCTCCTAGAGGAGGGGTCTGTGCCTGCGCCCACCCCCTCAGTGGAACCTAAGCCCTCCAGGGAGGACTCAAGTTTGAGGAAAGGATCCCTGGGAAGACCCCCAGGGTGCAGCCCGGGTGACAGGGCTCAGGGGGCCCTTCCTGCACATACAGCCTCCCACAAATATAGTCATGCACACCCCACAGAGACACACAGAACACACAAACACACAGAGACACAGACACATAGACAGACTTAGAGACATAAAGACACACAATACACACAGACACACTAACACACACACAGACACCTAGACACACATACAGAGACAGACACACACAAACACACAGAAACACAAGCACACATACCACACACACACGACACACAGATACACATAGACACACACAGAGACAGAGACACACACAGACACAGAGACACACAAACACAGATATACCTCACACACACACACACGGACACACATACAAAGACAGAGACACACACAAACACACAGACACACAAGCACAGACACACTACCACACACATACAGGCACACAGACACATAGACACATATACAGAGACAGAGACACACACAGACACAGAAACACAAGCACAGACACACTACCACACACACAGAGACACACAGACACACATAGGCACACACAGAGTCAGAGACACACAGACACAGAAACACAAGCACAGACACACTACCACACACAGACACGCATAGGCACACACAGAGACAGAGACACACGCAGACACAGGTACACAAGCACAGACACGCTACCACACGCAGAGACACACACAGAGATAGATACAGACACACATAAAGTCAGAGGCACACACAGACACATACAGACACACAGAGGTACACGGCACAGACACACACACTCAGAGGCTCACACTCAGCCACAGCCACGTGCACACAGCTCACACGGCCCACACTCAGGTCCACAAGGGCTCACAGCGTCACAGAGGCCCCCAGTCCCACAGCCAGACAAGCACAGGCCGTGCTCACGCTCACACACTGACGCACACATTCTCCCACCCGCTGCCAAGCTCACGCTCACACATGCACACGTGGCATTGCTGGGCCAGGCTTTGGCACATGGGGTCAGGGAAGGCTCAGAGAGTGAGCATCACAGACACAGGGTGGGACTGGTGTCCGGGGGGTCCATGAGCAGCCGAGGGGCAGCCCTGCCACGCCCACAGGCCCCAGGTCTATTCTCAGGCACCCGCCTGGGGCTGGGGGCTTCCTTCTGGGAACTCGAGGACCTCCGTTCTGCACGGAGACACACGTCCAGAAAGGGACACCCCAGGGCCACACCCAGACACACCCAGCCCGACTCGGGCACCCAGCACACGCCAGGCACACAACAAACACAGGAGCTGGCACACGCCTGGCCCCAGGCCAGGACAGCAGCAGGCAACTCGGCCAGTGCACACAGCCGCTCACACACACCACACATCCCCACAAGCCCTCACACCCTCACATCCCCACACACCCTCACAGATCCTCACACTCCCACACATCCACACACATCCTCAAACACCCCACACATCCACACACACCCCACACACCCCACACATCCACACACACCCTCACATCCCCACACCCTCACACACCCCACACCCCACACACCCCCACACATCCACACACACCCTCACATCCCCACACACCCCCACACATCCACACACACCCCACACCCCACACACACCCTCACACCCTCACACATCCTCACACTCCCACACATCCACACACACCCTCACATCCCCACACATCCACACACACCCCACACACCCACACACACCCTCACATCCCCACACCCTCACATATCCTCACACTCCCACACATCCCCACACATCCCCACACCCCACATCCACACACATCCACACACATCCTCACACACATACACACACCCTCACACACCACACACCCACTCCCTCACACACCCTCACACACCCCACACATCCACACACCCTCACACTCTCACACCTTCACACATCCACACACACCCCACACCCCACACGTGCACACACACCCTCACATCCCCACACATCCACACACACCCCACACCCCACACACCCCACACATCCTCACATCCACACACACCCCACACACCAAACACACCCTCACACATCCTCACACTCCCACACATCCACACACACCCCACACCCCACACATCCACACACACCCTCACATCCACACACATGCACACACACCCCACACATCCCACACATCCACACACACCCTCACACCCTCACACTCCCTCACACCCCCACACTCTCACACCCCCCCACTCTCACACCCTCACTCACACACTCTCACACACCCTCACACCCTCACAGTCTGAAAACTTCACACACCCTCACACCCTCACACACCCACACACCCTCACACACCGTCACACACTCCACACATACCCTCACACACTCTCTCACACACACCCTTACACCCTCACTCTCACACACCCACACACTCTCACACACCCTCACACATACACACCCTTGACAGCTTGCCTGCAGTCTGTCAGAGGGGTCCCTCAGAGGGCCACCACGCCCTGCGGATCAGGTGCCCAGAATCCACCATCCAGCGGCTCTGGGCCTTTCCCCTCTCAGCTCATGACCTTTGGGTACCACGGCTCAGGGGTACCCCTGTGCTCCCCAGCTGCCAATCCCTGCATCTCCTTGGGCCCCTGCTGACCTCTCCAGTGGCCTCAGGGTGACGTCCTGGCCAGGCCCTGTCCCTCTGCAGCCACCTCTGCCCACTGCCCCACCACCTGCCCAGGGCTCCCCCAGGCTCCCACACCAGCCGTGGGGGTCTCTCAGGCAGGCCGGCCAGGTGGCACCACGGCTCCCCCAAGGGCAGCAGGTCAGGCGTGAGCATTGCCGTCTCCCATCCCCTCCTGCTGAGCCCCCACAGGAGCCTGGCAGCCCGATCCTGTCGCCATAGTGAGGGCAGCTCCTGGCCCACCAGGCCCAGTCCACACCAGCCGGCCGCAGGCAGCGTGTCTGGGAGACACCCCAGGCCGCCCACCGCCCAGCAGGGGACAAGCCAGCCCCCAGACCCGTGCCCTGCACAGGGGGACGGGGCTCAGACCCAGGCTGCCCTTGACAGCAGGAGCTGTGGTGGGCCCACGGTGGGGACCACTGGGGACAGGCCTGGGGGCACACAATGCTCCTGAGGGGCCTCAGGCTGCGTCCTGGGTTGGGGCACTGTTCTGTGAGTAGGTGACATGTCACCTTGAAAGGGCTTCTATTTCACTAAGAGAAAAGGTGGAGGCTTTCCTGGGGGAGGGCGGTGCGGTGTTGTGTGGGACAGTGAGAGAGGGACCACCAGCACAGACAAAGGAGAGGAAAGTGCAGGGGGGGTGGGGGCTGCAGGGACAGAGGCTTGGGGAGGCGCTGGAACCGCAGGGCGCGGGCCTGGGGGGCCCACACGCCACCTCGAGGGACCGCACCTGGGGACCACAGACGCAGGCCCACTCGGGCTCTGGAGGGCCCTCCTGGGGCTGCCTGGCCACGCTCTCTCTCTCCTGGTCCCAGATCCCCTCCACGGCCCCTCCCCACCCGTCCATCCAGAGGTTGCCCAGGGCTGGTCAGAAGGGGTCACATGACACCCCCAGGACCGGCTGGAAGTGGAGGGATCGTGGTCCCGCAATTCAACTCCCACCCGGCACTCCCCACTCAACATCACTTAGGACAGTTATATTGTTTCGGGTTTTTTTTTTCTTCTGTATTAAAAGCATTAACTTCCAATACTGCTTTTATAAAACACACATGCACTGTGGTGAGGACGTTTTGTTAAAATGAAAGGGACAAGCCGGGGCTGGACGGGGAAGCCCCCTGGTGGGGGGACACGGGAGGGGCACCCTGCACTCACAGAAAAGCCCCTCCATTCTTTGCACGTTTCAAATGTTGTATTTTCAAATATAATTAAGCGACGTGGGAGGAAGGGCACCGCGTGCTAGGCAGGAGCAGCCCCCTCCTGGGAGGGAGATGGCAGACAGGGGACAGGGTGGGGGACAGGGTGGGGGACAGGGTGGGGGACAGTGACCAGGTGAGGAAAGATGCGGGTCAGGGACTGGGGGTGCAAATGGGGAGGTGGTGGGAGACGAAGCCCCTCCAAACCTGACGCCCCGCCGCTTCCCGAGCCCGGGGTTCAGGGCTTCCTGTTTTCCTGTGTGATTATGAGCTCCTGCTCCTGCCCTCGCCCCACGCGCGAGTCTCCCCTGGAAGGATGTGCAAGCTTTTCACAAGCACCACAGACTCTTACAACCCGGGACCACCTGGGACCCCAGGCGGTCAGGACCAGGGCCACCCCACACGGCAGGCACCAGCGCTCCTGACCTGGGCTGCAGAACAGCCTGTGGTCAGGCAGGGGCTCCCACTGGCCCCTGTCCTCGGCAGGCCCTTCCCCAGGAGCAGCGTCCGGGAGCTCAAGACAGGCTTGGGGGCTGCCCGTCCACCTGGGGAGGATCTTTGCAGGGCCCTTTCTTTCTCACTAAACAGCTTGCCTGTAGAAAGGAGAATTCGAAGGGATTTAAATCCAGTATTTTTACTGGTTTTCCCCGGGGCTAGCCAGGGTGTCTGCCCCACCTGCTGGTGGAAACGAAGTTCCCACTCTGGCCTTCTCCGTTAGGGCTTTATTTCATGGAGGTTGCATATGCCCGCCTCCCTGCAATGCGATGGTGAGGCCAGGGACTGGGGATGGGGCAAGGCCTGGAAGGGTGTGACTGTCTGTGAGGTGGGGATGGGCCTGCAGAGGGACGTCCGGGAATACACGGAGGCGTCTCGCACCGACACCGGGGTTCACTGTGACGGGAGGGGCTAGAGACCATCTGAGTGGGCTGGAATGGGGGTTGTCGCACACCCCTCGGGGGTGGATGTGGGTGCCCAGCAAGAGAAGCAGACCCGGCCCCACAGGAGGCTGCAGATGGAAGCTTCAGAGGCGGCTCCGGGGCTGCCACAAACCCCGCCCCTCCACGTGCCTCCCTGTCCCGGGAGCCGCCCCTCTGACCCCCAGGCCCTTCCCCGGACGTCCCAGCTGCTCCACAGCCCAGGCTTCTCCCCTCCTGCCCCCATGGAACCCCCACCCTGGGCTGTCTGGGCCTGCCTAGCCGGCCGTGTGGGGTCCCCCAGGCCCGTGGCCCAAGCACCCATCTCCGTGTCCAGCGCCCAGCGCACTCGGACGTTTCACACGCGGGCCTCTGGGGAGGACCCCCAGGCACCGCCAGCCCAACCCCGGCGGCCGGAAACTGGACCCGCTGCGGCAGCCGCTGAGGCTCTGCTGCCCCCGTGTGGCCGACAGCAGCATCGAACGCCGCCGACCACGCGGCGCTTCCCGGGCTCGGGGCAGGGGCAGGGGCAGGGGCACGGGCAGGGGCAGGGGCAGGGGCAGGGGCAGGGGCAGGGCCAGGGCCAGGGGCAGGGCCAGGCGTGCTCTCGGGGCCGGATCCCGGCTCTGCCTTGGGCTCAGGGCTGGGGCCCGGTCCGTGTCCAGCACTGTGATCCCCTCCCCTCCCCAGCGCCTGCCGCGGAGGTGGCTGTGGCATCCGCGAACAGGCATCAGCTTGTGGGGCTCTGTGGTCTGGGATCCCAGCCTCTGCCAAAGTCCTGCATTCCCTGGGTGTGGGGACGCTGTGACCTGGGGACGCTGTGGCCTGGGGGCCTTGCAAGGCTGCACCTGGGGCAGATGGGGAAGCTGGCCTGGGCTCCTCGGTGGGGCCCCGCGCCCCCCACTTCTGCCGGCAGCATCCGATGCTCCCTGACCCTGGTCAGGACCCTTCCTCCTGGCGTGGCCCAGTGTCCCCGCGGAAGCCCCAGAACGCGGCCTGCCCGGGAGCCGGCTCGGGCCTGGGGCCTGCGGGTCTTCACTATGGTCGCGAATGGACCCACGGGATGCTGCATGAGGCGCACGAGCTTGAGGCACCAGCCTCCGGCCACTGTCCCTGGAGGACAAGGGACGCGGCTCCGGAGCAGAGGGTCCTCCCCTGGGGATGCCCTCCCGGCGGCTGGGTGTGGGGCTGGGGGCTGTGCCCGGAAGTGGGTGGGTGGGAGAAGCCCTCCTGAGCACAGAGGACAGCAGCCAGGCCCAGGCCCAGGCCCTGCAGGCCCCCAGGGGCTCCAGAGCCCCAGAGAGGAGGAAGGCCTCCGTGTGCTCAGAATCAGCTCACACCCCGGGGACGAACCTCAGAGGGCCGGGACAAGGAAAGGAAGGCCCCGGCCCAACATCGGGGTCTGGGCGCTGGTGGGACAGGGCAGGCTCAGCCTTGGGGCCGGTCAGGGCCCTGTTGGGGTTCGGGTCCCCCTGCCAGGTCCGCGTCTGCAGCCACAGCCCCTCAACCCCAGCAGGGACCCCAGAGACCGGCTCGGGACCCCCTGGTGGCCGTCTTGTGCCACTGCAGTTCTGCTGCTGAGAGGTTCCCGGGGTTCCCGGGGTTCCCGGGGTCCCTGGCCCGGCAGCCTCCTGGGCTCCCAGGCAGGCGCGCTCTGCCGTCCGCTCATGCGGGGACAGCGGACCTCAGAGGCAAGCCTAAAAGACGCGCCCAGATCAGGATCCCAGGAACCCAGCTCACATACAAATCAGAAAAGCCCTAAAGAAGCAGAAACAAGAATCAGTGAAACAAGAAACTATAGAATAAGAACCCAAACAAAAGCAAAATGTCGGCGTTATCAGACATAGAATATGCAATGTGTGCTTCAGAGGGTTTTTTTGTTTGTTTTGTTTTGAGATGGAGTCTCGCTCTGTCGCCCAGGCTGGAGTACAGTGGTGCGATCTCGGCTCACTGCAACCTCCGCCTCCCGAGTTCAAGCGATTCTCCTGCCTCAGCCTCCTGAATAGCTGGGACTACAGGTGCCCGCCACCACGCCCGACTAATTTTTTTGGATTTTTAGTAGACACGGGGTTTCACCGTGTTAGCCAGGATGGTCTCGATCTCCTGACCTCATGATCTTCCTGCCTCAGCCTCCCAAAGTACTGGGATTACAGCGTGGCCACCACGCTCGGCCAAGAGATTTTTTAAACTTACTTACAGAAGCTATTCAAATATTACTGCAAAATGGGAAATTACTGCACATTGCATTTTGAAATGACCTGAGAGTTTTACGAAGAACTTCTAGAATTGAAAACCGTAATAGATGAGGCTAAAATAAGAATGGATGGGACAGGCAGCGCAGAGGACACGCAGGAGCGGGAGCTGGTAACACCGAAGAAAGAGCAGGAGACGCCACCCAGCCCGAGCGCAGCCCCGCGGAGGCTGGACGGAGGCTCCCACAAGGGCTTCTTCTGCCCAAAGGAGAAACAGAGTCGGGGGAGGCAGTGGCTGGGAATTTTCCAAAATCGCTGAATAACAGGACGCGTCAGGATCAAGGCCAAGTCCCAAGCAGGATAAATAAAAGCAAACTCCACGTCCACACCTTGACGCTTGCCGATGGAGCTGCCAACACCAGAGGCAAAGAGACTTTAGAAGCATCCAAAAGGAGGCCGGGCGTGGTGGCTCACATCTGTAATCCCAGCACTTTTCGAGGCAGAGGTGGGTGGGTCACCTGAGGTCAGGAGTTGGAGAGACCAGCCAGGCCAACATGGTGAAACCCGGTCTCTATTAAAAACACAAAAATTAGCTGGACGTGGTGGCGGGTGTCTGTGGTCCCAGCTACTCGGGAGGCTGAGGCAGGAGAATCGCTTGAGCCCGGGAGGCGGAGGTTGCAGTGAGCTGCCATCGCGCCACTACCCTCCAGCCTGGGAGACAGAGTGAGACTCTATCAAAAAAAAAAAAAAAATCCGTCAGGGCCGGCCCAGGCAGGTGCACTCGCGCGGCCACAGACTCCAGAGCCGGACTCGGGAGCCCCCCGGCGGCCGTCCCGTGCCACTGCACGTTCTCATAGACAGGAGAGTCTCAAGAACCCTGGAGCAAACAAGACGCCTGGAGCAGCCTCCCAGCATCTACTCACCTCTGCCGGCCGTTTACACCCGAAAGCCACCCCTCAAGACCAGGACAACGGTGACACTTTCATACAAAGGGCACAGGCACTTAACTCCGCACGCTGGCTGCTGGCGCCTCCTAAGAGTGTGTTTAGAAATGTTAAAGAAAAAATTATTCCATGATAGTTGTTCAATGCGGAGGCAGGTGTGATTCAGGACCACCGCCGCAGGAGCAGGGACCACGGCCATGCGGGAGAGAGATGGGGCTCAGTTCTTAACACAGCATGGGCTGGCGGGGATTGACAGCCAGGGAGCTGGGTAAACTCGGAGGACGGACATTCCCAAGAGGAAATATTGGGGGGAAGGAGGGTTCTGGCTAAATTAGCCCAGGAAGATTTTTGCTGAAGACAGACCAGGGTGATCAGACCTGGGAGATGGTGGAAGATGAGGAACTCAGGATCAAGGGTGATCAAATGTCAAGAGTGGGTCTTTAACCTGATTTAGGGGGGTTCTTTTTTTTTCTTTTTTTTTTTTTTTTTGAGACGTAGTCTCACTCTGTCACCAGGCAGTGGCACGTGTCATCGTGCAGTGGCACGATCTTGGCTCACTGCAACCTCTGCCTCCTGGGTTCAAGCAATTCTCCTGCCTCAGCCTCCCGAGTAGCTGGGATTATAGGCGCGTGCCACCACACCCAGCTAATTTTCGTATTTTTAGTAGAGACAGGGTTTCACCATGTTGGCCAGGCTGGTCTGGAACTCCTGACCTCAGATGATCAGCCCACCTCAGCCTCCCAGAGTGCTGGGATTACAGGCATGAGCCACCGCTCCGGGCCCCACCGGGTACTTTTTAAAGCCTTTTTCTTACAAGGAAGTGCAGGCCGGCCTAGGAGAAGTTTCCAGAGCCCGACTGCAGTTTAGCCAAGCAGAGAATCTTTGTCAGTCCACACTGTTTAAGGAAAGAGGAGACATTCTCGTTTCCCTCCAACAATATAAGTCCATTTTCTTGTTGGGTGGCCTTTCGTTCATTAAGAACCAGCTGGATTTTCTGTTGGGACTGGATAGAAGAGGACATTTCGCCGCATGGTGCTAGCAGTTGGACATTCGAAGAGGAGAGACTCTGAAAATAAATGAAACACAAAGGTTAACACTTAGAAATGCAGTTTCTGAGCCCAGTGGGCACCAGGCCAGAAGATTTCTAGACGCTGGGCCTGAAGCATCTTCAGCTGCAGCCAGGTAGGCAGCTGAAGGGCCTTCCTGATTTGCAGGTCAGGTGTTGCAGAAGCTGCCCGCACAGGATCTGTGGGGATGATTTCTCTGAAGTTTACATCAACTTGTCCCATTTCAGCTCACAGGGCTTCAGGAAAAGGGCAGTTTTAAATTTGACTGATTCCAAGTCAGAGGGTGAGGGAAAAATTAGTTTGCAGAGTTGTTGCCTGATATTAGAGAAAACTAGAAGAATTCTGAAGGGGCCAGCCCCTCCACACCTGTGGGTATTTCTCATCAGGTAGGACGAGAGACTGAGAAAAGAAATAAGACACAGAGACAAAGTATAGAGAAAGCACAGTGGGCCCAGGAAACCGGCGCTCAGCATACAGAGGACCTGCACCGGCACCGGCCTCTGAGTTCCCTCAGTATTTATTAATTACTATTTTCACTATCTCAGCAAGAGGAATGCGGCAGGAGAACAGGGTGACAGTGGGGAGAAGGTCAGCAAGAAAACGTGAGCAAAGGAATCTGTGTCACAAATAAGTTCAAGGGAAGGTACTATGCCTGGACATGCACATAGGACAGATTTATGTTTCTCTCCACCCAAACATTTCAGTGGAGTAAAGAATAACAAGGCAGCATTGCTGCCAGCATGTCTCGTCTCCCACCACAGGGTGGTTTTTCTCCTATCTCAGAATAGAATAAATGTACAATCGGGTTTTATACCGAGACATTCCGTTCCCAGGGGCAGGCAGGAGACAGAGGCCTTCCTCTATCTCAACTGCAAGAGGCCTTCCTCTTTTACCAATCCACCTCAGCACAGACCCTTCACGGGTGTCGGGCTGGGGGACGGTTAGGTCTTTCTCATCCCACGAGGCCATATTTCAGACTGTCACATGGGGAGAAACCGTGGACAATACCCGGCTTTCCAGGGCAGAGGTCCCTGCGGCTTTCCGCAGTGTATTGTGCCCCTGGTTCATCGAGACTGGAGAATGGCGATGACTTTTACCAAGCATACTGCCTGTGAACACTTTGTTAACAAGGCACGTCCTGCACAGCCCTAGATCCCTGAAACCTTGATTCCATACAGCACAGGTTTCTGTGAGCTCCAGGTTGGGGCAAAGTGGCTGGGGCAGAGTTACAGATTAACACCTCAGGGCAAAGCAGTTGTTCAGGGTACAGGTCAAAATGGAGTTTCTTATGTGTTCCTTTTCTACATAGACACAGTAACAGTTTGATCTCTCTTTCTTTTCCCTACATAGCCCCCTTTCCTTTTGACAAAACCGCCATCGTCATTATGGCCCCTTCTCGCTGGTCGCTGTCTCTTCAGAGCTGCGGGATATACCTGTAGACTTTGTTTTTTTCAGGCTTTTCTTAGCTAACTGTGTCAGCTCCTGTATTTGGCCCCAGGTCAGTGGCTTTGCTTCCTTGGTGGATGGCAACTTCTTCTGTAAGTTGTAGATACTAAATTGGAAGCTGGTTTTTTCCTGGGGAAATACAAGCAAAACTTCTCCCCCATGTTATCACCTTCCCTATTTCCCATGTCTTGTTTTTGTTGTCTTTCCACCACATCAGTTTTCCTTCATGTGGGCTGCTCTTTTTGCCAGTAAAATGTTGTTCTGCAGAAGTAGTGGTCTGATTTCTATAAATGTTTAAACAATTTAAAGTATAGATTGCTAGGTTAAGTTGCATCTGGGGAGCGTTATACTCCTGTCTTTTTCTTCTTTTTGTTTCACCAGTTGAGATTTTGAGTGTTCTATTAGTTCTTTCAATTATGGCCTGTCCTTGGGAATTATACAGGATTCCTGTTGTATGTGTAATTTTCCACTGATTTAAGAATTTTTGAAATGTTTTACTACAGTATCCTGGCCCATTATCTAATTTTTTCTGGAACTCCCATGACAGCAAAACAAGACAATAAATGTCTTTTAACATGGGAAGTACTTTCTCCTGTCTGGCAGGTTGCCCATACAAAATGTGAATAAGTATCAACTGTCACATGGACAAATGATAATTTTCCAAATGAAGGTACAGGTGTGACATCCGTTTGCCATAACGCATTAGGACATAGACCTCTGGGATTAACTTCTGCCTCCTGAGTGGGCAGGTGTAGGACTTGACACTAGGTGCAATGCTGTACAATATTTTTTGCCTGTTTCCATGTGATACCAAATTTATTTTTTAGTCCTGTTGCATTTACATGAGTTGAGGCATGAAGTTCTTGTGCTTCCATGAAGGCAGATGACACTAGCAAGTCAGCTTGTTCATTTGCTTTAGTTAAAGGCCCTGGTAAATTAGTATGCGCTCGAATTGAGTAATATAAAATGGGAAATTTCTTTTTCTCACAGTTTGTTGTAACAAATTAAACAGCTGGTTTAACTGATCATCCATGCTATATTTAATTAGGGCTGTCTCAACATCCTTTGTACCCTGTACTACATATGCAGAATCTGATACAATGCTAATAGGCTGATTAAAATCTTATAACACTGAAATGACAGCAACCAACTCTGCTCTTTGAGCTGAGTGATATTGAGTTTCAGTGACTCGTTCTTTTGGCCCAGTGTAAGCCACTTTTCCATTGCTAGAACCATCAGTAAACACCGTCAGAGCATTTTTTTAAAGGTTTCTGTCTGGTAATTTTAGGTAAAATCCAAGTAGTCAATTTTAAAAACTGGAAGATTTTCGTTTTGGGGTAATGATTATCAATAATTCCCACAAAATCAGCAAGACCCATCTGCCATGCACCAGAATTTATAAAGGCTTGTCTAACCTGTTCCTTGTTTACAGGAACAATGATTTTATCTGGGTCAATTCCACACAATTTTATTATTCGTAATTTTGCCTGACTAATTAATGTAGCCGTTTGATCCAAGTGCAATGTAAAAGTCTTAATCGTACTGTGAGGAAGGAAGGACCACTCCACAAGATCTGTGTTTTGAACAATGATGCCTGTTGGAGAATGTGCAGTAGCAAAAATCAAAAGTCGGAGTGGGGCTAAGTGGTCTATTCTATTTACTTGTGCTGGCTGAATTTTTTCTTCAACTAATTCAATTTCTTTCGTGGCCTCTGGAGTTAATGTTCTTTTACTATTCGATTCTGGATCCCCGCTCAAGATAGAGAACAAATTTGACATGGCATTAAGTCTACAAGTTTGTGTCCTATCCTGAGGTCGCAGGGTGCTCCACTGAGTGAGGACTGCCCGCCCCACCCAGAGGTGTCGGTTACTTCACCATGGCAGTTGTGGCCCCTGCTGCTGCACATGCCGCCCCAGGGGGCACTGCCTCAGGAAAGCCAGGCACACCCAAGGGTGCAGGAATGGCAGGCCCTGGCGGTTTGGCGCGCAACAGCCGGAACAAGTACATGCGCTCGGGCCTCTGTTCCACCTTCACCATCCAGTCTCTGCAGCCGCAGCCACCCCCTCAGCCTCGGCCTGCAGCGGTGCTCCCCAACGCAGCTCCTGCAGTCCAAGCCCCTGGGAGGCCTGCCTGGAGGCTGAGGAAGCCGGCTTCCCTCTGCAGGTCATCCTGACCCCGCCCGAGGCCCCAAACCCGAAACTGGAAGAGCCGAATGTGGAGCCGGGCTTGCGCCGCCCTTTGCCCCCGGAAGTGGAAGTGGAAGGGCCCGAGGAAGAGCTGGAATTCGCGGGGGAGAGAGGGTTCGTGCCAGAAACCGCCAAGGCCGAGCCTGAAGTCCCTCCACAGGAGGGCGTGCCAGCGTGGCTGCCGAGGTCCTTATGGACACCGCAGGGCAGGCGGGCGGCCACGCGGCTTCCAGCCCTCAGATCTCCCAGCCGCAGAAGGGCCGGAAGCCCCGGGACCTAGAGCTTCCACTCAGCCCGAGCCTGCTAGGTGCGCCGGGACCCGAACGGACCCCAGGATCGGGAACTGGCTCCGGCCTCCAGGCGCCGAGGCCGGCGCTGACCCTGTCCCTGCTTCCTACGCACACGTTGACCCCGGCGCTGCTGACACCCAGCTCGCTGCCTCCCAGCGTTCACTTCCGGAGCAGCCTGAGTCCCGCTGCGCCCCGCAGCCCGGCCAAGCTCTCCTGCCAGCTTCCGTCCAGTGGCGGCGCCCAGGTGCACATCCCTTCCATCGGCGTGGCTGGCCTCTCGACCCCCGCGGTGCTCTCGCCAGGGCCGCAGAGGCCATGACCACCACCAGCACCACCACCCCTTCTGGGGTCCCTCCATCCGTGCTCTCTCAAGGAGAAACACAGTTCAACTGAAAGACTCATGCTCTGATTGTGGTGGGGTGGGGATCCTTGGGAAGGATTTCTCCCAGGAGTGACTCTCATTAACTCCTCCACAGAAAACACTCAGCTTCCACAGCTTCTCTCTTTTCTCTCTTTTCTGTCCGTCCCCCAGTGGCTGCCCTGACACGTCTCCTACTTCAATGGTAGGGGCGGTTTATTTATTTATTTTTTGAAGGCCACTGGGAAGCGCCTGACCTAACCTATTAGGGTGGTCAGGACGTCTCCCCCACCTCCCCGCTTTTTTCCCCAAGACAGGACAATCGGGGTCTGACTTGAGAACGACCTTTCTTTCTTCATTCCTCGGCCTGCCCGTGGGGAGATGAGGGAGCCCTGTGTCCATTTTAGGATGTGAGTAGAAGTTAGTTTCGTTTTATTATTCCTGGCCATACTCGGGGTCCAGGAAGAATTTGTACCATTTAATGGGTTGGGAGTCTTGGCCAAGGCAGAATCACACCCTTGGAATAGAAATTTCCACCTCCCCAACCTT